>NC_000011.10:120202727-120505757 GCF_000001405.40 Homo sapiens
GAGGCTGAGGCGGGTGGATCACAAGGTCAGGAGTTTGAGACCAGCCTGGCCAACATGGTGAAACCCCGTCTCTACTAAAAATACAAAAAATAGCTGGGCATGGTGGCAGGTGCCTATAATCCCAGCTACTCAGGAGGCTGAGGCAGGAGAATTGCTTGAATCCAGAAGGCAGAGGTTGCAGTGAGCTGAGATCGTGCCACTGCACTCCAGCCTGGGCGACAGAGCAAGACTCTGTCTCGAAAAAACAAAAAAAGAATGATGTGTGGACTGTGTCAATATGTGGAAATGCATGTAGGAAATAATATTAAGAAAAGCAGGACAGGAAACACAGGGCATGCAGCGATAACTTCATAAAAACCACAATGCTCAGAAGATAATCTGAAATCAATATTGATCAGGTTTTATTTTCTCTCCAGTGGCCTAACACGATTACATGCACTTTTTAATGGCATGGATAGGTGGAACGTGGGATTTTTAGCATAGTGAAACCCTCTGTATGATACTGTAATGGTGGATACATTTGTCAAAACCCATCAAATATACAGAACCAAGAATGGAACCCTCATGTACACTGTGTACTTTGGTTGATTACAAAGTGTCACTACAAGTTCATTGATTGTAACAAACATAGCCCTCCGGCAGGGATGCTGATGGTGAAGAGTATGAATACATAGGGGCCAAGGGTATATGGGAACGCTGTACTTTCCACTCGATTTTGCTGTGACTCCTAAAACGGTTAAAAATAAAAAAGTCTGTTTTAAAAATGTTTAAGCTCCATTAGGATGTTAATTGGAAATGCACTAAATGTATATATTTTTATCACATTTTTCTCGATAAACATAGTATCTTTCCATTTGTTCGGAAAAATGAAAGATCTTTTTTTAAAAAGTCATGATAGTGAGGGTGGCTCTGAGATCCCCAGTTCAGGAGAGGGCAATGTTCCCTTTTCCACTGGATAAGAAACTAGGCCCTGAGCCTCCCTCCCTGGATAATGCTAGAACCTTCTTAGACTCTCTAGCCTAAGCCTTGATGATACCATCAGTCAGATGGAAGCCAGATGTTCTGATAAGGGGGCCCATAGCAACTGTGACAGGAAAAGGGAGACAAGCTGATGGCTCTGGTCAGAAATGGCCCCTGTCCAGGCTCAACTTTGTTCACACTCAGCCCCCTGATGAAAAAGCAGGATGTCCCATCCCAAGCTGTAACACGCACATTTTTCAAGAGCAATAAAATACCAGGCTAAAAATCCAACTGATTTTTTAAAGTAATAAATTTCTGGCCGGGCGCGGTGACTCATGCCTGTAATCCCAGCACTTTGGGAGGCCAAGGCGGGTGGATCACGAGGTCAGGAGATCGAGACCATCCTGGCTAACACGGTGAAATCCCGTCTGTACTAAAAATCCAAAAAATTAGCCGGGCGTGGTGGCGGGCGCCTGTAGTCCCAGCTACTCGGGAGGCTGAGGCAGGAGAATGGCATGAACCCGGGAGGCAGAGCTTGCAGTGAGCTGAGATCGCGCCCCTGCACTCCAGCCTGGGCGACAGAGCGAGACTCCATCTCAAAAAAAAAAAAAAAAAAAGTAATAAATTTTCTCGGGGATTTGCATAAAGGAAAGGGTGTTTACCCATTAAAATGTAATCAACACAAGGCACACAAACCCTGCCAGATCCCATCTTCTTGCCGCAGGCGTACAGTCTAAGGTCTCTGTGGCTGAAGGCAGCGACGCTCCAGACCAGTGAACAAGACCTCTCTTCTCTAAAGCCTCCCTGAGTGTGCCCTGATGAAGGACTTGCCAGGGCATGACGGGCAAAATGCTCTCAGGGACAGATGTCTGAGTCTCCAGGTAGGAGCAATACTGGCATCTGAAAAGGGCCTGAGGTCTTCCATTATAATGAGGTGGCCCAGCCTGCTCTGGAAGGTCCTGGATCACATGGTCAACAAGATTCTTGAGGGCAGGGACTGTGTCTCAGATTCTCTCTCCCATAGCCCAGTGCCAGGTACACAGGGCTACAGAGATGTCATTATTGAGCACCTTCTGCATACAAAGCACCATGCTGGGCATAAGGTGGACGCAAAGAGGGGCCAGGTTCAGCCTACAAAGACCGTGAGTGAAGGCGGTGACATGGAGCTCTGTGCCATGTCAAAGGAGGAGACGAGCCCTGGCTTCAGAACACCAGGCTTCTAATCTGAGCGGCACCACTTACAGCTGGCCTAGGTTCTTTTGTAGCCTCTGGTTTCAAACACAAATGCTGTGAAATAATTATAGCAAGAGGCAGAGGGTGAAAGGCACCTGAAGAGCTACCATAAAGGCAATCCCAGGGCTTCTCCCCAGCTACCCAACCTTAATTCATGGTGCCACAGCCTACGCAAGCCAGAACCAGGAGTTGCCCTTGACCGCTCCTGCTCACTTGCCCCAGTCCAAAGAAACATCAAATCCTACTCCCCCGTGTTGCTGAATTCCAACCCCTCTCCACACCCCTACTGCCACCACCACCACCCCACTCATCAGCACTACTTGTCATGGCCACAATCCATTTCCTGAGCACAATATTTTTAAAATACAAGTCTGATCATGTCACCCCTTATATAACACCTTTCGATGACTGCCCATTGATCTTAGGAAAACAAAACAAAACCAAGCCCAGTGCTAATATTGCCTCCAAGGCCCTGCGTTTCTTGGGCCCTGCCAAACTGTACTGCATGATTTCAAGCAACTCTTCACCCCCGTCATGCCCTAGCTACCTGGTGATGTTTCTGGGAAGCCCACCAGACTCAGGTCCTGTACACAAGCTGTTTCCTTTGCCTGGAACATTGTCTTTGCTGGTCAATGCTGATTCATCTTTTAAGATTAGGCTACACCTGGAAAAGCCTTCCAAGAAGGCCTCCTGGTCTAGGCTAGACTCTCCTCTAATTCTCCATTATAACAATTATAATTAAAATATTTTGTTTTGCCATGATTTTATAGCCTGCTTCTCTTGCATGTTCCATCTCAGGGTAAATAATTGTTGCATCTGCCTTGTTCCACTGCTGTGCCCACAGCATCTAGTGCAGTGACTCACTCTTCACGTGCTAGATGACTGAATGAACGAGTGAATGCATGAGTCTGGGGGTGGGGAGCAGGGAAGGCCTCATGGAGGAACTAGCATGGAGGAAAAGAGGTTATGTTTGGGACTTTTTTCTGTTTGTTTGTTTTGAGACAGAGTCTTGCTCTATTGCCCAGGCTAGAGTGCAGTGGCATGATCTTGGCTCACTACAACCTCCGTCACCTAGGTTTAAGCAGTCCTCCTGCCTCAGCCTCTTGAGTAGCTGGGACTACAGGCACACGCCACCATGCCCAGTTAATTTTTGTATTTTTATTAGAAACGGAGTTTCACCATATTGGCCAGGCTGGTCTCGTACTCCTGACCTCCTGATCTGCCTGCCTCGGCCTCCCAAAGTTCTGGGATTACAGGCGTGAGCCATCGTGCCCAGCTATGTTTGGGACTTTCAAGAGTCAATGGGCAACATGGAGCTCTGTGCCGTGTCAAAGGAGGAGACAAGCCCTGGCTTCAGAATGCCAGGCTTCTAATCTGAGCAGCACCACTTACAGCTGGCCTAGGTTCTTTTGTAGCCTCTGGTTTCAAACACAAATACTGTGAAATAATTATAGCAAGAGGCAGAGGGTAAAAGGCACCTGAAGAGCTACCATAATCAATGGACTAATCAATGGACTGAGATCTGCCTTGGCTTGCAGCTCTGATCATCCAGGCTTCCTTTTCCTTCCTGAAAGTCATGGATCCAGCCCACCTCCATGACAACTTCCCTTCTGCCTGGTTTTTCTGCCCGAAAAGAATAGCTTCTCCATGCCTATCCCAGCCATCTCCACTTCTCTTCCCTTTCCACTCAGTATCCCCACCAGCTGTCTCTCCAATCCACTTTCCCACCACACCCT
This sequence comes from Homo sapiens, assembly GCF_000001405.40. Classification (NCBI taxonomy): domain Eukaryota; kingdom Metazoa; phylum Chordata; class Mammalia; order Primates; family Hominidae; genus Homo; species Homo sapiens. The sequence goes on from NC_000011.10 coordinate 120,206,657, forward strand.
TGATGGATGGAACTGCATAATTGTGTGATGGCGGAAAGCTAATTTGTACTTCTGTGCTGGCAATGAAGTGTCTGGAGCTTTGCAATTGACATTGAGAAGCAGAGGGGATCCCTCACTCCATCCCTGGTTCTCCCTCAAACTCAAATCGCAAATCCTCCACTCTATCTGCAAAGGCCCAGAGACAAAGGGGCTGTAACCTAACCCAAACCAAACAGCCACTCACAGAAAGTCATGGGAAGAAAAAAATCTTTCCAGTCTTGCAAAGACAAGCACCTGGTGGTTCTCTCCCTGTCTCTCGGTAAAGGTCATTGGTTCAGTTTCCCTTTCCACCTCCTGCAGGGTCTTGTCAGCACCTGTTTTCTTGGGCACAGATTGGGAGATGGTTTGGTGTTTCTCTTCCTCCCAAATTAAGGCACACTCAGACCAAAAAGCAAAGGGAAAGTGCCTCCCGAGGTTTTGCTGCTATCCATTTCTCAGTTTCGGAGGTCTCAAGACACAGAAAACTTAGACACCTAAAGAGGATAGAGAGGAAGAAATATTTCTTTTTTATGTATTTATTTTTTTCTTTGAGACCAACTCGCTCTGTTACCCAGGCTGGAATGCAGTGGCACGATCTCAGCTCACTGCAGCCTCTGCCTCCTGGGTTCAAGCGATTCTCGTGCCTCAGTCGCCGGAGTAGCTGGGATTACAGGCGCCCACCACCACACCCGGCTAATTTTTGTATTTTAGTAGAGACGGGTTTTGCCATGTTGGCCAGGCTGGTCTCGAACTACTGACCTCAGGTGATCCACCCGCCTCGGCATCCCAAAGTGTTGGGATTACAGGTGTGAGCCACCGCGCCCAGCCAAAAAAATGTTTCTGAAAGAATATGTGTACATGCACGCGTATACATGTGGCAGGGGGTGAGAGGGAGAGACTTGTATAATCAGAGATTTAGTATGTGATACAATGGGAAAGAATAAACAGAATTAAAGGATAACAGCCACCATTTATTGGATCTGTACTATATGCCAAACATGTTGCGAAATATTTTATGCACAATGTTTCATTTAATTTTCAAAGCAACCCAGTGAGGGAGAAACGTATGCGCCCATTTTACAGTTGAAGAAACAGGCTCACTGACGCACAGCTCATGACTGGGGCCGAGCTCCAGGACTGAGATCCTGATGCCCATTTTCTGAACCACTACTGGCTACTGCTTTCCAAGGGCTAGAGATGAGAAAAAAAAGGAAATTGGTTTATGGTGTGGCAGAGGTCTTGCGATGAGACATGAAGAACTCTCTGACAATGAGGGCTGTTTGGTTGTAGTCGGAGTAATTAGGCTTGTTAGAGCTCTTCCTCTGACGGCCTTTACATTTAAGATGAATGGATGCTTCTATGCCCGGATGGTTTGAGGGAAACGCTGTCTGTTCCCAGCACGGGGCTGGCCTGTTTGAACTAGCTGACGGCTTCACTGGGGATACAGGATTGCCACACGCGAAACCGTTAGATAACAGGAGAAGATAGCGCAGGATGTGAGCCCCGAGTGGGACTGGCAGAAAGTGAGGGCTACCGACAGGCAGAGGCTACTGTGGTTCAAAGCAAGGGCTTTGTGGTCAGGCGGGCAGACTTGTGTTTGAGTCCCGGCTGGCTCTACTGCTTTTGTGACCTTGGGTATGTTGCCTAACCTCTCTAAGCTTTGGTTTCCTAGTCAGTAAAAAGAGCCTAAGAATAGAACCTACTTTGGAGGGATGCCATGAAAATTAAATAAGATGATCCATGTAAAATGCTTGGCACAGAACCTGGACATAATCAAAATACAATGGGGGAGGAGCTGCTATAATAATGACTATTGTTGGAGTCCAGAGGCCGGAGACAGTGGCACAGAACAGAGGGCTAGGTCGGTGGGGAGTCGAGAAAGTCTTCCTGGGAAACCTGAGTTTTGTCCTGGAGCTTGAAGAGGTGGTCAGGTGAAATCAATAGCAAGGCATAGAGATGTAGGTAGGCAGGGCTTATGTAATGGAGTGAGATTTCAAATGCCCTATCACTTTCAAAGAAAAATCTGGTTTGATCTGTGGTTGAAGTAGAGAAGGAAGTTGACTATGGGGAAGAGGTGGGAAAGAGATGAGGTCTTCCATCCTTGTTTCCAAACCCAAAATGTGAACAGAGACAAACCTCAGGGACCTAAACAAGAAATCTGACATCCAGGGCTTCTTTGCCCACTTCTGGGCTGTTGTGGGAGGAGAAGGGGTAAGAGCCTGGGAAATGGCTGAGGGCAGAGCTGGTGGCGGATGGGGACAGGACCTGAAACAAGGGAAGTTAGGAAATGTGGGCGAGGCCCTTAATGACTGTGTGGGCTGACTCATGTGGGAGACCTAGCTTCAAGGCCGCATGGAGATCCAGCATCCTGTCAGGCGGGAGGCCAATTTCAAGACCCTGGGCATCTCTAGTCTAAACGGTTGCCAGCTAAGAGTGGGAGTCCTTAGGGGAGCAATCCTTGTGCTAATCCAATTATTCCCTAACAGCCTGCCTTATCTCCCGGATGTGAAGATGAACTCCTTAGGAGCCAGGTTCTCCAGGAAGGATGCTGCTTGTTTCAGATGCTCTATGTTTTTGTTTTGTTTTGTTTTGTTTTGTTTTGTAGAGACGGAGTCTTCCTCTGTCACCCAGGCTGGAGTGCAGTGGCGCAATTTTGGCTCGCTGCAACTTCTGCCTCCTGGGTTCAAGCAATTCTCCTACCCCAGCCTCCCGAGTAGCTGGGATTACAGGCGCACGCCGCCACACCCAGCTAATTTCTTTTGTATTTTAGTAGAGACGGGATTTCACCTTGTTGCCCAGGTTGGTCTCGAACTCCTGAGCTCAGGCAATCCGCCCGCCTCGGCCTCCCAAAGTGCTAGGATTACAGGCATGAGCCACCGCGTCTGGCCCAGACGCTCTATGCTTAAACATCTGCCAAATACCTGCTGTCAACCACTTATGTCGAGCATCATGTGGGCCTTGTCAAAAATGCTAATCCTCAGTTCTTTTCCCTAGAATCTGATTCCATGGGTTTAGGGATTCGGGAATCTATTTTCTAACAAGCATCCAGGTGATTCTTCAGGAAAGGCAAATTTGGAAAAGGCTGACTTGGTAGTCTCTTAAATTCCCTTCAGTCCTAAATCTAGGCAGCAGAGAGCGGGTAGCGGGAAGGGCCCCTGGATGATAGCAAGAGGCCGATTCTAGCCGGACCCTGCAGTTCACATGGCCCTGTGCTGGGGAAGCCCTAGAAGGGAAGGAGGCTGCAGAGAAGGGAGTTTTCACCCATCAGTAATCAAGGTCCCAACAGAAGTGAAAATGGAAGTCAGGGAACAATTGGTTTTGAGCATCTTCGTGGGGCTTTTTCCCTTGCCTGGGACTGGCAGGACAGTGTAGGTCTGAGCAGCTTCCACGATACACACGGGGACACTTAAGCCCAAAGAATTTTTAAAACGTGCCTAAATTCCACAACTAATCAGAGGAGGCAGCAATCCAGATCTCCTGGTCTTCACCCTTCTTATTGTTGGGGTGCACCGCAGGGCACGCATGTTTCCTTGTGGCTTGTGGGAAAGCCACTGTCGTGGAGCGCCAGCGTCCCGAGTCCCTGGAAATTCTCCCAAGTGACCTGGAATCCAACATTTCCCTGGATTTTCATAGTCTATAATAGAGAGAAAGAACCGGGTCTGCGGTGGTGGGCAGGACTGAGGAAAGGCCGTGAATGCGGGAAGCACGGGAGGCAGGACTGAAAAGGAAAGAGGCACAGGGGCTCACAAAACCTGAGGGCCGCGTCCCAGTGGGTGACCTGACCCATCAAGGTCTAACACCTGGCCGTGGCAAAGCTGGGCGAGAACCCCCGATCCACCCTCCCAGTGTGGGGCAGGGAAAAGGCAGAGTGCAAAGCGAGGTCTGATTTTGCAGAAGCTTTTTAGAAATTCGCTGTCAGAGAAACTGAAAGACCAAACAAAACCCCTAAAAATCCAAGCCCGATTATTTCATCCACGTGGCACAAAAGCAAGCCAAAAAAAAAAAAGCGGGGGGGGGGGGTGGCGGTGCAGGGCGGGGGAAGAGTCACCCGTCCTGCCCCTGCTGGAAGGAAGGGATTTGCCCCGGGAGAGCAAACTTCTGACTCCGCCTGGGTCGCTGACTCCGCGCGGCCGGGCGGGAGGGAGGTCGAGGAGGCCGCTCGCACAAAGCCGCGGAGCCGCTGCCCCCTCTCCCCGCCCCCTGCCCGGCCAACGCCGAAGTGCGGAGAGCAGCCGCGGGCCCTTTAAGGGCCGCGAGGTGCGCGGTCTCTTTAAGGCGGGTCCTGGTGGTTTCTGTTTTCTGAAGGAAGTGACGGGGGGTGGGATTGAATGAAAAGTGCAAAACACAGGCTCGCAGCGCTGGAGCCCGGGGCCGCGGAGCCGGGCCGGGGCAGCGCCGTCTCCGCCTCGGGGCCGCCGGGGGCGCCCTGCTGAGCGCTACCCACGTGCGTCCGCGCCACCTCGCGGGCGACCCCGCGGCCAAGGCCCCCGGCGGAGCGGCTCCCGGGCGCCCCGAACTAGCCCCCAACTTTGGGCGAAGTTTGCCTGCGCCTCTCCCCGCCCCCACGCGGCGCGCCGGGGCCGCGGACGGCAGCGGCCCCCGGGGATGCGCCTTCCCGGGGTACCCCTGGCGCGCCCTGCGCTGCTGCTGCTGCTGCCGCTGCTCGCGCCGCTGCTGGGAACGGGTGCGCCGGCCGAGCTGCGGGTCCGCGTGCGGCTGCCGGACGGCCAGGTGACCGAGGAGAGCCTGCAGGCGGACAGCGACGCGGACAGCATCAGCCTCGAGCTGCGCAAGCCCGACGGCACCCTCGTCTCCTTCACCGCCGACTTCAAGAAGGTGAGGCGCCCTCACTCGCCGGGGTGGCACCTTCAAGCCTGAGCCCCCCGGGATCCCAGGCGCTCTCTTGCCTGCAGACGGAAAGACGGGCCCAGGAGGGAGACGCAGCTGGCCCAAGGTCACGCCGGGCTCTTCTCTACACCTCTTTGCCCACTCCCCAGGGCCCACCCCTTCATTCTCTCCAAAGAACCCCTCTGCTTCCCTTTCTCACTCCCTCCTCCAGCGCTCCCAGAGCCCCCCAGGTGCTAACCCTCCTCCAGAACTCCTACTAACGACTGGACTCCCTTCTTGGAGTCATTCCCCTGTGCTCTAGTGGGAAAGTCCTAGGCGAAGTGTTCTCGCTGTGGGCTCTCACTGTGGGTTCTCCCTGTGTGATCTAGAGCAAGCAAGCCTCTTTCCTCCTATGGGCCTGGCTTCTCACCCCTGTACAGGGCACTGAGGGGTCTGCGAGGCCTCCCAGCCCTGACATTTTGGAGTCCCTCTGTCACCTCTCCCTCTGTTTCACTTTTCTGGGGAGAGCTGGTTGCCCCTGGTCCCTCTCAAGCCGGGAGAAGCCCTGTCTCCTCTTTGGTCTGGAAGGCTGGGGCGCTTGCAGCAGGAGGATCCTGGAGAGAGACCCCAGCTGAGGCCCCCTCCCTCTGGGAGAAGTGCTGCCCTTCACTCTGCCTGGCAGAGAAGCGAGCCAACCCCCCTATTTTGGCCCAGATTAGGGTTAGGGAGTTAGAGACCAGCCCGGTGGGTGGGTGGGTGGGTGGGTGTGGGTGTGTGGGTGTGTGTCCCAGATTACGGTTTGGGAGTTAGAGACCAGCCCGCTCTTGGTGTGTGTGTGTCTGTGTTGGAGGGAATAAGAAGGGCCTTGCACCCAGGGGGCTGGGGGATTATCAGGAAATGGGCCTGGATGGTGAGTGACTAACAGTGACCCAGCAGCAGGAAAGCTGGAGGAAAAGAGGGTGGGTAAGTCTTAGGTATTCAAAAGGAGCGTTCTGTCTCCTTCCCCCAGCTAAAGAGAGGCCCTGTGAGGCTCTGTCCCTGGGGGAGTGCAGGGGTGAAGCCGATTAGATAGCTGGGGGAGCCCGGGGCCCCGGGGACCCTTGCTGAAGCTGCCTGTCTTTCCTCCCTCGTAGAGACAGGGCGCTTTAGAGGAGAGGTGGCGGAGTTTGGGAAGTCAGTTAGGGACCCAGCCAGATTGCCATAGTTAGCAGGGGTGAGGGGTTAGGCTTGACCGCTAGAGGTGGGTGGGGTTGGGGGGTGAGGCTTGACCGCTGATTGCCCCAGGGCCACGGAGTTGGCACTGACATTGGACATAAGCAGGCAGATGGGGGGTGGGGTAGTGAGCGTTCACAAATGGGAAGACTTTGTAGCCCATCCTTACTCCGCAGGCCTAAGCTAGGCACCCTGCCTCCCCACCTAAACCCTAGGAGAATTTTATCAAGTGTGTTCTGTTCCTGAAAAATCTATGTTAGTGGCTGGATCCATCAGGAATCGGGGATCTAATCTTCTGTCCAAGCCCTTTGTCCTTGAAAGTTAGCCTTAGGCCAGGCTGTGAGGCTCCCAACCCCCTGCCCACTGGATGTCATCTTGTGGCTGCACTAGAATCCTGCAGAGAGACTTCCCTGGCTGTGGCCAGGACAGTGAAAGGCAATGGGTAGGGCTGAGCTTTTATAGCCTTTAGCTACATCTGGAAGGTTTTTATTGCTGTGATCTGAAGGGAGAGGCTAAGAAGTACCCAGGTAGCTGTGATGTGCTGGCAGTAGTGGCTGATGGCGGGGGTGGGGTGCTGGGGATTGGAGTGAGGGTATGCTGGTCATCTGACTGCCCAGTTAGAAAATGCATCTGGAGATTGTGAGCACCTCATTTGAATCTCTACAGTGGTTCAGACCTCCACCCAGGTTTCTAAAGTCTGATTTTCAGGTTAGCCTCTGACCCAGAAGCTACCATTTCATACCCACCTCTGGCATCTCCAATTTCATCAGCAAGGGAGGGAATTGGGAGTGGAAGACACCGAAAGGAAACCAGCTTTCCCAAGTCCCTTTAACTCCAGGTTTCTCCATTGGCCTAGGACGGGGTGGAGTTGGAGAGTGCAGTGTGGGGGAGAATAGCCTTACCCTCACCCAGGCCACTCACTCACTGCCTGCACTGGCCACAGCAGCTTCTATGTCCAGATCCTTCTAGGGTGGGTCACCTCTCAGTTCTCAAGGCCCCATGCCTCATAGTGTTTGTCAGATTTCCATAAGAAAGTTTGGTCTAGAAGGAATGATTTTTCCTATAAGAAAAAGACTTCGGCTCGGTGTGGTGGCTCACATCTGTAATCCCAGGATTTGGGGAGGCTGAGGCAGGCTTATCGCTTGAAACCAGGAATATGAAATCTTCAGGCCAAACGAGACCCCTGTCTCTACAAAAAATTTAAAAATTAGCGGAGCACGCTGGTGTGTGCCTTGTAGTCCCAGCTATTCAAGGAGGCTGAGGCAGGAAAACCACTTGAGCCCAGGAGCTGAGGCTGCACTGAGCTGCAATTGTACTACTGCACTCCAGCCTGGGAAGTCACGCTTTTTGTGTTTCTTGTACCAAACTCATTTGCAGTGATTTGGGAAAAGTCCTCATCTACTTGGGAAGAGCCTTGTTTGCCATTTGATCACGTTGGGGAGAACAGTCCAGACTGAATGAGACAGACTTGGTTTACCACTTATTAGCAGGTTCACCCTGGGCAAGCTACTTGATCTCTCCAGACCTTCATTTCTTCATCTATAAAATGGGGATAATAATAGCACATATCCCACAGTTAGTAGTGCCTATGACATCCTTACTCTGTATTAGATACTGTGTTAAGGGCTCAAGACATAGGAGCTGTTAGCTTTGCAATTGTGGCTCACACAGCATTTCAGCAAGGATCCTCTCTGCTAAACTTGGACTCAAAGACATTGAACAACGGACCCAAGGTCATGCAGAAAAGTCAGTACTGAGCCTGGAGGATCCTTGAGCTCTTCATCTTAACCTTCTCCTTGAAGTGCCAAAATTGCTGGCCAGCCCCTCAGAGCAGGAGCAGCCATCCTTGTCCTGACAGTCCACCCAGGGCAGCAGTGAGCCTCCCTGTGTGGGATGGGACCAAGGCTTCTGTCTGATTCCCAACCCTATCCAGCCCCCTCTCTCCAGCCCTTCCCACCTGTTTGCCTCTACCCGCGTCAGAGTTCTGACAGTCTAACTCTCTCCCACACTACTGCTCTGGACCTTGACGCAGCAAAGCAGTCACAGTCGTCAACCCACTGGAGGACACATAGCCTGGAGCCCAGGTGAGGCTTGCAGACTCAGTAGCTTGGAGCTATCAGATGGCCATCCTGCATTACTGCAAGCCCTGCCCAGAGGCTGAGTGAAGGCCATCAGGCTGACCGAGCCACAGCTCTGAAAGAATGCCGCAGCTCAGTGGCTCCCAGCTTTGCCGCACCTCACAATCACCTGGGGAGCTTTGAAAATTCCCACTGCCTGGGCTGCACACCCTACCAGTGAAATCAGAATATCTCAGGGTGGGAGTCAGGCAGCAGTCGTTTTGGTTTTGTTTTTTCTTTTAAAGAACCCAGGTGATGTAATCCCAGCACTTTGGGAGGCTGAGGCAGGCGGATCACAAGGTCAGCAGTTCGAGACCAGCCTGGCCAATATGGCGAAACCCCGTCTCTACTAAAAAATAAAAAATAAAAAAAAATTAGCTGGGCATGGTGGCATGCACCTGTAGTCCCAGCCACTCAGGAGGCTGAGGCAGGAGAATCGCTTGAATCCAGGAAGCGGAGGTTGCAGTGAGCCTGGATCGCGCCACTGCACTCCAGTCTGGGTGACAAAAGAACCCAGGTGATTCCAGTGTGCAGCAAAGTTTGGGAACCACTGGCGCAGTTGCTCTAGGGGAGGGGAGGGGACCTGGAGAAGGAGCCAGCTCAGGTTAAATGAGGGTAGGGCCCAAACTCAGTCACATATTTGAAACCTGTCATCTTACCCACACTAATCCTAATGTGTTTTGAGCAGCACATATACTTCGGGCCTAATGCTGTGTGCCCTCAGTACACAAACTAATTCACAGCGCGCCCTTGGTGGGCAACACTCTCCTTTATACTCCACATCCTATGGGTGTAATTAGCCCTGGATGTACATAATCACTGGCATATCTAATCATAGGTGTGTCACCATCCCCTCTCCCTAAACTGGCTATTTGACAGCCCTTCTGGTCTACCTCCTGGAAGCTGGTATTCTTGCCAGTTTCTCTTTCACCTCTGTCCCCTAGTCCGAGTGGCCAAAAGCTGGGAAGAGGATGAGTCACGCTCCAGGCTGCCTGCCTTGGGGCTGACCGGATGGGGAGGGTGATACTGACAGATATGAAGAAGGTCATGTGTGATGGCATCACGGTGGTGGGCGGTGGGGGTCCCTTTCCCCTCCCAGCATCAGGGAGGATAGGGAGACACAGACTCCAAAAGTGTGGAAGGAGGGGATCCTGAAGGCCCACAGCTGGAGCCCTGGAGGGAATAAGCAAGATAAGGGGAACTGTACAGCTGTGTGGGTCAGCTCAGGGCCGCTTCGAAGGGACAAGGACCCATGGAGGATGGAAGCTTGAGCCCTGTCCTGGGCACTGATGAGTGAGTGGGAGCCAGAGGAAGGGATAGTCCAAAGAATGCTAGGGCCCCTGTGCCGGGGGGCCTGGTCTGTGGGTGGGGGAGCAACATGGGAAGCCTTGAGGTGCAGTCAGTAAAGATGTGGAATGTGCAATGTCCACGTTGCCACCTAAGAACGTGTATCCCAAGGAGATATCACAGCACATAGATGTGGGACCGAGAAGCTTTCAGGGCCCAGTCTGCCCCTACCCTGTCTGTGTTAGCACCCTTAAGATTTGGCGTGGAAGCATCTGATGGATGGAAAGTCTCCTTGGGGAGGAAAAGGCAGTGGAGGTGCTTTCGGGAGAGGCCCAGACTTTTCTGGAGCTCAGAGCATTTCCTCACAGGTATTTACAAGAAGTCGCCAGATGGAATGACCAGGCTCACTGACATGGGGCTCCTGGGTCTAATATCTGTCCCTCCTCTGCGTGTGAGGAATTCCTCCTCAGATCAGGATGGCCAGCCCTGCCTGAGGGTTCAGACCCCCTCCCGGGAGCTTGGCCAGCATCTCCCACCCCTGAATGCTATGTCCAGGTGGAGTCCTAGCAAAAGATCCCGGTAGGCCATGAAGACTGCCACCTGGGATAATGGAGGATCCTGCTGGGAAGCTGGTGGGGAGAGTGAGTTAGTTCCCTCCCAGGCTTCCCAAGGCACAGAGAGGTGGTGGAGATAAACTTAGGACAGACTCCTGTTCCGCTGGCGGAGGGCCCAGCCTTGAAGTGAGGATTGCATAGGGTCTGGAGATCACCCATTGAGCAGTCCCTCATGTCACACATGCTCTTATCTGATCGCCTGGAGCTCTCAAGTGAGGCTGACAAGATGAAGCAGCTGATGATCCCAGATTAGGACCCAGGGTTCCTTCCAGTATATCCTGACTGCCTGTCTGCCATGGTACCATGAGTGGGCTCCTTCCAGTAGGCTAAAGAACCCTGGGGAGGGAGGTGGAGGGGAGAAGGAGGCTGGAAAAAACCTTGGTGCAGAGGAACAAATCCACAGAGACCCTCGTTTGTACAGACTTGGGCTGGACCACTTCCCCCACGCTCTTACCTCCAGTGGATGGAGTGTTGGCTACTTGGCCATGCCTGCAACTCCTCTCTCCCCTGCATGGCCTCTTGGGGAGCTGGGTGAGGGGGATGAGTTTGGAAAATATCTCACCAAGGCCAGGTGTGGTGGCTCATGCCTATAATCCCAGCATTTTGGGAGGCCGAGGCAGGCGGATTACTTGAGGCCAGGAGTTCGAGACCAGCCTGATCAACATGGTGAAACCCTGTCCCTACTGAAAATACAAAAATTAGCCAGGCATGGTGGTGTGTGCCTATAATTTCAGCTACTCTGGAGGCTGAGGCGGGAGAATCACTTGAACCGGGGAGGCAGAGGTTGCAGTGAGCCGAGATCACGCCGTTGCACTCCAGCCTGGGCAACAGAGTGAGACTCCATCTCAAAAAAAAAGAAAAGAAAATATCTCACAGACACTAGTGAGCAATCACTATGTACGTTTTTTCCTGCCACTTACCCACTGTGTGACTTGGCAAGTCACTTAACCTCTCTGAGCCCCAGGCTCCTTGCCGGTACACCAGAGACAACAGTGTGATGCTTGGGGTTCAGTGTGCGCAGTGACTAAGAGGCCCTTCGCAGAACAGAGGCCCGCGTGGGCATGTGAGGAGTGAGGTGCCAGTGCCCGCTTGGATGTCCGTCTACCCCACCGTTAAGCATGTTGCTGCAGCTGCTGCTTTTCTGCTGTAGGGACCAAAGCATCATGAGGAGCTAACATCCTTGAAGTTGGCAAGTGTTGAAGTGGCTGCCACTAGGGATTCAGATAAAGGGCAGGGAGAGGCATCAGGGCTGGGAGTGCGGGTGAGAGGGAAGCATGGAGACCCGTCTCAGGAGCACTGAGTCAGCAGCACAGTGGGGCGCAGTTGATCCACATAAAGCCTCACATTGTTCCTGCAGCAGTCAGGACAGTGGTGACCTTTGGGATTCGGCTGACAGAGCACTGCTCTGGGGAGGGGCTGGGGGCAGGAGCACTGCTCTGGGGAGGGGCTGGGGGCAGGAGCACTGCTCTGGGTGAGTGGTTGTGCTAATGCCCCAAGACAAGCAGCCTCTGTCCAGGCCTAGCCCTGAGGGGATGCTGGCATCTCATCATGGGGCGGCCTAGGTCCCTGGGCACTGGCCTCGGGATGTGCGTGGCCTGGCTCTGGGTGGAATCCATCCACCCCGTTCCTGCTCGAGAAGCCTGGGCAGAGCAGCCAGGGTGCTTCCAGCTTTGCCGTGGGGCTAGGAAGGCACTGCTTCCTGGCTGGCTCTGCAGGCTAAACCCCCTCTCCCCTCCCCAGCCCAGCGAAGCCAGCCACTTCTCTAGCCATAAAGCAGCCCCAGCCAGGAGCAGAGGAATAAATATTTAGATTGGCTCAGCCTGGGCCCCAGAATCATGCTCTCTGGTGTGACAGGAAGGAGACCAAGATGGCAGAGGACACTCCCAGGAGAGAGCGCCAGCTGTCCAGGAGCAAGAGGGTTGGAAGAATGGGAGGGGGCCAAGTGGCTTGTGTGGCCCTAGAGCGATGACCTGCAGCCTGGGCCATGACCAGCACTGGACAGTGGTGGCTGGAAGCAGGGTGTGGAGGGAAGGGGCAGTCTGCTGCCCTGGCCCCCTTTGCTTTCCATTCTCCTGCAGGCGGGCCTCCCCCCAAACCCCAGGGCTTTCTGGGGAGGGGCTGAGGAAGAGCGCCTGGAGAGTGGGGCCAGCTAGGGACCGTGATGGGAAGGCAGGGTGCCAGAGGAGACCGGGCAGGCTGGAGCAAGGTGATGACATGCGGTAAGAGTGTGTGCCTGCACATGCACGCATGTACACGTGTGTGTGTGTGTGTACACACGTTATGAGAAGTGGCATCGGGAGGAGGCGTGTGAGGAGAATCGAGCAAGTGAGGAGGGTGATGCGGGGTGTGCCCTGACGCTGGGCATGAGATGGGGAATTCACAGGGGGGGTGGGCGTGGGGACTGCGGAGAGGGGTGTGATGAGACGGTGGGGAGCCGCCTCTGCCGGCAACAGGGAGACTGAGGGAGGAGACAGGCCCAGATGCACCCCTGTGGAGGGAATGGGAATGTGGAACAGGAGCCACTGGGAGACCTTGCGGGAAGGAGACTGAGACCCAGCTTGTCTGTGAAAGAGGACGGTGTGCGCGAATGGGGAAGCCGTGTGAGCCTGTGCATCAGTTGAGATTAGGCTCAGCCGTGAGCAACATAAACCCCCAGGAACAGCGGCTGAGGCCGTGGCAAAACAGCCTGTTTCATTCTTCCCAGTGTTATCTGAGTCTGGAAGCCAGTCAGGGCTGGTGTGACAGCCCCGCTATCCCCTGGGATCCAGGGGCTCCCTCCCCACCCTCAGTGCTGAGCACAGGATGTCTGCCCAGGGGTGCTCTGCCGTCTCTCAGCGCATTCCCCCAGTGCAGCTGAACCAGAGCAGCCTTCCCTCTGGAGACACAGGTGGATCCCAGTCAGACAGCATGGCTGGGATGGGCACAGGGAGGAATTGAGTATCTGGACAAGGGCTACGGAGGGGAGCCAGGACAAGCATGAAGATCACTGGACTCAGAGTCAGGAGGTCTAGGCTTCTGGCCCTGGCTCTGCCACTGTGTGACTCATGAAGGTTACTTCCCTGCTGGAACCTCACTGGGCCATGAACTAGATGATCCCCTAAACCTTCTAGATGCCAAAATAGCAGCTGTAGCACTATCAGCCTGCAGGAGCCCAGCTGCAGGCAAGGCCGAGAAGAAAGAGTGTCTGCACATTGGAGGCCAGTGGGTTGATGGAGGCCCTAGAGCATTCATTCGTTCCTCCAGCTACTAAGCATTGAGCCCCAGCTGTGCGACAGACCCCAGGGTCACCATGTGAATAGGCTAGAGTCGCTGCTCTTGAGCCAGAGGCAGGTCACAGAGGGCTTGGATGACTAACTGCCTGGGCAGAAGGTGCTCCATGAGGACAGAGACCATCTGACTGGGGCACTGAGATCCAAGGCACTCTCACAACCTCAGGCAGAGTCTGATTCAGCTCCAAACCACAGGTCCCTCATGTCACCCCAGGCTCAAACCCACCAGTGACTTCCAGAGAGGCACAAGAGGAAGCCTCCCACTCCTCAGCCTGGTTCAGACCCTGCGTCCTGCTTGTGTCCTGACCCCTTGCCAGCCTCATCAGCACTCACGACCCTTCCCCTCCTCCCCTAGTACATTCCCACCGCTTTTCTCAGAGAACTCTTCCATGCTGTTGTTCATTCACCCTTCATGTATTCCTTATCAGATGTTTATTGAGCACCTGCTGTGTTCCAGGGGGCAGGGATGCACTTCAAGCAAGCCACTTTTCCTGGCTCAAGAAGTTGAGTCTGGAAAGAAAGACAAGTAAAGAGGTCAGCAAAAACACAGTGGGAGTAAACAGTGGGATTTGTGCTCTAGAGGCAGCGACTGGGATTGGCCAACTCTGCAGAAGGGCTGGTGAGGGCAGCACTGGGAGGGCAGTCAGAGGAGGGTCGTTTGTGAGCTGTGCCCTGCACACAAGGCACAGCTGAGACAGCTGAGCACAGGGCATCCCGGCAGAAGAACCTGCTCACAGAAAGGCCTAGGGGTGACACAGCATCGCTCATTCTGGGAACTACAAGCTCTCCGGTTCAGTGCATGGGAAGTGCAACAGTTGCTGTGAGCAGGGACCTGGGATGCCAGGCTCTGGGGTTAGGCTTTCTGGTGAGGACAAAGGGAGCCCTTGAAGGGCATTCGGCCACTCGGGTGATAGTAGCATGGAGGGATGATTGGGTGGGGGCACTGGGAGACTCATGCCTGGCTGTCTTCTGTAAATGCCTCATTGCTGGAAAGCCCTCCATCCTTTAACTGTCAAGGGCCAATGAGGAGTCCCTCACTGTGCGAAGTCTTCCCTCCCTCATGCCACCCCCAGCCCCAACCTTAAGGGGACAACGAGCACTCCCTCATCCACCCTTTACCTCCATTGCACTTGGAGTAAACCTCAATCCTAGGCCTATTGTTTGCTGACTTGAGTTGTCAGAAGTCAGCCTCCTCCACCATCCCCTGGAAAACAGGAATCTGTGTCTTGGCCAAGGCCACTCCCCTGCCCAGGTGTTTGTGAAGGCCCTGCCCCATGTCCTGCTAATCAGTGCTCTCCCACTGATTGGCTGATTACTTGCAAGCCCCAGAGGAGTCACCTGACCTGTCTAGGCCATAGGTACATCTAGAAGAGAACAATCTCAACTCCTGGGTCTTCAGGAGTGGAGTAGATTTCAGGTGGAGCAAGGCAGACATAGAGCCAGGAATTGCAGCCACAAGAGAGAAACTGAAAGTTCAGCCCACTGTGTTCTGAAACCTTTCACTCATTTATTCCCTGCAACAGTCCCTTGAGGTAGATACTATCATTTTATTCAGCTTGCCAATGTGGAAACTATGGTACAGAGAGGTTAAGTAAATCCCTTCAAGGTTATGTGGCCAGCAGAGGCAAAGCCAGGATCTGAACATGGGTAACACTGGCTCCAGAGCCTTTGTTCTTAAATTCTGTGCTATCCTAGAGCCTACCTACTCCTTACTTAAAACTACAGACGAGGACCCTAGCAAACACTATTTCCCCAGGGTACTTGCCACACCCTCTGCGTGGCCCAGATCCTGGCCCTGGATGTAGTATGCTCCAGTTCTTCCAGGTAGGCTGGAGATTCCTGGAAGCTTGTGGGAGAAGGAGCCTTATAACAACCTCCCGTCTTGGGGACCCTATCCTGGGTCCTGAGCCTCAGGAGCCTGCCTGCAGTCCCTGTTGTAGGCTCTTCCCCAGCTAAGCATCTGCTTTAGGTGTTAGGCCACATGAAGTACGTCATCCCAACAGATTCCTGGGCAAGGAGGAAGGCTGGGAGTCAGGCTTCCATCTGGCCTGGGCTTAGCATCTGAGGGGACTTTCACCCTTCCCTGTGAAGGTTGGAAGAAGAGGGGGCCCCAGAACCTTGCCAGGGAGTCTGAGGTGCAAGGAGTGGAAAGCGGGAGGGACACTGGTCAGGATGATGGAGTCCTGTTACCAAATAGACCCAGAAAGTAGGGCTGCCCACTCCTTCTCAGGGATCAGCAAGTGGAATGTGCTTTTCTGGGGAAATAGGACGAAAGGGCCGGGCGCAGTGGCTCACACCTGTAATCCCAGCACTTTGGGAGGCCAAGGCAGGCGGATCACCTGAGGTCAGGAGTTCGATACCAGCCTGGGCAACCTGGTGAAACCCAGTCTTTACAAAATACAAAAATTAGCCGGGCATGGTGGCACATGCCTGTAATCCCAGCTACTCCAGAGGCTGAGGCCGGAGAATTGCTTGAGCCTGGGAGGCGGAAGTTGCAGTGAGCCGAGATTGCACCACTGCACTCCAGCCTGGGTGACGGAATAAGACTCGGTCTCCAAAAGAAAAAAAAAAAAACAACCATGCACACAAAGGAGAGACCGGAGAATTTGTAGTTTAAAAAGTCCTGGCAGAGGCCGGGTGCAGTGGCTCACGCCTGTAATCCCAACACTTTGGGAGGCCGAGGCAGGCAGATCACAAGCTTAGGAGATCAAGACCATCCTGGCCAACATGGAGAAACCCTGTCTCTACTAAAAATACAAAAATTAGCTGGGTGTGGTGGCCCATGCCTGTAGTCCCAGCTACTCAGGAGGCTGAGGCAGGAGAATCGCTTGAACCCGGTAGGTGGAGGTTGCAGTGAGCCGAGATCGCGCCATTGCACTCCACCCTGGTGACAGAGTGAGACTCTGTCTCAAAAAACAAAACAAAACAAAAAACAAAAAAAGAAGTCCTGGCAGGGCAGGCAGGCGGGTTAGAAGGGTATTCCTGCCTCCTCTTCTCTTATTTGTGTCATGCTGTTTGGTAGTTGCAGGAACCACGAGCCAGAGCCGCCACATTCGAAGGCAGGTGTGCTGACTTAAGGCAGGCTGCCGCCAGATGGGCATGATGGGGAGCGGGTCCTAATCCCACCTCTGCTGCTGGCCAGCTCAGGCATCAAGGGCAGACCGCACAACCTCTGTGTGCCCGAGTTCCAGCTTCTTTAGCTGAGCATCAAGGAGATGAGACTAGCTGATCCAGGAGGCAATTATGGATTCTGGTTAAGAGAGCTCAGGCTTTGAAGTCAGACTGTCTGGATTAAGATCCTGGCTATGTTTCCTCTTAGTCCATGACGTTGAACAGGTTACCTAATCCAAGCTCGGTAACAATCATAGCTCCTACCGCCTGTTGTAAGGATTTTAAAAAGGATCATACATCCTTTTGACCCATGGAAACAATGTTTTTTCTCTTCTAGTTACAAATTTCAGTAACTCTTTTTCCTATACAAATAGGAGATACAGAGGAAATCCTCTCAGTGAGAAATTATCATTCCCTTCCTGCACCCCCTGTCAGTTCCCATTTTGACAGCATTTTGTTATTGTCATTGATGACATTATTAATATAGAAGCAGGAAAAAAGCTCAAATAGATTTCTTTCATCCTCTAGTCTGGTCTGAAAGTTCAAATACCTTCTTTTGCCAACGGTAGTCAGGTGATGTCACCAAGCAAAGAGACCCCTGAGCAGCCCTGAGACTTCCGGATATTTCCTGCACCTGCGGTATTGGAGAAGATGCTGTGAATATCCAGATAGGCTTCTCTCCAAAGAGTCAGAGCTGAAAATACCAGGGAAGTGGTTTTTGGATCCTTCCTGGGGGATCCTGCCAGGGACATGGCCTGGCTCAAGCTCTAGCAGGGGAAGTCTGGTATCAAGTCTCACCTGGCAGGAATTGAGCCCAGAATGGAATATGCTACAGGCAGAGCAGCCTCCCATCTCTCCTCAGCCGACCTGAGTGAGGGGAAGATCAGATAGCCCAGGCTGGCAGGACAAGGAGATTGCAGCACCATGACCAAGAAGGGATTTCCTGTTGAGAGGAAGCAGGGGTTGGCTGAGCTCTGATCACCTTCTTCACAAATCTCTGGGATCATAAGGAACCTAATGGAACCTTCCTCAACAGCTGAGCCTCAGTTTCCCTTTCTGGAAAACCTCCCCCTATACTTCCATACCTCATCGTTCCAGAGATGATTTACAATAATGGCAAGTAAGAGAAACTCTGTAGAGTTAAAGGACTGCAGAAATACATGGGCATTTATGAGATGACATGCACTCGTTTGTTGCAGACCACCTACGATGCTTGCTGGTCACCTACAAGAGTAATCCCAGCTAGCGCTGACCCCATGTGAGAATCTTCAGATAACTTACTTAGTCCTCACCACAACCCTGTCACATAACTGGGATCATCCCCATTTTACACATCAGAGAAATTAGGGGAAAGCCTGGAGGACTCACTAATACATTGCAGCTTCGGGGCGGAGCTGTGAGTCCCTTGCCGCATGTATTGGACTCCAAGGGGGCCACTCAGAGCCTGTTGCTGAGACACTTCTGTTCTCGCGGGTGTACAGCAAGTACTCAGTGACTGTGTGGTGGGGGGAGCTGGGGCCCGGGCATTAATAGATGATCCACAGAGCTGTCATTCTAAGTCTCAGTGCAGAGCCATAGGGGTTCCCAGCAGAGAATGGTCACTGAGGTCAGGGTGCCTCCACCACAGGAGGGGCCTTGACAGATGTAGACCACTTCTGACTGGGACCCACTAACTTCTCACTGGGAGCAGAGTTAATCAAGTCACAGAGATGGGTAAGAAGGCAAGGGGCCACTTCTCATGTGGTGAGCGGTACAGGTGAGCAGAGCACAGGGCTCCAGCAGCCGGATAGGGAAGGGGGCCCCAGCCCACCCTACAGCTCTACTCCCTCCATCCTGCTGCAGACCCCCCATTCACACAGTGAGTCAGTAACAGGAAGGAGCCCTTGGACTGCGGCAATGCCATTAGCGACCCCATGGGGGAAAGGGGAAGTGGGGAGGGAAAGGAAGAGGCGAGGCATCCTAGCTCCCTCAGGCCGGAAGGCTGCAACAGCTGCAGCCAGCCTCCCACTCTGCCCTCACCCCGTCCCGGCCCCACCACTCCACTCACTCAGTGGTCGGTGGCCAGGAGCCTGGCCAATCAGAAGCACCAAGGGCATCTTGAGACCTCTCCCCAGATCTACTGAATAAGAATGTCTAAGATTTCTAGCCATTACAACTACAAAGAAAAAAAAAAAAGAGGAACTCTGGAATCGGTACTGGAAAAGTCCAGCCCTCCTCCATGATGCCCTGATCAGGTGCCTGTAGAGGCCCTGACCCACCCTGATCAGGGTGACGTTAAGGGGTTCTGCCGAGAGGAATCATCAGCTGGGAAAAACTCTAGTGGTTCACTTTGTCAGTTTTCCAGGATCTTTGGAACATCTGGGGTGTGTTCTTTCTTTCAAGTCACGGGTTTAAACGGAAAAGATAAAAATTCCTAGACCAGCAGGAGGGAGGTGTCTGTTGCCCGGCAGTGTCCAGGCATCCTGTTCAGGGGCCAAGCTGAGCACCCGGTGGGCCAGTGGGAAGGTCCCACACCCTCCAGCCGTTCCCATCCTCCTGCCCTTCTTCAGGATGTGAAGGTCTTCCGGGCCCTGATCCTGGGGGAGCTGGAGAAGGGGCAGAGTCAGTTCCAGGCCCTCTGCTTTGTCACCCAGCTGCAGCACAATGAGATCATCCCCAGTGAGGCCATGGCCAAGCTCCGGCAGGTAAGTGCCCCACCAGGCCTGCCTGGCCCAGGTCCTGACCCGCAGCAGACCCGGCCCAGATCCCATCCCGCAGACCCGGCCCAGATCCTGACCTGCAGACCCGACCCCTGCAGCCAGCCTAGCTCTAAGCTCTGATTCCCCAACCTTAGCCTCCCACCCAGCTCCTCATCTTCACGCTGTTCCTGGACCCACTGCCCTTGACCTGCCCTCATCCCTGGTACCCCATTCACCCTAGAGTCCTGAGCCCCTGATTTTGCCCCAGGCCAAACCTGACCCTAGAGCTGCAGATCACTAACTGAACCCCAACTCTCAGATTTCTCCCATCTGGTTCCAGCACCTCCCCGTGTGTGACAGGCTAGGGGCTTGGGCTCTGAGGTCAGATCAGACATCACATCTCCTCCGTCACTCATTAGTTGGGTGACATTGGACAAGTTACCTTCAAAGCCACAATTTTCTCACTGAAACTGGGTTATGGGGGAATTCAGTGAGCAAACATATGTGAAGTGTTCAAGACCCTCAAAGCTGCCGGCCTGCTCCTGCTGTCTTCTTAGACCCAGGGCCTTGCCCCAGCCTCATCTGAGTTCCCTGGCCTGCCCAGCAGAGCCTGCCCTGGGGGCCTCCTCGCCCCTGCGCTTTGCCTGCTTTCCCAAAGGGACTTGGTTCCCTGGATGTTGGAAAGTACGTGATTCCAGAGGTCATATGCCCTGGCACAGCTTGCCTGGCCCACCCACCTCCACCTCCCATCCACACCTCAGCATTCTCCATCAAGCCCCAGAGGTCAGCCCAGTGGCCAGCACATAGTTTGGGAAGCATCCATTCTGGATAGAGGCTGAAAAGGCTCGACTGTACTCTAGGCATCAGCTTCACTGCCAGTTGGAGAGGGGTGGGGCTGCCACCCTGCAGATGGCCCCAGCGTTCTAAAGGCAGTCAGCTTGGGCTCGCCTGACTCTGGAGGGTCAGGGGAAGATGGACAGGGAGCATTCTGAAGCCAGGTAGGAGTGACTTCTCTCCCACACACAGAAAAATCCCCGGGCAGTGCGGCAGGCGGAGGAGGTTCGGGGTCTGGAGCATCTGCACATGGATGTCGCTGTCAACTTCAGCCAGGGGGCCCTGCTGAGCCCCCATCTCCACAACGTGTGTGCCGAGGCCGTGGATGCCATCTACACCCGCCAGGAGGATGTCCGGTTCTGGCTGGAGCAAGGTCAGCTGGGAGCTGGGCACTGCCCGCTGCTGGGCGGAGGGAAGGGGACAGGGAGACAGCACAGAGCAGTGGAGGAGGGCAGGGGCATCATTAGTTGAGTCTCATCATTAGCCAAGTCTCATCATTAGCCTTTCCTTTGTTCAGGAGACATTTACTGAACACCTACAGAGATGTACTGGCGCAGGAATCAGAGATGTAGACACTCAGTTCCTGTCCCCCAGCAGGGTAGATCTGCACAGAGTTAAGTGTGATAGAATACCATGATAGCTACAGGCGTTCAGGGAGGGACCCCCAAACCAGGCTACAGTTGGTCTGGGAAGGCTTCCTGGAGGAAATGGAGCCTGTGTGATTATTCAGCGAGAAGATTCAGCCAGAGGAAAGGGCCCTGCTCCAGGCAGGGCACACAGACTCTGCTAGGCCCTGTGGAGGGAGATTCCCAGGTACTTCCCCTTGTCCCTGCCCTTAGTGAGGACACAGAGATGGGGCCTTCTGTCATGGGTGTGGGGCACAAGGACACCCTGCCCCCCTCCACTGACACCTCTCAGATATCAGCTTCAGGCCCTCCCTGGTGCCAGCATCTCTGCCCCAAGATCCTTGGAAGCTCCTCTCCATACTGCATGGTCCCTGCCTTCCTGACCTCTGTGACTTCAGCGCTGACCCCTCTCTGGGTACCTTTTCCAGGACCGCCCTCAGGTCCCCTGTGTGGAGGGGAGAGGGAAATGGCGCCATTCCAACTCTGAGCCCCTGTGCCTTCTGCCAGCCAACTGAGCACTGGTGAAATGCCTGCTCCTCCCAGGGCAGGCCCAGATTTAGAAATACCCAACCAAGCTGTGGTCTTGCCCCCCACACACATACACCCTCCCCCATGGCCTGCACCCCAGACTATGCCGCAAGCTTGACATAAGTGTCCTCCAGAAGCTGGCCCCTCCCATACAGCCCCTGAGCCTAATCAGGCCGGTACCTTCCGTCTCCTCCAGCGCCCCAATATGCACACTTTCCCATTTGATCCAAGCCCTGGCCACCCTGACCTGACCTGCCCCACTGTGGGTGTGCTTTGCTGGCCCTTCTCTGCCTAGCCCTACTCAGATGTCACTTTTTTTTTTTTGAGATAAAGTCTCACTGTTGTCCCCCAGGCTGGAGTGCAATGGCACGATCTCGGCTCACTGCAACCTCCGCCACCCGGGTTCCAGCAATTCTCCTGCCTCAGCCTCCAGGATAGCTGAGATTATAGGTGCCCGCCACTGTGCCCAGCTAATTTTTGTGCTTTTAGTAGAAACAAGGTTTCACCGTGTTGGCCAGGCTGGTCTCAAACTCCTGGCCTCAGGTGATCCACCTGCCTCAGACTCCTAAAGTGGGATTACAGGCATGAGCCACTGTGCCCGGCCAGATGTCACCTTTTTTAAGAAGCCTTCCTTGACTTCCAACCTTGTCTCCCCACGCCTCTATCTCAGCACACTCCGGTATGGTGATTTTTTAAAGCATTGGGTGGCAGTGTGGTCTAGTGGAGGCCTTGAAACCTTGGCCAGATCATTAAACTCTGGGTCGATGTTCTCATCACTAAAACAGGGATGACGATACTTAGCCCATGGGGTGACTGATGGAGGTACTGTAAGTAGAGCCCGTAGCACACAGTTGATGCCATAGAGGAGGGTGATTCCTATTTAATCTGTTTCTCCCACGAGCCCAGCAAGGAGGAGCCTAGTAACCAGGTCTTACCTCTGTGTCCCATGGCAAGCTTGGAAATGGAGGTGTCTGTAAATGCCTGTGGGATGACAGAGGAGACCAAGTGGGGAATGGCAGCGGCCTCTGACTAGGGGAGCTCCTTCCCTCCCTCCCTCCCTCCCTCCCTGATCCTTGCCTCTCTCCCCCAGGTGTGGACAGTTCTGTGTTCGAGGCTCTGCCCAAGGCCTCAGAGCAGGCGGAGCTGCCTCGCTGCAGGCAGGTGGGGGACCACGGGAAGCCCTGCGTCTGCCGCTATGGCCTGAGCCTGGCCTGGTACCCCTGCATGCTCAAGTACTGCCACAGCCGCGACCGGCCCACGCCCTACAAGTGTGGCATCCGCAGCTGCCAGAAGAGCTACAGCTTCGACTTCTACGTGCCCCAGAGGCAGCTGTGTCTCTGGGATGAGGATCCCTACCCAGGCTAGGGTGGGAGCAACCTGGCGGGTGGCTGCTCTGGGCCCACTGCTCTTCACCAGCCACTAGAGGGGGTGGCAACCCCCACCTGAGGCCTTATTTCCCTCCCTCCCCACTCCCCTGGCCCTAGAGCCTGGGCCCCTCTGGCCCCATCTCACATGACTGTGAAGGGGGTGTGGCATGGCAGGGGGTCTCATGAAGGCACCCCCATTCCCACCCTGTGCCTTCCTTGCGGGCAGAGAGGGAGAGAAGGGCTCCCCAGATCTACACCCCTCCCTCCTGCATCTCCCCTGGAGTGTTCACTTGCAAGCTGCCAAAACATGATGGCCTCTGGTTGTTCTGTTGAACTCCTTGAACGTTTAGACCCTAAAAGGAGTCTATACCTGGACACCCACCTCCCCAGACACAACTCCCTTCCCCATGCACACATCTGGAAGGAGCTGGCCCCTCAGTCCCTTCCTACTCCCCAACAAGGGGCTCACTATCCCCAAAGAAGGAGCTGTTGGGGACCCACGACGCAGCCCCTGTACTGGATTACAGCATATTCTCATCTCTGGCCCCGAGGCTGCCTGTGGGGCGAGTGGAGACCTCCCATCACTGAGACAGATCACAGACCACGAGTGCCTTTCCCGGACCTGGACGTTGCCTCCAGAGCAGGCACCAGCTCTTTCCCTCTCTACACAGAAATATTTTTGTAAGGTTCTGGGGCAGGGAGGGAGCATGAAGTACGAGGAAAACTTGAATTCCAGATTTTTAGTGCAAAGTATTTATCATTTCTACCAGAAATAAACGTTTTAAGTTTTTACTTGACTAATGAGACCCAGAGTTTGGAGAAAACTTTTGGCCAATGCTGCCACCTGATGTCAGAAAGTGTCCCCACACCCTAGCAGTGGCCTATCTTGGAACAAGAACTTCGAAAGCACCTACTGTGTGCTCAGCCATTTGAGGAAGGAAGGAGGAGAAGGAAGATGTTACTAGGGAAGGATGAGATAAAACTTCTGCACCCAAGACAATGAGACAGACATAGCTGCAACCGTAGTAAGCCAGTCAGAAATAGCCAGCGCGAAGGCAAGAGATGGGGTGGAGATTGGAACCCCGCTTCAGATCTGGGCTCGGCTACTTACCTGCTGTGCAGCCATGGGTCAAGTTGCTTGACCTCTCTGTGCCTCCACTCCCTTAGCTATAAAATGAGCTTACTTAAGAGACCGAAGTGAATTCTTGCATGTCAAGCATCTAGCACATAGTGCTGTTAGCCATTCTTAGTATCATTACTATTAGTGAAAAAAGCAGACATTCCTGCAGCTATAAGCCTGACTCAATGAAATCAGACATCTGGAAGGCTCTTCACTTCCAAAGTATCTTTCAACATGAAGAGGCTGTAATAGGAAGTGCCGGGCAGGGTTCTGGATGGTTCCAGAGCGAGGGATGTGCAGGCTGCATGTATTGGGAAAGGCTTTCTGGAAGAGTTGGGGTGTGGGTTGAGGCTGGAAGATGGTAACGATTTGGCAAGGTGGAGGCAGGAGTGTTTTAGGGGTTGGAAGAGTCTCATGGGTTCCCCAGGTGACCCAACTTTCTCAAGGAAGAGATGGGGACAGTCAGATCCTTCCTTGAAGGCCTTGGCGAGGGAAGGGGTTTGCAGGGTGGTCCCCTTTACTCTGCTCCCAGAACTCCCAGAACAGGCTGCAACTGCCCCTTGAACTCATGCAGGCCAGAGGGTTGAGGGAGCTGGGCTTGCTTGGCCTTGGTTGAGCTGAGGGTCAGCGGGGAGATAACCTTTTCAGGTGGGCACACCTCCCTTCTGAACCTGTTTTCAAGGACCAGCTCAGCCTTGCTGGGGGATGGGGAGGGAGCTGTCCCATCAGTCACCCCCCAGTCCTTTTTCTCCTTCCCTTTCTGCCAGGGCCTCCATCCCAAGCCCCAGCCATTGCTCCAGGTGGGCAAGGGATACTTGGAGAAGGCACCTGCTACCTCCTGTGTGCCTTTTTTGATGGAAGGGGAGTCCCCAAATCAGTATGTTTTCCCTTCTGATTTCCAAGTCACCAAAAATAATGCTTTTTTAAAAAGCAATGTTTTCAAGACTTGGAGTGTTTTTCTGACCTTCCTTGACTAGCACCTCCTAGCTTGTCTGGCCCCTGCAGTGAGGGGGCTCTGGACACCATCACTACAGACACCAGCTGCCTTGGGCTCCTTAGTCTCAGGGGATGGTGATGAGAAGAATCCCTGAGACTTTGGGCTGACCTTAACACTCTGCAAAGTAGGCACCTCCCACAGGGCCACATCCAAGGGCTCGAGTCCACCATTCCAAAGCACTCGCCCAACCGCCTTAGCCCCACTGTCACAGCACCTGAAATCCTGCCGTGACAGTCACTTCTTTGCTGAAAAGCAAATTTTAGTGTGCATCAGAATCACTTAGGAGCTTGTTGAAATAGATGTAGGTGGTCAGCTGTTTGGCAAACACTGAGATAAGACTTCCCTATCGCAGGAGGCTTTTGTGGCCGTGTAAAACACTTGGGAGTGGTAATATCAGTACTTATTTCTCTGCGGACTTTAGGGTTTACAATGTGCCTTCATATAAATTGGCCATTGGCTCCTTGTAGTGACTCTGTAACATTTTATAGATGTGGCTCCCTTATAAAATTGTGTGACCAGCCCAAGTTCAAGTCCAGGCATCTTGTTAGAACAGAACTGAGATCCAACCCCTGTCCTTCTTACTCCACACCCCCTCCCAACCCAAAGTGCTTTATGAGGTTGGCCAGCCAGAACTTCCGAGAGCACAGCTCACCCACAGGAGGGGACCTAGGCTTCGGTGGGACGGGGAGGAGTGTGGAGTGTAGAGCACCTGCTGGGCCAGTCTCTGTAGTAGCAATCATTGAACATGTGGGCAGGGGGTGGTGGGGACAGTGTCCAAAGATTCCTGGGACCAGAATTGGCAGGAAGAACTGCCTGATTTCCGTTTGCCAGGGTAAGCAAAGCACCCTCGGGGAGGCCAGAAACCCAGCCCTGACTGGTGCTGCTGCAAGCCGGGAGGATGAGTTGTGCCTGGTTCCCTGGGCAACCTCACCCGGGCTGGGCTGGACCTCACTATGGACTTCCTGTGGGTTTTCTTCAGGCATCTCTCCCTTCAGGCTTGTTAGCCAAGGGAGGCCTTCAGTGGGGGAACTGTGGGCCACAGCTGGAGGACCTCTACCCCAGGGTCTTTATTGGACCTGGCTCTGGTGGATGAGGGGACAAGGACTCCGGCAAAAAGGAGGGCAAGTGCCACTCTCAAGAACCAAAGGCTCGAGGCCAGCATTGTATCTGAGGAGCATGGGCACCCGCTGGGGCCCAGCTCTGTGTGACCTTGTGTGGGTCACACACATCCCATAAGAGAGAGGGTCTCACTGGGTTATCTCCAAGGTCTTCCCCAACACGGGCATTCCATGTCTAATCGCCTAATATTCTCCCAAATGGTCTATTGGCCATTTGGCTACTGATGGAAAATCGAATTGTTTACTGTGACTTGCTCTTACAAGCCAGGTTGTAGGCAGGAATAGAAAAAACAGGCAACTGACTCTAATCCCAGCACTTTGGGAAGCCGAGGCGGGCAGATCACCTGAGGTCAGAAGTTCAAGACCAGCCTGACCAACATGGCGAAACCCCCTCTCTACTAAAAATACAAAAATTAGCCGGCGTGGTGATGGGCGCCTGTAATCCCAGCTACTTGAGAGGCTGAGGCAGGAGAATCGCTTGAATCCGGGAGGCGGAAGCTGCAGTGAGCCAAGATCGCACCACTGCACTTCAGCCTGGGTGATGGAGTGAGACTCAATCTCCAAAAAAGAAAAGAAAAAACAGGCAACTGGAATGTCTGTGTCACAGGCGTGAACATTGTAGATGCTGTCAGATCACCCTACAGCTGGGGCCGTTCCAGTTTACACACAACTAGCAGTGTCTGAAAGTTCCCGTTCTCTCATATTCCTGTGGTATCAGTCAGGGCTCTCCAGAGAAACAGAACCAGTAAGATACACACATAGAGAAAGATTTATTTTAAGGAATTAGCTTGCTGGATTTTGGGGTCTGGCAAGCCCAAAATCCTAACAAACTAGCAGTCTGGCAGCTGAGGCAAAACTTAATGTTGTGGCCAGCCGGGAGTCTGAAATTTGTAGGGCAGGGCAGCAGGCTGGAAGCTCAGGCGGGACTCTTGTGTTATAGTCTTAAGGCAGAATGTCTTCTTCAGGAAACCTCCATTTTCGCTCTTTAGGCCTTCAACTGATTGGATGAGGACCACCCGCAATACAGGGGTGATCTTTTACTTAAAGTCAACTGATTATAAAGGTAGTCACGTCTATAAAATACCTTCACAGCAACGTCTAGGCTAATGTTTGACAAAACAGCTGGGTATGAGAGCCTGGCCAAATTGGCACATAAAATGAATCATCATGCCTGCCATCGCTTGGTATTGTCATAAACTGTTCGCTGTTTGACCAGTGAGAAACATGACAGCATTCCAGGGCTTATTCTCAGTATCAGCTATTGGCTGTAGCCAGGTGACAGCTGGGATGGTTGTTCCCCTCCACCCTCCTCTGCCCTCACCTGGGATTCCTCACCCTCTGGCTTCAGCCGATGAGAAGCACTGCAGGTGGGAGCACAGGACAGCAGTGGGGTGTCAGTTCCCTGCTGGCTGCCTCAGCACCACACATGTGGCACTGGCTTCATTCCTCCAAGGCTCCAGATCTTCCGGGGCTCCCATACCACTGTCTCCTCCTGTTGCCTCTTCTGCCCTCGCTTCTCTGTGCAGCCCCTCTCTGGGTGCTGGTTCCCTTAAGCCTGCTGGCATCTCTGTCAATAACACCTTTGTTAGAGGCACTCCGAGTTAAGTTGGTTCTGTTTTCCTGCAGAAACCCTGACTGATAACCACAGTGGCCCCAGCTGGGGACCTAGAAGGTTAGTGGTAGAAGGGAAGAGGGTAAAAGCGGGTGGAAAGTGTAGGCTCACTTGGTGGGTATTCAGTGCAGACCTCCATGGAGAAGGGCTGGACCTCAGGAGCTCTCAGTGGAGCCAGGGAAAGACAGTCACAAGGGTGGTGTCCACATGCCCCTGGGGGGCAACTATCTCACCAGCCCTGGCTCCTGTGACAAGGTCCTGATTCCTAAGCAGGGAGAGGCAGGATGAGAGGCAGCTCCCTCCCCTCCTACATCACAGAAAGCAGAAGCCTCGAGAGGA
This sequence comes from Homo sapiens, assembly GCF_000001405.40. Lineage (NCBI taxonomy): Eukaryota > Metazoa > Chordata > Mammalia > Primates > Hominidae > Homo > Homo sapiens. Next base: position 120,234,331 of record NC_000011.10, read on the forward strand.
GAAGCCTCTTCACCACTCCCTGGCCTACGCTGGCACCCACCTTCCCAGTTCCCCTCCTGACCTCATGGAGACATGTCTTTTCTCCCCACTCTCCCGGACCTCCCTCTCTGGGGGAAATGATCCCCTCTTCCTCTAGCATTGCTCCCTTTCCTGCTTCCTTCCCAGTGGCCCTGGAGAGTTCGCATTCTTTCTCATCTTAAGAACAAAATAAAAAAACACCTCAAAACCAGGTCCCTCTCCACCTCTGCCCTATTTCTCCCGGCTCCTTCACAGACCACCTTTTTGCCAGCATCCTCCTCCCCAGCACTTTCCAACCTTGGAATCGCTACTCAAGGCTATGCAGCAATCAGCTAGGATATGTGTCACAAGTCATCTGTTACTGAAATGGCTGAACTATTTTCACCGAAGTCAGGGCAGATTCCAGGTCCTTCCCATGTGAATATCACCACCCTCGTGGCTCCTGCTTTCGCGCCTTCACACTCAGTCCTTGTCTATACGCTGATCCCACGGGGATCAGTGCCCTTTGCAGCTGCAAAGGGAAGTACAGGAGGTAGGACATTTTGACTGGCAGAGATGTCCAGCAACAGGACGGATAGCCCAACGGGCCAGGAGCACCTGTCACTGCGTTGACTGAGCAGAAACAACCAAGCTGGCTGACTCCAACTAGGGTTCTGGGCTGAGGTCTGGTCTTTGATGGGGAGCAGGGACTGGAAGACCCAATGGTAGTCTGAAACTAAAATTCAACATCCCCATCTTGCCTAGACCTGGGGCCCTCCCCTGTGCATCCCCCAGCCATGGATGGGCACTCCTGTGAAAAGATCTCTCCAGGGTCTTGCAGGTAGAGGTGCAAAAGTCAGGGTCACACGCCCCTGTGACCACGAGAGGGCGCGCAGGGCCTAGACTTGCCCTGAGCGTGTAAGTGGATTGGGAAGGTTACCTGGGGTGAGGTGGGTCCAGGCAGCCAGGAAAGGGCTGGCTGAGGCAGAGGCTGAGGCTGGGCTCTGTCGAAGGTGCAGTTAGAAAGATCCAGCTCAGGTCCAATGCCGGCCTCAAAGTCAAAAAAATTGATTGGAAGCAGAGTTGCTGTTATGTTGTCTTTAAATTAAATATATGTTGCTATTATCAATGATTCTGAACTTTTAAGTGCAAAATGGACAATGAATGTGTGTGTACTGCCCCCCGACATGGGTGAAGGCTGGGTATGGGGAGATGTCTCTTGGGCAAGGGCAGGGGGTATTCAGCATTAGAGACATCAGAGCAGAGAATAGCTCTGTATCCTGACTCTGGTGTCCTCTACCCATCCCCTCGCCAGTCACAGTTACCTTATCCTGGTTCCCAAGACACCTTTCACTGTGTCACCCTGACACGAACCCCACCTCCACCAAAAGCCTCCCGGCAATGATGCCCTCAGATGTACCTTGACATATGATTTAAAACAGGCCTGGAAGTCCTTCCTAGCCTCTCCCTTGCTCCCATCTGCTTTTATTGGGAATCTGAGTTTGGATCCATTCTCTTTGATCACCCTGAGGCAAGGAGCTGACCCTCTCCTGTACCCCCACGCTCTGGGCCCCATGGCCCATCTGGCAGAAGGAAAGGGCTAGAAGGGACTTGTTCCTTGGTGGCCTTCCAGGATGCCTCACTCTCCGCCCTTCTCCTAGCCCTGACAACTCAATCCAGCTGACAGGACAGGAAATGGGAGTGAGCCCAGGGTCTACAGCCAAGAAGGTCCCTTTTCCCTGCTGAGGTGGGGATGGGGCTTGGGCCCACTCCACGCAGTACCCTCTCCAGGGCTGTGCACCATTTCCACCCACTGTGTCTGGAAAGGAGGCTTGACTCTTAGAGCTTTCTGTCCTTGAAACAAAAGAAGTTGATGATATGTTCAAATAGAAATGAAGCCTGGGGCACTAGTGACTCCCTAGAGGTGCAGCCAAGGGGGTTAGATGTCACTCCAGGAGACCCCGGAGGACCTGGGGAGGGGTCAGAATTGATGACAGTTTCAAAACCACAGCATCCTGGAGTAAGGCTTCTGCTACTCTGAAAAAAGTCCTCCAGCTGTTGAGAGAGGTGGGGTAAGGGAGGGAGGGAGGGATGATTTGCATTTAATTTGCATTTCATTTACATATAGTTCTTTTGATGTCCAAAGGCACAGAAATTTCCTGTCCTGGCTTCTTTTTCCCTTTCTTTCTTCTGTTCCTTTCTAACCTCCAGGCAAACCCCTATCTCTCTCTCTTCCCCACAGCTTTTCCTCTCCTAAGCTAAACAGGGACAGGGAGTATCAGGCTCAGGGGGGTTGACATTTTCCTCTCTATCTCACTCCAGCCCAGAGCTCAAAAAACCGGTTTCATGGAGTCTCCAAGAACTGCTAAAGGAGGAAGGGGTAAAGGAGTTCTCTACGTTCCCATTCTAGCTCATCTAACTGAAATGATCAGTGAGCAAGTCTGAGAGAGAAGGAATAAAGATTGCTCACCATTCCCCCTCAACCCTATACACAGGTGGGACTTAGAGGGCACCCCAGCCTTCTAAGCCTCAGGGCACATGAGGGAGAAGCAGGGAAGAGTAGAAACGTCTCTGCTGAGCCATATGTTTGTTCTGTTTTCTGGGGTAAGTCCCCCTCCTTGTGGGCCTCAGGTCCCTCAAATGAAGGGTTCAATGATATCTAGGTTCTTTCTACCTCGTTATCTGATAAGAGAAGGGGAAGCTCAGATTCAGAAACTGGAGGGCAGGACTAAAATCCTGGCTTTGGGGTTGGCAGCCCTGGGTCTAAATACCAACTCTGTAGTCTACTAGCTGCGTTTACTTCTCTGAACCTCAGTTTTCTCATCTGTAACGCAGGGCTAATAATTGTACCTTCCATCTAAAGTGGCACTGACTAAAATCAGATGGTGTATGTTCAGCATGGAGCACAGTTCTTGGCACGTAGGAAGCACTCAATCTATATTCATTGAGTGAATGAGTAAATGAATGAATGTGAGGGAGTATCTGCTATCCTCTCCCCACCCAGCCCCTTCTGCCCCGTTCATCCTCCTACCTCCACACTCCAAGTTTGGAACCCAAAGCTGTGCCTCCAGCTGTGAACCTCCAAGGTCCTATCTGTGCCTCAGCTTCCACCCCAATCCCCACAAGAACTCCATATCCCCATTCCCCCCAGAACCCCAGAATCCTAGGCTGCTGGAGACAGAAGGCCCTTTGAAATTATCAAATATGGGCCTCTCTGACTTTTGGAAAACTAAAGCCCAGAGAAGAAATGTGACTTTGCACATGAAAAAGGGCAACGGGCCCCAGATAAGGTGGTCGGAGAATGAGACCCTCGGTGCACATGGCCATGCAAATAATATGCAAATAGAGATATGGAAATCACAAGCACACAGGGGTATATAAGCTGTGTGCAGGCATTTTTCCAGAATGGTGGTAGGTGAGTGCAGTTGTAGGTAAGAAATGGACTTCAGGGAAGGGGCCAAACCTGAAGTTGGGGAGGAGAAGAAAAGGCCAGAAGGGGATGGGAGTTGGGGGAGTGTTGAATAGGAGGGAAGGAAGGAACAGAGGCTGAGAGTGTCCTGAGAGGGACCCCCTTGGGCCTCCAATAAGCCCTTGCTGGTCTCTTTCCTCACCCAGAAGAAACAAGAAAAAGTGCAGGGGACGGTGGCTCACACCTGTAATCCCAGCTCTTTGGGAGGCCGAGGCAGGCAGATCACCTGAGGTCAGGAGTTTGAGACCAGCCTGACCAACATGGAGAAACCCCGTCTCTACTAAAAATACAAAATTAGCCGGGCATGGTGGCGCATGCCTGTAATCCCAGCTACTCGGGAGGCTGAGGCAGGAGAATCGCTTGAACCTGGGAGGCGGAGATTGCCGTGAGCCGAGATGATGCCATTGCACTCCAGCCTGGGCAACAAGGTAGAAACTCCATCTCAAAAAAGAAAAAGAAAAAGAAGCAAGAAGAAGTTTCTCTCCTCCCTTCTTTTCGGGAGCGTGGGGAAGGGAGGTCCATGTGACTGGGGAGGGTGGTGTATGTGGACCTGAAGAAGCAATTAAGTGCTTCCTGTTCCTCTGGGGCCACTGTAGCACCCACAGAACACTTTCTGATACCTGTTGTGTGCCCAGCCCTGTTCTAGGTGCTGGGGTGCTGGCACTAGAATGAAGCAATTGATCAGTTACCAACCAGGGGGTAAGCTAAGAAAAGGCCCTCAGAACCTGCCACGAAGGCTGTTAAGAACATGGAACTTAGGCTGGGCGTGGTGGCTCACACATGTCATCCCAGCACTTTGGGAGGCTGAGGCGGGTGGATCACGAGGTCAGGAGATCGAGACCATCCTGGCAACGTGGTGAAACCCTGTCTCTCCTAAAAACACAAAAATTAGCTGGGTGTAGTGGCACGTGCTTATAGTCTCAGCCACTCAGGAGGCTGAGGAGAATCGCTTGAACCCAGGAGGTGGAGGTTGCAGTGAGCCGAGATTGCACCACTGCACTCCAGCCTGGCAACAGAGCAAGACTCTGTCTAAAAAAAAAAAAAAAAAAAAAAAAAAAAGAACACGGAACTTAAACTCTCTAAGCCTCATTTTCCCCATCTATAAAATGGCAATAATCATAGTACAATGTACAGGTTTTGAGGACTAAACAAGAACTAAAGGCACGAAAGATGCCTTTCAAGTGTTGGTCACCCCAGTGCTTGATACACAGTGAAGGCACACGAAATGCTGGGTGTTATCGTGGGCATGACTGGAGTGCACGGTGGGATGGGCGTGCCAGGGGGAAAGGACACTGTAAACAAGGTGTAGAGGCAGGAAAGCCCAAAACCTGTTCTGTGCTCAGAAAGTAGCCCATGGGACTAAGGAGAAGACATGTTCATGAGGAGTCCTGTCTGGGAAGGAAAGCGAGGCCCTGCCCTCCTGTCTGCACACAGCTTTCTGGGCTTCCATGCAGGCCATCCTGTGGTGACAGACCACTTACTGGGACTTGAAGAGACGAAGAGAAAGGGGTGAGCCTATGATGGGTGCTGCAAAGAGCACTGGAGTGGGAGTCCAGAGACCTGATTCCAGCCAGGCTCTGTCACTAGGGAAGTGTGCACCTTTGAGCAAGCCGCTTCCCCGCTCTGGAAGGTGGCTGTCACCAAAAGCCTGGGCACTGGTAACTTCCACATCCATCATCTCGTAGAGCCTCACAGCAACCTGGGACCTGGGGCGGGAGACTGGAGGGGCAAGCAGGAAGCAGTTGTGTGCACCTGGAAACTCTGCTAATAATAAACTGCACCCCGTCTAAATCCCACAATGCTGTGAGGATGCCATGGGGGCTAGGTGAGCTTGGTCACCTGCTCAGCCCAATAGGGAACCCGATTAGCACCTGTCCTGTTTTACAGGTGAGTTAAATGAGCTCAGGGAGGTGAAGAACCTTGTCCCAGCCACACTGCTGGTAAGCGGTTGGGAGGCGAGATTCCAAAACTGAATTCTTTCCAGCAGACCCCCGCGACTTCTCCAAACACTCCAACTCCTTGCAGCGCTTACACTTCGCGATCTGTCCAGAAGGAAGCTCGGGCTCAGGCTGGAGAACCCGCCAGGGCTTCCTAAAAAGGGCGAGCAGGACCAGGAGTTGGCGCCACTCCGGGCGCGGTGAGGAGGTGCTGCCAGGCTGGGTTGGAGCAGGCAGGTGTTCCGCGGGATCGAGACCCGCCCCGGCAGCACCCCCGGCCCCCTCCCCAGGTCCCCAGCTCCATGTATGCAAATCACTGCTTTGCATGGGCCTGGGGCCAGGCGCGGGGCTCCTGCCAGGGGGCGTGGCCGGCGGCCCCCGCCCCGCGCCGCGTGCTCACCTGGGGAGTGTGGCAATCCTGGCGGCGCCGAGTGTTGCCCGGGCCGGAGCAGCGGAGCGCGCGACAGTGGCGGCGACGGCTCCGGCAGCGGCTCCCGCGGCGGCGGCGGCCGGGAACTGGAGGAAGGAGACCCTGGCTTCGCAGGGGCCCCGGCTGGGGCAGAGGCGAGGGGCCTGGGGGGGCGCTGGCTTTGGCCCCGCCTGGGGCAGGATGGTGAATCTGGAGTCCATGCACACAGGTGAGGGGCGGAGGGAATGAGCTCTGACAGGTGTCACTGCGCGTGGGCAGGGGTGAAGGAGAGGGACAACGTTCTGGTTAGGGAGGGGGGCTTGTTTCCCAGCGGCCAGGAGAGGGCGGTGTGGATAGCGGGTTGTCCTGGGGTGGGTGCCGGTCAGTATTTGGGGACTAAAGGGAGGGGATCTGGGATAAGAAACCCTGGAAAAGAATGAGGGTGGGGGCTGGTGAAGGGCGGGAGGGCTTCGAAGCCCCCGGTCTGGGGAGTGGCAGTTGTATGGGACGTGGGTGTACTGAACTGTCATAGTCTCAGGAGGTTGCAGGGATGGGTGGTTCACTCACTCAGCCAGGGGTGTGGACCTGGGAGTGCATAAGTGAGGGAAATGTGTATGTCCACATGCTGTGTGCTGGTGTCCGGGCATATGTGTGAAATGGAGGCAAAGCGGACATTTAGGTGGTTGGGGGGCTTAGGAGAAGTGGCTGAGGTGGGGCAATTACAGAGGTGCCCCTGGGGCAGGGGCCATGCCCCCATGTGTTTGAGAAGGGATGGTGACAGACACATCCTCTGGGTTCCATGTCCCATGCCTTCCTTCCCTAAGGGGTGGAAACCTAGGAGATGCAAATGCTTTGCCGGGAGTCAGGCTTCCCTGAATGAATGAATGAGAGGTGGGCATGGAGGGAACCCAGCCCCTCCATTCACCTTGCTGTTCCTCCTTCCACAGCTGGGCTAAGGCAGGAGCTGCCAGGCAGCCAGGTTGGGCTTGGCTTGGGGCTTCCTGTTAGGGTGGGCCTTCTGGAGGTCACAGGGCCTGAGCAAAGAACAAGTGAAGAAAGCGGTACCTGACCTGGCCATTTCTAACCTAGCAACTTACTCTCAAAGTGGGCAGGACCCAGTGATCTTTCTTTAGGATTTCGGGGCTGTTGATGGGAATGTTGTTACCTGGTCTCCTTTCTGGGAGAGTAGGGAGGAGGCAATGCTCCAGACCCACCCCAAGAAGCAGAGCAGGCCTGAGGCCTACCCAGCCTGAAAACAAGCGTCAGTGAGTGCCCGGAGGGAGGGGACCTGGAGTGCCCAGTTCCCCAGATGCTGTTTCCTGGCAGGGCTGAGTGAGAGGCAGACTGGCAGTGAGATGTTGGCACTGAGTGGCTCTCCAGGACGTGCCAGAAAGGCTAGGTGAGGCGGAAGAAGCCATCCAACTGGGTGTCATCCAGAGTCTGAGGAAAGTCTGTTTCTAGACTGGGCATACCTGGGGCAGATCCCCGGGTAGGTGCTCTCCCCTTCACTGCCCGCAGAGAAGGCCAGGGTTTGAATGGGAGCAAGTCTCTTCAGAAAGGTGGGCTTAGCAGTGGATGGGAAGTTTTTTAGCACCAAGATCACAGACTTCCTGGGGGTTTTCCACCTCCTTGTCTACTGGAGGCTCCCATTCTGTGGAAGTGGGAGGGGGTGGGACAGTTGGGACCCAGCAGGGAGGCAGCCTGGGGCCTCAGAGGATATAGCAGAGAGCAGAGAACACCAGAGGATGAGGTTGAGGCATAGGGCTTGGCCTCTATGCCTTCCCCAGGAGTGAGCTCCTGGCTGATGCTTCTCAGAAGCCCAGACACCTTCTCCACCCTGTCCCTGTGAGCAGGTATTCCCGACACATGGGGGGAGACTGAGCTAAACCCCAGGTGGGGTGATTCCTCAGGGCGGGATCTCCATGTACCTGGGGGTAGATTGCCCAATTCATCTCTCTCCATTTGCCTGCTCCCTCCCCAGCCCATTCCCCCCTCAGGGCTACCTGGCCTCCCTGTGCAGTTTCTGGGTCTTGGCCCCTCTGTAGTGTCTGAGGGTTCCCCTTCAGTGGCACCTCCAGAGGTCTCTGAGTTTAGGACTTTCTGTCCCATCTCTCTAACTGGGTCTCTATTAGAGGGCTCTCTTTGCTGGGTCCTCCTGGTGGCCTTTACTGTTCAAGATCTTCTTTGTAGGGTCTTCCAGTGCGCACCCTGCTGTGGGGTCTGTGAAGGAGGATCGCTCTTCCCTCTATGGAATATCTCATTATGGGTCCCTCTCTAGGGTCCCTTAGTCCAGGATCCTCTTTTGGAAATGTGGTCTCTTTTGAGTCCCATTTTCCCCCGCCAAGGTAATCCTGTATCCTACTGATCTTGATAAATAGTACTTCTCCTGTGAATTCCCAGGGCTGGGTCCTTGGGGTCTCCTCCTTAATTGACTTACTGGAGGAGTTTGGATGGGGGAAGGAGGAGGAACAGGAGCACACAAACTAGAGCATAGGCTTGCTCCCGGGTCGCCCACTCCAAGGGCTCCACTCGCACTGAGGCCAGCTGGAGTTAGCCCCATTGTCTTGCTCTGATAACCTGGGTACGAGCCATGATTCAGGTCTGCCTGGAGCCTTCGCACCTTGTACTTTATAGAGCATCTCTCACCTGGAAGCACAAAGACCTGAGCAGGCAGAGGGTCACCAGACACAGGGGCTCTGCAGCAAGGAGGGGCTCCCTGCTCCCTGACTAAAAACAGGCAGAGAAGTAGACCCGAGACAGCCAGCTAGGGAGGCAGATAAGAGACAAAGGAAAACAGTGGGAAGCCAGCGGGCGGGGGCACACCTGGTTTGCCCCAGGTGTCTCTTTCTCTGCCCTTCTCCTCACTGTGAGCTTTTCCCCACCAAGGTTGGGAAAGGGGGGCTGAGTCTCACAGACGGGTGCCAATTGGAGCTCAGGAATAGCATTTGGGTTGGAAGGCCTGATGATGGGACTGAGAAGAAATGAGAGAAGTCTCCTCTGGCGGAGAGTTGGAGCCTTGGCTAGCTCAGAAGTGGGGCCGGTGGGTCCTTTGAAGTCTCCCAGTGGAAGTGCCGCCATCAGCAGGTATGTGCGGGAGGAGCCAGAGGGAGCTCCCGTCCTTCCAAGAACATGAAGATGGACACTAGGAGAGAGGGCTGTGGCTTCTGCTTTCCCAGAGTAGCCTGGTCCCAGGAGGTCCAGGACCCTCAGCCTGCAGCCTGTGGGGAGTGCTTCCTCTCGAGCTTTCTTCCCTGGGGTTCACAGATGTCTAAGGAGGGCCCACTCCTGGTCAAGCCAACGCTAACTTCAGGGTGTGATGGTGCTGAGTGGGGCAGCCAAGGGTCTGCAGCTGGTGTCTGGGCTCTTTCACAGAGCAGCTGAGCCTCCCCAGGGAAGGGAGTGATGGCAAGGAGCCTACTCAGTGTCTGGCTGAGATAACACAGAGGAGCCTGGCCCCACCCCACACCTCTCTCACTCACCCCTGGCAAGTGCTGTCCGACAGGTGAAGGGTTACAGTGTCTCAGGGAGTTTCGGTGTTGGCCCATTTTTAGGCTGAGACCCAAAAGCTCGTCCCACCCATCAGCCTCAGCCTCCTACCCAACAGGAACAGGTTCTCAGTGTCTTAGCATCCTATGGGACTCAAGAAGAGGCTTGATAGGTTATCTCACCCTGCCCCTCCAATCCTGAAGTGGCACCTTGTTGATCCCATAATGGATACATCAAATGAGTAGACAACATGGCAGATGAGGAGGGGAGGGGGTTGATGCCTTTGAAAGTTATTTTTAGACATGATTAAGACTAAATGTCAGGCTAACTTGAAGGATGAATGAGAGCTTCTGTGTGTATTTGATGAAGGTGATGTGGAGAATGGGTGTTGGAGGAGAATTTGGGTTCTAGGCATGCGATTACAGTTTAGCTAAAGAATTACCTTCTTAAATTTCAGGAGTTTGAAATGAGTTGATTCAGAGACTCTGGTCATCATCCCAGCGTCACTGCCTCTTAACTTTTTCCTGTCCTCATGAACACTTTTTCTGTGAAGTCAGAATTTGGAGAATCCTAATGGTTTCCCAGATAAAGGACAAATTACAATGGTGCTGAGACAGAAAACCAAAGCTATTCCTTATAATGGGGCAAGGGGTTAATGGAGGGGCATGAGAAGAAGGCAGGAAGGGAAGCGGACTAGCATCTAAGCCTAAGTGTCTGTTTAATTAGTTCATTTATTAGGTGCTTACTTTGTGCCTGGAACTCCTTTCCTGGCAGTTTTCATTCAGTATTTCATTTAATCCTCACAAAAACCCTGGGAAGTGTATATCATTATTCTCATTTTTAGGTGAGAAAATTCACATCCGAATATGTGGCTAGGGTCCCCTAGCTAGTTAGTGATGGCATTGAGATTAATCCAGGTTTGTCTGATGCCAAATCCCATGCTCTGAATCCTGGTGCTGATGAAGCAAATTGAAACCACCAGTGGGGGAGAACTTCCTGTGCACCTTTCCAGCAGTCTCTGACTCAGGGCCTCTTCTCAGCACTGTTGAAGAATCCCCATGGTGAAGTATGAGCTGAGCAGATCTGCGTTAGGCAATGCCCAGCTCCAGGGGGGATAGTACTTAATGGGTGGGAGAGGGGAGCCCGTTTCTCCATTGGAACAGAAGGCCAGTGGCAGCAGAAGCCCTTTGCAAATGTGTCTGGGCGGTCCATAGTAGTTATTCTGCATATTCATGCATGGCAAACTATAGAGAGTTTGAGACTGCAGCAGGACGGATTGAGGTTAGGCTCAAGAAATGCCTCCCTAAACGCTGTGCACTAGGAGGGGAGGGGGTGGGGTAAGGTTGCAGGTCTTCCTCAGAGCTCTGTGACCGACCACAAAGTGCAGTGTAGATTTGTCTGGGGAGGGTTCCATAGAGCTCTAAGTGTTTACCTTGGCGTCTTCCCTCAATTTGGCTGGTCTTGAAAACTCCTTAAACCACAGTGACTCCTGACTTTCTCCCCTATTTCTGGGGTATTCTAGCCTCTAAATCTCTGGATCCCCCATCTATGTCTTGTTTGGCATCGAAGCTGCTACACTCCAGAGGTGTACACCTCGGCCGGAGCCACACACGTTAGTCCTCACACACATGAAAAAGTAGGTTTTCTCCCCTCTTTCCCTGGGGCACAGGTCTACCCTTTTTCCTCATCCTGATCATCTCCAGACCTGGGCATCCGGACTGCCAACTGCCTGATTACCTGATGCAAATTAAGACTGCCTGCTTGACTGGGATTGGCTGGGGAGCTGAGTACGCAAATTGGCTCACCAAGACTTTATCTGGTTTGAAAGAGTTAAAGTGCTGCCCCAGAGAAGGGGGGGTGTGGGGGTCAACATGATTTGAATAAATATTCTTCTGTCTTTAAGGCTTCAGTCTTTGGGTGGTTTAATAAGGAGAGGAGCAGAGAGAGAGTGAGTTGGTTCAAAGTTGCCTCTCTTCTTCCCCCTGCTGACCCCAAGAGGAGACTTAGGGGCCTCCCACATAGGTGGTGGCAGCTGTCTGTTAAGGGTAAATGTTTAATTTATTGAAATGAAGCAGGGCAGAGAGGCTGGACCAGCAGGACTTGGGGGCTGAGCCAGGGGCCTGGTGTAGGTATTCTCTTTCTGTGGGGCACTGACCCGCTGCCATCCCTTTCTCACTGAGCCAGTTGAAGGAGTAGGAGAGAAGGTAAGGATCCCCAAAGGACAGGATCTCCAAGGAGGACAACACAGGAGCTAGGACTTGATCCCCAGACTGTGGGCTGACCTCTGAGACCAGACAGAGAACCCAGGCAGGACCTGGGAAGAAAGGTGAGAAGGGCAAGCCTTGGTTTAAGGGCACTCTTACCTTCCAGGATGGGGTTATTAAGGGAAACAGAGCTGGGGAGGCAGGCGGGGAGGGATAATTCTTTCACTATTTAAAAATAAAATAAATTCCTCAGATCCCAAAGGAAACGAGTGTTGGAAATGGGAAGTGTCCCCTCCACCCCCTTGTTAAATTTTTACCAACTGAGTCCTGGTGATAGAAGCAAGTGGCCATGAATGATGCAAAAGGTGAGAGACCCTGCAGTGGCACCGGGGAAAGGGGAAGAGAAAGGCAAGGAGAGGAGGCGAGCATGGGAGGAGGGGATCCGTGCCCTCAAGCTTATGAATATTCTAATGGTTGTATGTTCGGGAATCAGGAATTTGAAAGTCTGATGGTTGTTGTAATTACACATTCATCTTTGTTATTTAGTTAAAGCCACATATGTCATAGCAAGAAAAATTGTGACCTGTTATTAAAATCAGTTGTGTTTTCCCTGCAGATATCAAGATGAGTGGGGATGTAGCCGATTCCACGGATGCTCGCAGCACTCTCAGCCAGGTGGAGCCAGGTAAGGGTCTTCTCTTCTCGGGGATGGAGGGGGTGGGGGGAAGAGAGTTGTTGGGAATTGTTGAACAACTGGTGTCTCTTCTTGCTTGGTCTTTCAGCCAACCAGACCCCAAAGCTAGGTCTTAGGAACTAAGGGAATTCCCTGAGGACATGGGATATGATTCTGGAGCCTTTGAACAGTAGATATTGCTCCACAGTGGAACAAAACCTCTGGAATTAGGCTAGGAAGAGACCAGATACTTAAAAACAGAACAAAACCAAAAAAGTTCAGGAGCAGCTGTGTTCCCAACTGCTGTGACTGGCAGAGGCAGAACCTGTCTTTCTTAGATGGGGACAAGGCCTTTTAGCCCCAGATACCTTGATAGTCCTACTCAAGGCACTAACCAAAGAGGCCTGTGTACAAATGTTTCTCTTCCAAATAACGTGCATGTGGGTGGCAAATAGGCTCAGAGAGAAAGGCTTGGTGCCTGGAGGTGACTTTGCTTTGGAAAGAAGGGAAAGGATGTCAGTAGTCCCAGCTAGTCAGCAGGCCAAGGTGGGAGGATTCCTTGAGCCTAGGAGTTTGAGGCTGGACCGTCCCAAAAAAAGCTGAGAGGAACAAAGAAGAATTAAAAAAGAGAGTTTCATAGCTCTCTATTTTTACCTCCATAGTTCAAGCCTTGCTTTGAAAGCTCCATATAATTAAAAAGAACTTAAAGATGAGTATAAATTGTAGCACCACCAAATAACTTTAATAGCATTCCAACCAGACCTCAATTAGTCTTTCATCTGGATCATTAGAGACATAGAAATTAGAAGTGGAAGAGAATCAATGTCCCCCAGAGCTAAAATCTTTTTCAAATCTTGTAGAGCAGTGTAGTTCCATTCTTGAAGCTATGAGATTCTTGTCAGGGGCAAGATAATTGGGGGTCTTGGCGGGGAGGGCATCCACAGTATGCATTTGCCATAAACTTTTCTGCTCCCCAGTTTAATACTGAAACAGTGTTTCCTTGCACAGGTAGCAATACACATCAAACTACAATCTTTCTATTTTGCTTTGCTTATGTACAGAGGCAGCAAGACTAAGGAGAATGTGGGCCGGTCACACTCATGTTTCAATAGATTATTTAGCAGAGTATCTTTTACTAAGGGTCTGTGGAGAGGGGCACCTGTTCTTCCCAGTTGAGAAGAAGATTCCCTTTTATCTCAAAAACCTGAGCAAGACTTTAAACTCAGTTCAGCTAGAGAGTGATAGATATAGTCCCCACACTGACACCCTTCCCTAGAGAAAAACCAGCCCAGGAGCCATGATCCAGAGAGGCTGGATTGCCCTTTTCTGGAAGCAGGCTGGCTGGAGCCAATTCTGTTTACCTGGGGCCCATTGCCCAGGTGTGTGGGGACACAGCTAAGAGAGCGTCCACATGGAAAGAAGACCACGCCTAACCAGCTTGCACTGGTGTTCTGTTACTAAGACCAAATCAGGGTAACAGTGTTAGGAGTGAGAATGAGCCACATAGAACCCTGAAAGAGGAGCCAGGAAAGGGAGGGAGTTCAAATCCTGGTGGGGGTTAGGAAGGTTAGTGTGTTATGGTCAATATGAGCAAATTCTGGCTTCCTATCTGGGAGCTATATATAAAGTAGGTTAAGAGAGAAAGAATCCAGACATTGGCTAAGACCTTCAGAATCTGTCTCTTATCCGGGGATACCACCAATTCAATATGTGACCTTAGACCAGCCACTTTGCCTCCCTAGGAGGTAGGAACGGATGAGCTTTGAAGAGTATGGATCTAGAATCAAACAGACCTGGGATAAAATTTGCAGCTCCACTGCTTACTGGCTGCATGACCTGAAAATTTATCCTTGTCCCTTTTGTAAAGGGGGAAAAGTAATGCCCAACTTAGAGAGTGGGTTGAGAGTTACTTGAGATGATGTCTCAAGCCCTTAGCACAGTGCTTGGCACATGGCAGCTGTGATCGTCATTAAGATTCTGGAATATACAGATGGGCATCGCTGCTGAGTACTTCTGGCTCATTCCCCGCTTTACTCAGGCCAGTGCATCAGCCCGGAAGGTTGGTTTTGCTCCCTTTCCCATTTAGGAAAGGATTCTGCACAGGTCCCTTTTCAGCTCCAAGGAGCCCGTGATGTCTGGAACTTTACCACCACCAGGAGATCTTTCACTTCAGGGCTCCCGGCTGGTAGCATCAATACTTAGGTGATCTTCAAATTACTGCCTGTGTTTAAGGGCAAGAAGAAAGAGGTGGCTAATTAAAGTAACCAAACTTCCTGGAAAGTCGTTCTGACTCATTTTCTTTTTACAGAAGAAAGCTTATTATGAGTCACAATGGTTACCAACTTGGTTTAATGGCTTCCTTTGGATTTTAAAAGGCAGATTCACCTTCTCAGCAGTGCATGAATTAAGGGGTGGTTTGTCTCTGGGTTTTAAAGGAACTATAAACAAAGGTGACTTAGAAAGCCCCAGCTCCCTGAAAGCACCCCCTGTGCTGCGTGAAATCCCCAAGGGGTACTGGGGGGTAAGAACTGGGAAAGGGAGGTAAATTTCCCCATCTGCACTGGTCAGGAATGCCCAGGGGAGCATTCTCAGGGCCAGACACAGACCTCCTGGCTGGTGGAGACGTGGCCGGGGGCACATGTTTTCCTTTCTTTGGCCTGTGAGGAAGCCGAGGCATAGATGAAGAATAAGCTGCCCACGAGCTCAGAATGTCTTTGCAGCAGCACAAGGGACCAGCCAAAGCTCAGAGCCCCTGTTCAGTACTCTTTCCTCTTTCTAGATTTCTGAACTATCAGCTTTTCTGTCCTTCCTACCTAATGCTTCCTCATCTGTTGTTACTTTTCCTCCACTTCTTTTTTTGAGACAGGTTCTCCCTCTGTCGCCCAGGCTGGAGTGCAGTGGTGCAGTCATGGCCACTGCAGCCTCGAACTCCTGGCTCAAGGGATTCTCCTGCCTCTGCCTCCCAGGTAGCTGGGACTACAGGCATGAGCCACCGCACCGGGACTTTTCTCCACTCTTGAGGCTGAGAACAATTTTTTTCTGTTCTCAATTATGTGGTTGATGAGAATATAGCCTTACCCATATTTCAAAAGCCCCCAGGTCTGTAACTGACAACCCCCAAGTGCAGATGTGGCTAACCCTGTGACTTTTGACCATGCTGGCCACATCATTGCCTCAATCACAAGGGAGGAAAGAACAGAGGGTCAGGAGGAAGGAGGGAGAGATCGTAACATTCACAGAGCCTCCTCCCACAGCAGGCACATGTAGGCAACTTTATTTACAGCATCTCATTTAATTCTTACAATAAGGCTATGAGATAGAGACACGATTAACCCCATCTTCATTGATGAGGAAACCATAGCTCAGAGTGAGAAACTAACTTGCCCAATATCACACAGCTTATAGCCAGAAATCAAACTTGGCCTTGTCTGACTCTATCAGACTCTTATCCTAGGTCTGCCATTAACTCCCTGCATATTATCTTGGCAAGCGTTTCCCCACATGGACCTTCATTTTCCTCCCCATAGAGGCGGGGTTTGGAGTAGATCCTCTTTAAAGGCTGAATTTTAAAGGATGTGTGCCCAGTTCTGCTTTTCACAATTCTTTCCATCTGTTTCCAGATCTTGCATTTTTGTGCAGCTTTCCTCAGCTCTGAGCTCTCTCTCTCCATCCTTTTTCCTGGTTTTCTCCCCATTCCTTTCTTTCCAGCTTCCCTTTCAGTCTTTTCTCCTCTGACACCCACAGCTGTCTTCTCTGTTTGGGCTCCGATCCTCTTTGACTTAGCTTGTAGTTGTATAACCAACATCTTTGGAGGATGGCTTGGTGGCAGATCCTGGGCTCAGATGAAGAGCATCCCTGTCCTCAAGGAGTTGTCCTTCTAGTGCAGGAATTCATGGCTGCCTGGATAACAGTGACAACATGTGTCTGTAAGGGTGTTCTCAAATACTTCATGCATTTGGCCTTTACAACAACTCTATGAGAGCAGGTATTATTAGCCTACTTCACAGATGGAGAAATGGAGGCTGGTGATGAGAAAGAACCTTAGCTACTTTTCCCAAGCTCCCATACCTAGAGAATGACAGAACTAAGCCTGAGTCTTTCTAGTGACTTTCTACCTAAAGATGGTGGTAGGAAGACTGGGAGTCAACGTAGAGAACCAGGGACAGGGGACATAAGACAATGGTAGCTGTCTGGGCGCGGTGGCTCATGCCTGTAATCCCAGCACTTTGGGAGGCCAAGGCAGGCGAATCACTTGAGGTCAGGAGTTCAAGACCAACCTGGACAACATGGTGAAACCCCATCTCTACTAAAAATACAAAAAATTAGCCGGGCGTGGTAGTGGGCACCTGTAATCCCAGCTACTCAGGGGGCTGAGGCAGGAGAATTGCTTGAAGCCAGGAGGCAGAGGTTGCAGTGAGCCGAGATCGCGCCACTGCACTCCAGCCTGGGTGACAGAGCAAAACTCCGTCTCAAAAAAAAAAAAACAGGGTCTCACTCTGTCACTTACACTAGAGTGTGGTAGGGTGATCATAGCTCCCCGCAACCTTGAACTCCTATGCTCAAGTGATCCTCCTGTCTCAGCCTCTGGAGTAACTGGGACTACAGGTATGCACCACTATGCCCAGCTAATTTTTTTAAATTATCTCTTTGTAGAGCCAGGATCTTGCTATGTTGCCCAAGCTGGTCTTGAACTCCTGGCCTGAAGCAATTCTCCCACCATGGCCTCCCAAAGTTCTGAGATTACATGTGTGAGCCACCATGCCCGGCTGACAACCATCTCTAGATGAAGCACATGTGTGAGCCTGTGCGTGCGCACACACACACACGCACACACACTCTCCCTCCCTTTTTATGATTAAATGACAGAGCAAGTCTGAACTGTATTTGTATGATGGAGTACAATTTTCACAGTCCATCATTAAGTCCTGCATGCACTTGTGCCCAGGACTTGAATTTCTTCATCGTAATAGAAGGAGAAGGGTAGTGCAGGAATAAAATGAAGCAGTGGGCTAGGTAGCCTCTAGGATCTGCACCTCAGTCTGTACTGGCTCCATCCCTCACCTCTCTGGAAGAGAGGAATGAAACTGTAGTCCCCCCCAGACATGGAGGGGGTCCTGATATTCCTGCTATGAATTCCTGAGAGGACATCTTGTCCATGCCTCTCTCTTCTTTTGGAGACATTTCAAACCCATCCCTGGAAAATGAGAGAAGCTGCTTTCTTAGAGACTTATTTTTTGTCTATTTTATATCTCTAAGAAAAACCAACCCCACGTTTTCTCTTGGCTGCCTTTTTTTTTTTTTTTTTTTTTGACAGAGTCTTGCTCTGTCGCCCAGGCTGGAGTACAGTGGCATGATCTCAGCTCACTGCAACCTCTGCCTCCAGGGTTCAAGCAATTCTCCTGCCTCAGCCTCCCGAATAGCTGGGATTATAGGTGTGTGCCACCACACCCAGCTAATTTTTTGTATTTTTAGTAGAGACAGGGTTTCATCATGTTGGTCAGGCTGGTCTTGAACTCTTGACCTCATGATCCACCCTCCTCAGCCTCCCAGAGTGCTGGGATTACAGGCGTGAGCCACCGCGCCTGGCCTTGGCTGCCTATTCCTACAGGATGCCATCCTCAGTGCCTGGAAGTCCTTTCTTATCTCTCACCTAAGACCCTCATGCTGCTGCATAAGCCCATTACCTCTTGTTCTGCTTTTCTTTTTTTTTTTTTTTTTTGAGATGGAGTCTTGCTTCGTTGCCCAGGCTAGAGTGTAATGGCACGATCTTGGCTCACTGCAACCTCCGCCTCCCAGGTTTAAGCGATTCTCCTGCCTCAGCCTTCTCAGTAGCTGGGATTACAGGCCCACCACCACCACGCCTGGCTAATTTTTGTATTTTTAGTAGGGACGGGGTTTCACCGTGTTGGCCAGGCTGGTCTCAAACTCCTGACCTCAAGTGATTTGCCTGCATCGGCCTCCCAAAGTGCTGGGATTACAGGCATGAGCCTCCGCACCCAGCCTTGTTCTGCCCTTCTCAGAGTGGCTCCCACCCCACCTTGTTTCTGCTTTCTGTGACAGGGAAATTAGTAAGTACTGATTCGCCACTCAGCCTGCAGACTGTGGCTCCATGTGCCAGAGATCGCAGAACAGCCTGTGGTGCCAGGATTTGCTTCTCTGCCTCCAGCACTCAGAGAACCTTATCAAATAAAGCAGCCACAGCAGCAGCTCACATCCGTACCATGACTTACAACTACAGATACTTTCTCATCCATAGATTCCCACGCCAACACCCAGGACTAGGGTAAGCAGAGGTGGCAGGATTGTATGGTTCAGATGAGCCGTGAGGAGTTGGCTAGCCCTGCCCGACACCATTCCCTCTTCCTCTTGGAGATCTCCTTAAGGAAATGGTCACCCCTCGACCCCAGTTGCCACCTTTGCAGCCCCCAGTAGAACTTGGACTCCTTTTCTGTTCAACGTAAGAGGGGAAAAAGGAGGGGGAGCCTGGTGTGGGAGGCATCCATAAGCCATCTTTTACCACCCAGAGTTCCCTTAGTTTATGAGTGGTCATTCTTTAGAGCACTGCTTCTCAAACAGTCTGGGAGGAGGACCAGTGTTTATATTTCCAGCCTGTCACAGACATGCACCCAGACCTACTGTGCCCGACAGCCTGCAGCTTGCACTTACCATGCGTACTCAACAGCACCAAATGGCTCACACCCAATTCAGCTGGAGGGCCCACTGATGGAGTGCTTGGATGTGCTATTAACATTTTTAATTTTTTTTTTTTTTTGAGATGGAGTCTCACTCTGTCACCCAGGCTGGAGTGCAGTGGCACAGTCTTGGCTCACTGCAACCTCCACCTCCCGGGTTCAAGCGATTCTCCTGCCTCAGCCTCCCATGTAGCTGGGACTACAGGCATGTGCCACCATGCCTGGCTAATTTTTGTATTTTTAGTGGAGACGGAGTTTCACCATGTTGGCCAGGCTGGTCTCGAACCCCGACCTCAGGTGATCCGCCCACCTCGGCCTCCCGAAGTGCTAGGATTACAGGTATGAGCCACCGCACCCAGCCAACATTTCTAAGTTCTTATACTCACTCTTTGTCCGTAGCTGGTCCTGGACCTCCACAGTGCACAGACCAGCTTTGGTCGTTGCGGGGACTTTCTACCTAAAGATGGTGGTAGGAAGACTGGGAGTCAACGTGGAGAACCAGGGACAGAGGACATAAGACAATGGTAGCTGTCCGGGTGCGGTGGCTCATGCCTTGTGGTGCACTACCTTAGTGGAGTTTGCGTTGTGTATTAGAAAGTCTCTTTCCTGTGGCCTCCGTGAGCAATGGCTCCACCTGACCCTGGGTACATCTTCGTATGACCTCCTTACCATTCCTCTCACTCCCTCCCTGGAGATGTTGGGGGATGATGATGGGAGACCCAGCAGGAGAGGGAGGTCCCAGTCTGTCCTTTGCTGACCGGGGTGGCATGACACCCACCTACCCTGCAGACTGGAAGACTGAGCAGCATCCAGAGACTCAGGCCACTGCAGCTTTCTGAGCCTCAGCCCTTCACTAAGGCACCCAAAATTGCAGACTCCCCCAGCCCCAAGCTGGGAGTAAATCCTTTATGTACCTTGGGTTCACCTTCCTCCCTCAGAAACGATTAGGGCGATGAACACCTGAATGTGGAAAAGTGCTGAAAAAGTGGAGGAAGAATTTAGAAAGAAATGAGCGTTCAAATTAGACAAGTCTTAGGGCCTTGAAGGGCAGCCAGAACCCAGGCAACTGACATGCAGCTACAGTCTGTCCCAACCCAGCCCCCAAGCACCCGCATAGACAAGCAGACATACACTTCAGACCCCAGAGTTGGGGGTGCACCTAGAGGCAGTCTCTTTTCTGGTCGAGGTTGCTCTTTCAAGGCAGAATTGGGTGCTTGAGGAAGTTTGTGAAACTACAGGAGGGGCAGAGGAGATGACAAGTTGGAGTTTGGGGCCAGCATTTGTTATGGGTCTGTGGAGACCACTTCCCCCCGGAAGGGCTTGCCCAGGATGACCCACTCCTAGGACTGTCTAGGAGGTGAAGAAGTGGAAAGGGGGAAAAGCAGGAGCCCTTCCTCTCATCCCCATTCCTCATAGGCTTTGGTTTGGAGGAAGAGGGCCAGAGTCAAGCTGAGAGTACTTAAAAGGAAAGCGGCATGAGGTCACCCCAACAGGGGCTTCTGGGGTTCTCCCACATTGGAGCCTGGGGGTCTGGCAGGACAGGGCAGGATGTGTGACCAGAGCCCTCATAAGTGGCTGGGTTTCATTCCTATGGGCTTCAGACACCAAGAGTTCAAAGTGCCCACCTGGGCTCTCCCTGGACTGGTGAGCTTGCTGGTGGGCGCTCCTGGGGTAACAGCAGATCCCTGGGAGACTCAGGGAGGGCAGGCCTTTGTGCCAAGCCAGGAGCATGGGAAACAGCTGCAGGCATCTCCCAAAAGCATCAGTGCTGTTGTTGACTCAAAAAATAATAGGTGTTCATTTGCATGGCATTTTACATACAGCTTCCACACACTGCCTTTCATCTCCTACCACTGGCACCACCAAAGCCCCCCATGTGTCTCCTTTCCTGCCTGCCACCTCTGGGGGCCTCGTGGTCTCCCCCAGACTCCCAGTCTTCCCCACCACAGCCTAGCCCACCCTTGGCTTAGCCCAGCCAGAAAAACCAGCGGTTGGCCTTGCCTGGGTGTGCCCAGTCCAGGTTTGTACGAGAGGTGTGGGCAGGTAGGCTGGCGTATCTGGACCCCACTGGGCACCTCAGCTGGGGACACTCCACCTGCCCCAGTAGGGGGCTTGCCTTCCCTTCAGCTGCTTGGGCTGGAAAAAGGAACGAAAAATCGAAGCCGGGGAGCCCAGAGAGGTGCGGAAAGGAGAGGAAACTGGGTGGTTGCTATGACGATGGGGTCTCGGCGCCCAATTTGCATAGGGCGATGATTTCCATACTGCAGGGTGAATTTCCATATCCCTGCCTCAAAGCCTGTTGGGGTGGGGAGGGGGAGAGGTCATTTGAAATTCAAATGAGGATGATTAAGGTTTTCTTGAGGAGGGAAGCGTGGACAAAAGGGGTTAAGCCTGCTGGCAAATGTCGGCTCCAGGGCTCCAGGTTATCAAAGGGAGGTGTGTACTTGACTGGCTCCCTTCCCACCCCATCTCCACGGGACCCTGGAGAGCTGGGGGTGGTTGGAGGAGTCGGCGCTGGGCTGGGTGTTATAACTTCTGCCTCACAGGAGAGCCGGCTGGGTCTCCGTCCCTTCCTGCACCTGGGCTCCATTTAGCCCCTCAGTGTCCTGAGGACATCTGAGTTCGTGGGAAGGACCACTGCGTGAATTCTGGGGCTGGGTTCATGCCTTCCTCCCTCTGGTGACCTTGGACTGATCATCTCAGGTTGTCCCTCAGCGAGACTGGGGAATAATCCCTGCACTTTCTTGTTTGGCGGAGGAGGTGTGAGGACAGATGGATTCTGGACTCATCTTTATCACAAACCTGCGAACTCACCTGAGTTACCGTCCCTCTTTCGGCTGGAGTTTGTGCATAAGACGAAGGGTCTGAATCTGAGGGTCTCTAAAACAACTTCCAGCTCTGAGATGCTGGGGTCTGTGAACACACTCCAATCCTTTTCACACATCAGTTAGTATTTGTAAGGCTGTTTGAGCAGTGTGAATTGCTGCACCCCTAAGTGTCTCTGATGTGTTGAGAAGGGCTCCTCTGTTCTGACTTTGGGGTAGTTACTTAAAGGCTATCTGCTCAGTTTCTTCCTTTATAAAACAGGATTAATGATAGTCCCTACCTCATAGTGCTGCTGTGAGGATTACACAAGTCAACATTTGTAAAGCACTTAGAAGAGCGCCTGCCAGATGATAATGCTATTTGCTATTATTAGTATCAGCAGGACAAAGTGTCCAAGTGGTGGGTGCTGTGACCACCAGCCACTCCAGGGAGCCTCAGTGAGAAATATGGCCTGTTTTCCAGGAAGACTTGCCTATACATTCACTCGTGGTCAGCACACTGTCGTGTCCACACATGTCCAGGACTCTCGAGTTGGAAGCATACTTCAGTGACTGTCACCCCACAAGAAGCCCACTCTGCCACCCAGGGAGATGCATCTGTCACATTAACCCACTGTGGGCTCCTCATGTTGATCCTAACTCAAGTTTGTCTTTGCTTCTTAGGAAGTAGGAACATGGCAGGAAGAAGGGGAGGGAGCTGGTGGAAGCACCCCCTCCTCCCAGGACCCAGTGCTAAGAGATGGTGCAGATTCACGGAGACTAGATGTTGTAGTTCCAGAAGATCTAAAAGTCTTTTTTTCCCATAGAGTTTCTGCAGCAACTTCATATGAGGTTTCATTTGGAGATAACATGGTGTAGTATGGACAGCCTTTGCTGGTAGACAGATGTGGGTTTCAGTCTCTACTCAGTGATTTATTAATCAGTAACCTTAGGCGAGGTAATTAACCATTCTGAGCCTCAAGTTTCCTCATCTGTAAAATGGGGATAATAAGAACACCCACTCATAGGGTAGTTGTGAGGATTAAATACTGTCCTGTGTATAAAATGTTTACTACAAAGCTTGGTGCGTAGTAAATGCTCAATAAATGTCAGCTACTAATTAATCCTTATTATTTGAAAACAGTGTTCTGCTGCCAAAGTGTTGGAAAATTCTCTGATCTTGCCCTATTTTCCTATTTTATAGGGGAGGAGACTGGGGTCAGAGAAGGGGGATGATTTTCCCAAGGTCACAGCGGGAGTTCAAGACCCACGTTTCCTTAGGACCCTTTCCCTGCCCCAGAAACAGGTCCTCTGTCCTTTGCTTTGGTTTTGTTCCTTTCTGCTATTTTGTTCTTTCCTTGGACAGAGCTTCCCCTCCGCCTACCACCCTTCCCTCAGAAGTGGCCCGGCACCACGTGACCTGCTCCTGCCACATCTCGGGGTCACCATACCCTTCAATTCTCACTTTCAGGGGCTCTCTGTGACCCTGGCCTGGGGTCCCGCGGCTCTAGCTTCTCACTGGCTCCTCCACAAGGGTTTTTGCTCTGTTCTCAGGGCCTCTGAGTGCACCTTTCCCCTGCACTCCAGCCCTGGGGACACCACTCCAGAGAGGAGGGGAGAGTGTGACCCTGGCAGCGTCACACCACGTCATGGAAAGGACATGGCATCTCCACTCTCTGACAAGCCCTGACCCCTCTGAGCCTCACTTTGCTCAGTGGTAACACAGGATTTCTGTAATTCCGGCCCTGCAGACCTCACAGGCAGGGTGAGGATCAAACAAGAAATGGACATGGAAGTGTGCTGCAAAACGAAGGAACAACTGCATTTGAGCCAGGCATTTTGGTGCAAATGAACCATGCATTTTGGTGGCCAGCACATGGACCTTGGAGCCAGAACTTGGAGCTCTGAGTTCTTTCTCTCCAGCTCTGGAGCAAATGACCTTGGGCAAGTTACATAAGCTCTTCCAGCCTCAGTTTCCTTATGCGTAAGATGTATTGTGAGGAATGAATGAAATGAGTCTATCTGTAGCAGTTTTCAAGTGTGAGTTGCTTTACAAATGTGAGATAGCATCTCTAGGTGTAAGCTTTCTCACTCCACACGCGCCCCTCTGAGCTGCACTAAGCACATCTTTGTGACCACGTGAGAGCCAGCGCCCAGCTGAATCTTGCACCTCTGGTAGCTCCCCCTGCTCTTTCGCTCTCTACCCCTTCTCACCCCCACTTTCCTCACCCTGGGGGAGAGGACTAGGAAAGAGCCCCTTGGACTCTTACTAACCTTAAACCTCTCTGAGCCCCTTCCTCTGGCAAGGCTGGGGTAAGGCTGGAGCGGTGCTGGTCTGGAATCAGTGTTTAAAGAACTCCATGGGCTGTCATGAACATAGTCAAGTCTGGGCATTGGAGCTCAGAGATTTTGTCCCTGAGTTGCCATTTGCTGGTCGCATGACTTTTAGCACATGGCTTGTCCTTTCTGGGACTCAGTTTCCTTACCTGTAAATGGTGGGTCCAGAGCAAGGAGTCTCTGGTTCCTCTCTAGCACAAAAAAGCTCTGATAGAAAAATAGCGTCTGGGTGGGGCGTTTCTCTGAGATGTGTTTTTGGGTGCAACTAGAACAGAGCTCTTATTTAACTTCCTTTGAAGTTGGACTTTTACTATTTTTCCAAGGCTGGGGGATTATGAGTCAAGGTTTTGATTGGGAACTTGGATCTTTTGGCCCCGTTCCTTGCAGCAGTGGCCTGAGTGCCTGGACACTTTTTTCTGAAACCTGGTGCCGTCTGCTCAGGGTGCTCCTTCTGCTTAGCCCTGACCATGCTGCCACTTTTGCCCCTGGCTCTATGACTGCAGCATCAGTGTGTGGCCAACAGGGGATGGGGTTGAGGCAGGGATCTCCTGTTGCATGGGAAGCCCAGAGGGCCCCATCTCAGACTGAGAAGAAATGTGGGTTGTATTTCCTAACGAACAAAGAGACCTTGCTGAGGAACCTTCCCTTTCTCAAAAAATGACATGAAAAATTGCAGTGGGAAGCTGAGGGGATGCTGGGCTCCTCTGTAGCAAAGGTGGGTGCAGCAGAGCTCCTCTGTCCCCTGTGGCATGGCCCTAGCCTCCTGGTATCTGTGGGACCGGCCTGGAGAGCAGGCTTCAGGGTTTGATTTCATGACTGTGCATTTGAAGGAAAGTCATCAGAATGCCCTATAGTCCACGTCACAAGGAAGCCCTGAGGTTGGTGATGTTGACTCTTCTCTGGGTAGAGAGGTATGAGCTTTAAACCATGAAAACTCCCCAATCCACAGACTGTCAGGGGTAGAGAGAACCTGACAGATCATCCAGTCTTGGAGTAGCAAGTGAGTGTCTTCAGGAGCACTAATTCTGGTCACCTCTAGTGGTCGGTGAGCCCTGAGTTTAGGAAAGAAAAAGGGAAAGCCAGGATCCATTAGTGATGTCTGCCTTGGGCATGGCTTGCACACACGCGGTGTCTTTGCATTTGCTATCCACACCCTGGCTTGACCCAGGACTCTCAGCTAGTGGAGAAATAAGACTCAGACCTCCCAACTCCTAAACCAGTGCTCTTCCCACAGTCCCTCATGGGGCCTCCTGGGTCCTATTCTTCAGGTGGCTTCAAGGATTGCTTTCAGGCTTCTCCTGGATATTTCCTCACTCCTAAGAAGGAGGTGGCAGGAATGGAGACAGCAACTTTTTGTTTTAATATAATGTTTAGAGGAAGTTGAAGGCTACGGAGATTAAGCCACTTGCCAAAGTTGAGCATGAAACAGCCTCCAAAGTGACCCTAGAACCCAGTTTACTGTGCATTTTCTGGACAGAACTCTGACCATTAGGCCACACTTCCCAGTTCCTTGGATGAATCTCAAGTACCAAAAAATGTAGGCATAATGTCTGGGGGCATCCTGGAAAAAACTTGTTTTGGGCTGGTTTAAATGACCACGCTGGAAGCTTCTCCATTTGTTCTGGTGGCTGGCTGCTGAGGAGCGCTTCCAAGGTCCCAGTAGCTTAATGGTTGCTCTCCCAGGAAATGCCAGCAAGGTGCTAGTGTCACTAGAAGTCTTACTGGGTTATACTGGAAAGTAGAGCTGGTGAGAAGAGAACCAGAGATGGGAGAGGCTCGGCCCCATTGCCGAATGTTCTCTCCATTGTTTACCAGGCAGAAGTGAAAAATCCTGCTTGAACAGTTCTCCGGCTTCCACCTCCCTCACCCAGAGAATTGCTCCCCAGGCAAACTCACATCCCAGGGCTGCCAAAGCTATGCAAATCAGCCTTCTAGCCTGGGCTGTTGGCTCATCTTGGAGGTGGGAAAGCAGGACCCTCCTAGGGGCCCCACGCCTAGCTCCTGGTGTTAGGGGCTTGGCCAGGGAGCTCAGGTCACTGTTGGTGGGCATCCACGGTGTCCACAGATGCCAAGGGGAGGAGAGGTGGAGGCGGAGGCTGCTTTTGACACTGGGCACCTCCTCCATTAGGATCCTTGGACTTTCCTCTGCAGCACTTCATTGGGTATTATGGCCGTCTTGGCCTAAGGAGATTGTATTGGAATCCTGGGGCTCCCCAGAATTTTAGTGTGCCTTTTACTCTCTTGATCACTTAATTCAAATTCTGTGGACCTAGATGTTCTCATGTTTAACCCAAATCCCTCCAACTGCAGCTTGGCTTCTCACTGGGAGCTGTTTGGTGGAGATGCACAGTCCTGGGCACTGTGTGGGAGCAGGGATATGCTGGCGTTGGGGGGTTAAGTTGGGTCTTCGATGAGTCCTCAGACATTCTCCGAGTTTGAGATGCCAGAACCTCGCACGGTGACTCATGCCTGTAATCCCAGCACTTTGGGATGCCGAGGCAGGAGGATTGCTTGAGCTCAGGAGTTCCAGGTTAGCTTGGACAACATAGTGAGACCCTGTCTTTACAATTTTTTTTTAAATTAGTCAGTTGTGGTAGCACACCTGTGGTCCTACCTACTGGAAAGGCTGAGGTGGGAGGATTGCTTGAGCCGGGGAGGTCAAGGCTGCTGTGAGCCATGATTGCACCACTGCACTCCAGCCTGGATGACAGAGTGAGACATTGTCTCAAAAAAACAGAAAAGATTCCAAGAATGGAGTCTTGCCAGAGTGGGAAGAAAACAGTGCTTTGGGGTTGGAGACATGGTTTTTTTTTTTGTTGTTTTGTGTGTGTGTGTGTGTGTGTGTGTGTGTGTGTGTGTTTTGTTTGTTTGTTTGTTTGCCTCCCCCTGAGGATCATTCCCCACATACCTGCATGCTTTAAAAGCTCTTTCACTTTGTGCAATCACTTACCCTTGTTCGGTCTCAGGCTCAGTTTCCTCACCTGTAAAATGAGGTGAATAATAAAACCACATCTTCCCAAAGGCCTGGATGATCTCCTGCATTCCCTCCCAGCCTTATGAGCCAGAGTTCCTGGGCATATGCCCTCTCCTACTTTCTTGCCATTGAGGCCTCCTGGCCCAGAGATTCCCAGGGGTCCATGAGAACCAAAAGAGGCCTGGAGAGATCCCAGCTGTTGGCCCTTCCTACTTGGCACAGATCTCATCCATTTGCTCCCAAGACCTCCAGACAGGGAATTCTGGCACTTCCTTTGTGAGCCCTTTCTGCCCTACCCCTCCCTTCTGTGTACTTAATCTTTTATTTGTATACAGAACCAACAGGACCCAGGGAAATGGTGAAGAGAGTTCTTTGGTCCTCCCTGTGCCTCTCTTTGCAGATGCTGTAGACAGTGACAAGATTCTGGGAGGGAAAGAAAAAGTCCTGGTACGTTTCAATCAAATGCATTGAATCCTAAGACTTCAGCAGATGGAGGGAATTTGGGAGGTCACTTGAGATCCCCTTTGACGCTATCAAATTGACTCATCAATTCAAACATCAGTTCTGTAACAGCCCTGAAATAAGCAGCCTCCGCTTGAATATTCCTGAGGATGGGGAGCTCTGTGACGCTGCAGGTTTCACTGTGGACAGGTACACTTTTTACAGAGTTCTTCCTTATGCTGAAAGGAGGCCTGCTTCCCCACAGCTTCTACCATTGTTCTGCTCTTTGGAGCTGTAGGCTAAGCCTGCTTCACTTCCAGGCCAGTATATGGGGAGGAAGGAAAAGTCCACTGACATTTATTTCAGCACTGACTGCACCAGGCACAGGGCCAGGTGCTTTCAAATGTTCCCTCAATGAACCTTTTCAACTTTTATTTTGAAAAATTTCAGACATACAGAAAAAGGAAAAGAAACTTCAATGAACAGCCACATATCCATCATCTGGATTCAATAATGAACATTTCGCCATATTTGCTTCATCTATTTTTCCGAAGTATTTTATTTATACATTTATTTTCAATATCTTTTTATTCTGGACATTTTTAAACAAACACAAAATGAGAGACTAATACAATGAGCCCCCAAGCACTCATCACCCCTTCTCAGCAACCATCAAATTCTTGCCATTCTCATTACTGGAATATTTTCTTTTAAATTACAGGCATTATAACATTTCAGTCCTAAATAAGGGAATATGCATCTCTAAAACATGAAGACATTTTCCTTCTTAAGCACAATATCATTATCACACAAAACAAAACGAATCCCTCATTTAATTCTCACAGCAATTTTGATGGTAAAGTATCTTAAAATATGCACACGCATTTTTAATTGCTTTATGTATCAGCTATGATTATTTCTATTCTTGGTTCCAGTTTGAGGTTGGTTGTTGGTATTGCTGAAAGCAGTCTTCATGAGGTTCCACCTTGTAGCAGATGGTCTTAAAAGTGGAGCATATCTTTGCGCAATTGAACTGCTTTAGCTGACTATCCAATATGAAGTAGAAAAGCGGATTTCCAGTTTACATTATTTGTCAAAATAGAATTCCCTAATAAAACTTTTGGTTGGCTTTTTTATATTTTTCTATCGTGGTAAAAAATGCATAACATAAAATTTACTGTCTTAACCATTTCTTTTCTTATTTATTTAATTTATTTATTTATTTATTTATTTATTTATTTATTATTATTTATTTTGAGATGGAGTCTCACTCTGTTGCCCAGGCTGCAGGGCAGTGGCACAATCTTGGTTCACTGCAAACTCTGCCTCCTAGGTTCAAGCAATTCTCCTGCCTCAGCATCCTGAGTAGCTGAGATTACAGGCATGTGCCACCACACCCAGCTAATTTTTGTATTTTTAGTAGAGACGTCGTTTCACCATGTTGATCAGGCTGGTCTCGAACTCCTGACCTTGTGATCTGCCCACCCTGGCATCCCAAAGTGCTGGGATTACAGGCGTGACCCACCGCGCCCAGCCTACCATCTTAACCATTTCTAAGCATACAGTTCCACCTCCCCATCTTTGATTTTATATAGTTGATTTTTTTAGCCTAAATACAGGACTTTGTATTTATTCCTGTTACATTTTATCTTGTTGGTTTGGGTCTCCTGTTAGAGCCTACCAAATATTTTCTAATCCTGATTCTGTGGTCTACTTTTATGTATTGCTTTCTGCTCTCTGCTTCGAATCACTTCCAGATTTGATCCGCATCTATCTTCTTTATTAGCCTAAGCTGTTGATTAAGGTCTAAAACCATACTCAATTTTTTTCTGCGTCACTCAATGCGTTGGAGTTATCGGAAAAACTGTGTGAGTTTGGTAGTTAAGAAATCTGAGCTGTTGTCCTGGTTCAGGTTCTCTGAGGCTATGTGTGGCCTCAGGAAGGTGTTTTCCCCTCTGAGGTTAGACTTTGGTGTTGGACTCTGAAAATAATGCTGCTGGCCATATGTGTTCTGTCCTTTTCTGGTTTTTCTGCAGCGGCAGCCATCTTCCAAAGACGGAGCCAGGGCTTGGAAATAGAACGTGTTCAGGTTTCTGTGGATGGGGATGCCTGTGGTTTCTTAGGTCTGAATAGGAGGTTAGTTTATGTCACAGTTTCTCAGTGATTTGGATCTGTTAAACATATGATCCTTCAGTACCTACTGTTTTAGACACTTGGGGCATAAAGATGAGCAAGATATAATAACCCTGGCCTCTGGGACCTCACAATCTCATGAGGGAAACAGACACATAAGCCACTGACTCTAAAAAACATGGTATGTGCTATAAGGGATAAGAGCTGGGCGCAGTGGCTCATGCCTATAATCCCAGAACTTTGGGAGGCTGAGGCTTGAGGCCCAGAGTTCAACACCAGCCTAGGTAACATGATAAGACCTCATACACACACACACACACACACACACACACACACACACACACACAATTAGCTGAGCATGGTGGCACATGCCTGTAGTCCCAGCTACTCTGGAGGCTGAGGTAGGAGGATTGCTTGAGCCCAGGAGGCAGAGGTTGCAGTAAGCTGAGATCGCACCACTGCACTCCAGCCTGGAAAAGAGGGTGAGACCCTGTCAATGAATGAATGAATGATGCAGAAACACAGAGGAGGAAATCCTTTGTTTTGCTTTGGATAAGCTTCTTGGAGAATGACTTTTAAGTTGGGTCTTGAAGGGTGAGTATTTTCTAGGTAGAAGAGGAGGAGAGAAGGGCCTTTCAGAGGGAGCAGCATATGCAAAGTCCCCAACACAAGATCAGACTCCACCTTTTGGGGGGGTGGTCTAGGGTGTCTGGAACCCAGCTCTGCAGTTTAGAAGCCTAGCCATCAGCTTATCTCACTCAATTCTCACTGTATTCCTGGGAAAGGAATGAAACAAGAATCATGACCTTGTTTTACCACTGAGATATCAGGAGGTCCCTGCTTTGACCAAGTTCACATAGCTTGGTGGTGATGGAGCTCAGGCTCGAACCTCAGTCCTCTGACTTCCAGTCCAGGACTCTTTCTAAGCATACCCTGCTGCTCCTCCACACAGCATCTTACAGGAGTAGAAAAGTTTCTGGTGATCGTGGACCAGTTTTTAACACAATATAATCATTGCATCTCTTCCTTTCTCTGGGAAAGAGGAGTACCTTCAGTACTGTTTCAAAGATGAATAAATTTAAGCATTGCAGGAATGACTGGCCAGTTGCCTTAATCTGGAGCATTGGGGCCACAGCAGAGCCCCCATGACCTAAATCACCATCTGCAGTTCCCAGGTACCACCTTCCATGCCTTCCTGTAGGCTGGGTGGGGAGAGCTGCTCCATGGAACAAGTCCAGTGACCACGGAAGGAAAGCAGGAACAAGCATGGCAGTAAAATGAGGGCTGCGGTGGTTCCTCTTCAGCCAGATCCGGAGGGAGAATCAACAGCATCACCAGATATGAACCTAATACCTCCAGTAGACTATGTCCCTATGTCTCGGCCTAGACACATGGGCTCGGAGACATGAGGGAGGCCATGTCTCCCAAGAGCTGTCTTACCTGAGTGCCAAAGGCTGAGCCATGTGCCACTCTCTGCCCTCCGGCAGCGCTAGGGGCCAGTCTCCCGGGAGGGCATGGCTGGCCCCTGCACTCTAATCCTGCCCTTCATTGTGCCTGGGAACAAGGAAAATGAGAGATACCACAGCAGATAAGAATGAATTTGATGAGAAGGGGAAACTCCATCATCAGGCTCCAAGTGGAGCAGATGCATCCTCAGGGTGAGATGCCTCTTGAGAAGGGGGCCACGGCCAAACTTCCGGGCAACAGAAATGGTTGATTGTGTTGGTCATTTTCAAATTAATCTCTGAATTGTGCTTACACACCTTTTTCATGTTATGGGTCTCACTAACAACATCATAATGGCATTCACAGAAATCAAAAGTGAAGACACTTTTTAATTGTCCACAAACCTGATGACCCTCTCCAAGTCAAACTGTTATACAATGCTATTTTTCTCACTTTCTAGGTCTCATTCAAATGCATATTGTCTCCTTTCTTGAAAGCCCCTCTCCTCTTACACTCCAGGGCAGCACACTTACCCGGTCTTTCTTCCATTTGCCTGCCCACTCTTTCTCAGTCTCTTTTGCTGGTGCCTCCTCATCATCTAAACTTGACCCTTTTTTCTTCCTCATCTAGGCTCAGTTCCTTTGTGACCTCACTGGGTCCTGCGGCTTTAGCTACCACCCATAAGCTGAGGGCTACACAATTGATACCTCCTGACCGAACACTTCTCCTGAGTCAAACTCATTTCCCCACCTCTTCTGGGATATCTAATTGGCATCTCAAACCTTGCATGTCGAAAGCATAACTCTTGAGTTCTTCCCCAAGTCACCCCATCGTAGTGAGTGGCACCACCACAGCTTCACCGAGGAAGCCCAGACCCTAGGAATCATCCTGGATTCCTTTCTTTCCTCTGCCCTCCACATCCCCGCATCAGCCAGCCCTGTCAGCTGTCCATTTAAGTACATCCTGGCCCTGCTCACTGCATCCACTGCCACCATCCTATCCAGCCCGCTGCCCTCCCACTTGAGCTATTGCAGCAGCCTCCCAGTTGGTCTCCCTTCCTCTTCTCTTACCCCTGCAGGTGTAAAGGCTTAAGTCAGATCATGTTACTCCTCTGCTTGGAACTCTCAGATTGACCCATCCTCCTTGGATTGAAAATTGCAGTCTTTATCACGACCCAACCAGCAGATCCCATGCCAACTCTCCATCACTACTCTCTCCAGCCATACTGACCTCATTATTGTCCCTCAGCGTGCAAGCCTGTTCTTGCCTCAGGACCCAGTCTTTCCATCGGAAATGATCTTTCCTCAGGACTTCGAAAGACTGGGTCCTCACTTTGTTCAGAGAAAATGTCACCTCCCTTGAGTGGCCCTTCCAGGTCATCCTGTTTCTGATCAGCCTCAGATACTCTCTACCGCCTTACAGTGCCTTCTTGTTCTCCACAGTAATTATCTGTAAATGAAAGCACAGTGCATTTTTGTTTGCTTAGTTCTTTCTTATGTCTTCTCAACTAGAAAAGAAACTCCATGAGGCCAGTGACTTCCTTCTTCTCCAATATTGTATCCCCAGTGCCTGGAACAGCACCTTGCACATAGACTGTGCTTAGTAAATACTTGTTGAATTAATGAATGTGTTCTTTTGTCAAGTCTTTGAACATTACTCCTTATTAACCCAATGTTACAACATCACAATGTCACAAAGGGATTTTTTTTAAGAGAAAAGCAATTTTACCTTCATCTACCCCTTTCAACACAGCTATTGCGGCTGTGGGTCCTTCCCGTCTTTAGCTCCCTTAGCAGATCTCTTTTTTTTTTTTTTAGACAGAGTTTCACTCTGTCACCCAGGCTGGAGTGCAGTCATGCGATCTCGGCTCACTGCAACCTCCGCCTCCCGGGTTCAAGAGATTCTCCTGCCTCACCCTCCCGAATAGCTGGGACTACAGGTGCCCATCACCATGCCTGGCTAATTTTTGTATTTTTAGTAGAGGTGGGGTTTCACCATATTGGCCAGGCTGGTCTCAAACTCCTGACCTCAAATGATAGACCCACCTGGGATTACAGGCTTGAGCCACTGCACCCAGCTCCCCTAGCAGATCTGATATATCATCATAGCTGATCTCAAAACCAGGCTTTGCTCAGAGATCATTTTGCATCTCACCTCTCCCTCTTTCTCGGGACCCCACCTGCTCTTCATCCTCTGCTGCCACCTTGCCAGCCCACCTGCTCTCAGAGATGCGTCATGACCTCATGACCACACAGGAAAGGGCTGTACTTGCCCATGGTTGTTTAGGACACAGCTGAGGAAAAGGGGTTAAAACAGGGAATTCTCTTAGACCCCATTCATTCATCTCTCAGGTGTTTCTTGAGCCTCTTATCCATGTTAGGAACTGTGGTCATTTTGTGGCCACTGAGGACAAAAAAAAAATGGGTGTCACTGTCCAGCTCCCAAGGAATATATAGATGCATATATATAGCATATTGTATATGCATATTAATATATATGCATATGCTGCGTAGTGCTGGGCTCTGAGGGTACCGTATTTAGTAAATAATTATTTTCCTTGCTGTTATAGAACCAATAATACAGGAGACCCAAAGGAAGGTTGTGCGGCAGCTCCAGTCCTGGAGAGCTATGTGAATAGGAAAAGCAATTTTCCTATTCACATAGCAAAAGAGTGAAAATGACTCTGCTAACAATAGGTATAAGTTTAAGCAAATCATGGTATATCCATATAATATAATATTATGTAACCATTAAAAATGATACTTATAAGCATAGAAGCATTTATGATGTTCCTTAATAGCATAGGAGAAATATTTATGATGCTCACTGGAAAAAGTGGGATAGAAGTCTATACAGAGTGGTATATATCCATGAAGAGAAACAATTATAAATAATATCATAAAATATACAAAAATATTAATTATGACGTCCTCTCGGTAGGGTGATTTTTCCACTACTTTAGACTTTTTCTGAACCAAAAAGCTTTGCTTTTCTTCCTCTTATGTATTTATTTATTTATTTATTTTGAGACAGGGTCTCATTCTGTTGCCCAGGCTGGAGTGCAGTGGCACAATCAGGGCTCACTGCAGCCTCTACCTCCTGGGCTCAAGCGATCCTCCTGCCTCCACCCCCTGAGTAGCTGGGACTACAGGCATGTGCCATTATGCCTGGCTAATTTTTTTGTATTTTTAGTAGCAATGGGGTCTCACTGTGTTGCTCAGCCTGGCTCAAACTCCTGAGCTCAAGTGATCCTTCTGCCTCAGCCTCCCAAAGTGCTGGGATTACAGGCATGAGCCACCGTTTCCAGCCACCAAAAGACATTTCTTTTAAGCACATATTTACTTTTTCAGCCCAACATTTATGGTAACAGTTGAGGGTGAGAAAAAACAAGAAAGACAGCTGTCTAGCTGACATACTTTAGGTGTCATCTCTCCTGGAGGGCTGGGCTAGTAGCATGACTTCTGTCCTAGGGAGTCCTTTGGGATCCATGCTGGTCTCTTCTTGGTCCCTTGGTCCCTGGAGGGATGTAGCAGCTGCCATCTGAGGGGGAAGCCCGGGCATAGAAGCATGCGGTGGAGTGAGCTCTCCAGTTGGCATGGCCAGCTGTCCTCCCCACAGACTCTGATTTGCTATGTGACCTCAGACGATTCAGCCTCCCCTCCAAGGTGACCCTTTACCCAGCTATCACCACCCTGGAGGAGACTTTCCAAAGGCGTTTCCAGGAAACAGGTCGAGGAGGAGGATCCCAACCACAAGCGAAGCAGGTGCTCTTTTTCAAAATAGAGCCACACGCCTCTCAACATCCTAGTTTTTTTCTAACCTTCAGCTCTTCCAAACCTGCTACCAACTAATATACATATATTTTTATCTTTTCTAGGAAATGATCGAAATGGCCTAGATTTCAACAGGCAGGTAAGAACTTGGGTCAGAAAGAAACGTTTATTCTATAAAATTTGGGCATCACCTATACTGTCTGGTATGGAGGAAGACAAGATTAAGTACAGTTTGGGGGTGTTTATTCACAAACCCCAACCTTTCAGGATCAAAGGACCTTGAGCCCAACCTCCCACCCTAACCCATGAGCCAATGTTGGGGTCTCTTCAGTACTCTCTCAGAAAAGGGCTAACAAATGGAGCACCTGTTTAGGGTAAACTTTATGCCAGATGTGGTCCAGAAATCTAAGACAAGAGCTCTTTTCCTGTCAATGCTTAGCCTGAGTTGCCTCTTGGGTGGGTGTTTGCATGAATTGACTGTGTACAGAGGAATTTATGCAGCCACAAAGGATGAGGTGCCTGGGTTGCCACAGAGAATTCCTGATTTAAAGGAAGAAGCTAGAGAACATAACAGGAAACAGATAGGCAGAAAGAGCTCAAAAAAGAGCAGGTAACCAGGCTCGGGGGCAATGTAGACATGCGCCTGGTGCTTTGCAAGGAAACCAAGTTGAATGAGGTTAGACTTAGTTAGGAAGGGCTTTGGGCAGAAGAAGGTGGTGTTGGAAAGATTGCAGGACAGATGGATGTGGATGTGTAAAGAGAAGGGGGAAGCCGAGGGAGAGGACTTGCCCTTGAGGTTGGAGGCTGATGGGAAGATGGCGGGGTGGGAGGTAGGACAGGGTGTGATGTCAGAAGCAGATGGCGGGAGTGGGAGAGTTTGTTGGGAGGAGAAAGGCTAAGCTGGAGCCAAGCAGGGAGCAATAATGGGGAGTCCTAGAGTGAGGGAGAGGGGTAAGAATTAAACACAAACTTAGAAAGCCTGGGTTTTCGTCCCATTTCTGCCACTAACTAGGTGTATAACCTTAATCAAGTTATTTAATATTTTTGGTCTGAGTTTTCTCAACTGAAAAATTAATTTATTCCATAAATTTGGCAGTGGGGGAGTACTTGCACTATGCCAGGTATGGGAACACAAAATTAGGACATGGTCTCTGCCTTGAAGGAGCTCAAAGTCTAGTATAAGGACGGGGTGGAATGTCTATAGAGAGAGGGAGAGGGACAGACTTACTCTTAAGTGAATAATTATAATACAGCCTCATTTATGTTTTACTAGAGGTATGGAAAAAGTGTAAAATCAAATAGAAATAGGAACACTGAATTCTTCCCAGGAGCTCAGAGCAGACATCATGGGTGAGGTGATATCTGAGTCTGTCTCTGAAGGATGAGTAGGAAGTTTTAGTCAGAGAAGAGTGACGTAGAAAGGGAGATGGCAAGAAGGAAGGAAAAGGGCTGCATTGGGTAATCACTAGGATTCCTCCCTTAGATTCTGCTATCCTGAGTCCAGATCTAGATGGAAGTCTAGGATGGGGGCTGGAGATCAAAGGCAGACATAGGTTCTTCTCCTCCTTTATCTGCAGAGTGATATGAAGTCACTGTTTTGTTTTTAAGACAGGCTATCACTCTGTTGCCTAGGCTGGAGTGCAGTGGTGTAATCACAGCTCACTGCAGCCTTGACTTCTGGGGCTCAACCAATCCTCCCACCTCAGCCTCCCAAGCAGCTGGGATCACAGGCATGCACCACCACGCTTGGCTAATTTTCTGTATTTTTTGTAGAGATGGGGTTTTGCCACCTTGCCCAGACTGGTCTTGAATTCCTGGGCTCAAGCAATCCTCCCTCCTCAGCCTGCCAAAGTGCTGGGATTACAGGTGTGACCCACAGTGCCTGGCCTGAAGTCACTATTAACATTTCCTAAAAGGCTGCTAATTCTGGGTACATTCTTCACAGTCAGAGAGAAGAATAATGTTGAGTCCTAAGCCAACACCTTTTAGGCAGGCAAATTCTGCAGTTTTATTCATCAGGAAGGCTGGGGAGTTTGCTAACAAATGAAAGCCAACTACCCTCCCTTTACACCTGAGAACTAAAACAGAGATAGGCTTCAATTAAAGAGAGATCTAAGTTAGCTACAGAGAGGAAGGACTTCCAGCCAATGCAGTTTATTAAAAACTACCAGGGGAGGGAAACTGTAGAGTCAGCATCTCACTCAAGGTCTTTAAATGTGAGACAGGTTCTTACCTCAGAGATAGTTTGGCCAGGTTTGCTTCAAGGGCAGGAAAATGGAGGAGATGCCCAAGGATTCTGTGATTCTGATGGATTCTCTGATCCTGATCCTAAACAGGTTGGGATGTGTCTTGGGCCCTGTGCTTTCTGCCCTGAGGACTCAGGTTTCCCCAGCCCAGGGCCCACCTCTCCTGGCCCCAGCCCCTTGGGACAAGATGCACGGGGAGGAGCCTCTTCCATACCGAGACATGGCAAGGCCAGCCTTGCGGGGAGGTGGCCAGCTTCACAGGCCCCATGGGCTTGGCGGCCCATGTGATTTGTTGGAAGCTTGAGACACACTAGTGCTGGAGAGAAGGATGAGGGCAGCCCCTCTGACCCTGGGAGGCCCCTGACCCTTGGAACATCTTTGTAGTATGGTTTCCCCACACGGTGGCTGCTGCTGGGAGTGGGCCTTGCTGGAGTTTGTTTCCCTTGGATGAGCCTTGTGGGGTGAGTTGTCCCCTCCCTCTTCTGGGAGGGGTTTGGATTCTCATCACTGACAAGAACAGACACGACAGATCTTTCCTTTAAAGAGGGTGGAGGGAATTTTGGAGGAAGAGACACTCTGCCCGGTCACGTTCATTTACACACTCAGGCTGGAGCTCTCCTCCGCTCACACTCACACCAGCTCACCTGCAGGTCAGTGGGTGGGCACCCAGGACTTCCCAGGCCCCTGCTTGAGGGTCACACTCTCACACTTCACAGCAAGGGAAGCAAACTAAAACTTGCTAACCGCCAGGCTCGGGGCAAGGCGCTTCTGGCACTGTATCTCCTTTAATTCTCACTCTAAACCAATGAGGTAGGTGATACGATCCTCATTTCATAAGTGAGAAAACTGCCTCCCAGGCAGCCCCGCCTTTTTCAGAGAAGGATTTGAGAGATTAAATAACCTGATGAAGTTCACACAATTGGTTGACAGGCTGAGCCAGGATTTGAACCCATATCTCTTTGACTCCAGAGCCCATTTTTCCCATGAGGCCTTGCTGCACCTGCCCTGCTCCCTGTATCCACACACCATCCCTGGGGAGAGGCCTGGGAGCCAGAGATTGAGTGTGACCTCACCATGACTAACTGGGAGGAAATGGGAGGTAGAAGGAGTAGGGAGGGGAAGAAAGAATGGTTGTGTAGGAGCAGCCTCTGCATCTGACACAGACAAGGGGTTGGCAGAAACAGGGGAGCAGAGAAAGAGCCACTGCCCTGGGTGAAGCTCCTGTTGCAAGGCCCCAGGCCAGTTGGTGCAGCCAGATTCTGGGTGAACCACAGTCCTGAAGTTGCATGAGCAACGAATGCTCATGGCTCATCGGGAAGTTTCCACACTGAGCCTGTTAACTTCCTGGTCCCAGGAAGGCAGACTGAGTCTGTCTGGGGGAAAAGGGTGGGAAGGTCAAGGGACCCAGAAGCAAGGCCAACCCTCCATCCCCAGGACAGATAAGATAGACTTGAGAGGCAACAGGCTAAGGCCCTGGATAGGGACTCAGAAGTCCTGGGTTCCAGTGCTGTCTGTCCCTCACTAGTTGCTGCCTTATACAAACCTCTTCTTTCTGGGGTTCTGTTTCCTGACAAATAAACTGGAAAAGCTTGGCTGAGATGCTGTCTGAGGCCCCAAACAGTCTTCATGTTACGGTGTCATTACTTATCTCTTGCCATAATTTGGCTGGTTAGTTGGAATCTGACTTCCACTCGACTTCCATTTTATTTTATTTGTCCATTGAAGAGAAATCAGGAAGAAAGTCACCCTTGAGCTGTAGAGAGTGAGGGGAAATATGTCACATGGAATTTTTCCAGCCTTTATGATTGTGTGTGAGCCAGCGAAAAGAATCATTTGAAATCTAGAGGGTGAAACAGAAGGACCCAGTAGGCTGGATCTAGGACCATCCATTCAACCTTTGAATATGCAGCCATTCTTAAGTGCTGGATAGAGAGGTGTCTGTTGTAAGAAGATAAACTGCAACGATGCATAGTGAATTCTGTGAGAGACATGAGAATGCTAAGCTCTACCTAAGGATATTACAGAAGAGATGGTGTCTGAAGTGGGTGGTGAGGGAAGAGTAGGGCTTTGACTAGCAGAGAGGGTTGGCAGGAATATTCCAGGCCTAGGGGATAGTGAGTTGTCTCCCTTGCTGGGTTAGGCCAGGCTATGAAGATGTTGAATGCCTAGCAAAGAAGTCTGGGGCTTATTCTGTGGGCAGTAAGGCGCTACTAGGTGTTCTCAAGCATGACTAGTTTCATTTACTAGAAGAGCATTGGAGGGGAGTGTGGGTGAGAAGGGAAGGGAGGATGAGTGATGAACTGATGCAAGAGAGGCCCAGTGGAATGCTGCTGTAGCCAGAAATGTGAAGGATACAGACAGAGCATGAAAGTTATGCACACAGGCCAGGCGCAGTGGCTCATATCTGTAATCCCAACACTTAGGGAGGCCTAGGTGGGTGGATCACCTGAGGTCAGGAGTTCAAGACCAGCCTGGTCAGCATGGCGAAACACCATCTCTACTAAAAAATACAAAAATTAGCTGGGTGTGGTGGCAGGTGCCTGTAATCCCAGCTACTCAGGAGGCTGAGGCAGGGAGAATCGCTTGAACCTGGGAGGTGGAGGTGGCAGTGAACTGAGATCATGCCACTGCACTCCAGCCTGGATGACAAAGCGAGACTCTGTCTCAAAAAAAGAAAAAAAAGAGAGAGAGAGAAAGGAAAGAAAGAAAGAGAGAAAGAAAGAAAAAGAGAGAAAGAAAGGAAGGAAGGAAGGAAGAAAGGAAGGAAGGAAGGAAGGAAGGAAGGAAGGAAGGAAGGAAGGAAGGAAATGCACACAAACATAGAGCCTGGCTGCCTGGCTGTGAATCCTAGCTCCAGCACTACCTGACCATGTGACCTTGGGCAAGTTCTCCAATCTCCATGTGCCTCAATCTTCCCATCTATAAAGTGGGGAGAATAGTGATATCTGTCTCACGGGGTTATTGTGAGGGTCAAATGATATGTAGCTAACTCTTAGACAAGTATCTTGAACATATACACTGTATATGTGCTATTATTATTACTATTTCAGTAGGCATGGAGAGACCCAGCTTTAAGAGATAATTCTGAGATAAGATCAGGAAGATTTTGGCGACAGGTTGGGCATGGACAGCAAAGAAGAGGGATGAGTTAAACATGGCTGAGAATTCTAGCTTGAGATGCTGAACATTGGTGGAACCACAACCTATCATCAAGAAGACAGGAGGTGGAACAAACTTATCCAGATGATGGGAGGAGAAGGAGGGGCAGAGAATGAGCTTTGGGAGCCCAATGCATGGCAAGAAATTTGGATCTGGAGCCCAGGAGACAGGCAGGACTGAAGATGCATATTGGGGAGTTGCCACTGGATCATATTACATGGAGTGATGAGAGGGAATGGGATTACCTGGGGAGGATGTGCAGAGTGGGAAGAGGACCAAGGACAGACCTGGAGAAGGGCACTTAAGGGACAGGCTGAGGAGTGGATGTCTATAGATGAAACTAGGAAGGAAGGTCAAAGGGACAGGAGGGGAGCCATGCTCACAAAGGAGAGATGTTCATGAAGGTGGGGAAAACCAACAGCATCAGAGCATACGGAGCAATACAGTAGAGTCTGAAGCCTAAAAGTTGGCTAGGAACTTGGAAGTCAGGCAGGCAAGGATAGCCTCTGCCTGGTGTCTGTCTGGTCCACAGTGAGAGTGGATGTCAAGCTTGCTGCCACTGAGGGGTGAGTAGGAGTCAAGGAAATGATGGAGACTTGGACTGTAGAATTCCCTTTCGAGGAATAGGGTGATAAAGAGATGGAGGTGTTTGGCTTAAGATGGAGGCAGTGTGAAAAGAAGGCTTTTGTGGAGGAAGGGGACTTGAGTGAGTGTGGCCTGGGAAAGCTAGGAAAGGCAGTGCAGGAGAAAGGAAAGAGGGATCTGGTGGTGGCAGTGGGAGGACCCCAGTGGAGGGCTCTTCTGAGAGGGAAGGAGGGTTGAGTGCCCTGGCAGTTGTGTTCAGGAGCCCAGGGCACAGCTGTCCTTGCCTGGAGTCTCTCCACTCCATTTCCTGCTCTTTGGGCCACCAGCTAACTTCAGAAGAAAACTGGGAGGTAGAATTGGATTAAAGGGGCTTGGGGGTTCCAAAATGACAACTGCATACGTAGGTGGCCTCACACCTGCTCTGTTCCGGTAACTTCTGGAACCCTCATCTTCCAGGGCCATGGATTTCCACCAGGCAGATCAGGACAGTGTTTTATGTATGCTGTTGAGCATTGTGTTGCTTGAAGACCTCCCAAAAGTCCTGTGAGGCCAGAAGAGAGTCTGAAGCAAGTTGGCAGCTGTCCTTGTCCCACGTTTCCTGCCCCAAAAGCTGAGAATCAGTGGCCTGGGGTTTCCTCTCAGCCCCACACTTGGCAGCATTCTAAGCTCACCTGCACCAATGGCTCTCCCATGCCTGTTTCTGGACACCTGCGCCAGCTCGTCCTGAGGAGTTGCCCTGGTGTGCCCTAGTGTAGCATTTAGTTTTAAACCAACTGGGATTTTCCATCATTGTTTTGTTGAATGTGACCAACCAACTACCACGGTTCTCTAGCTGCTCCGAGTACAAATTGACTTGTAATTAATTGGCTCGTTGGGGCATCTTCTTTAAAATCAACAAGATTCAGGTACGGAAAGGTCTCCAAGGACCCAGAATGATGGAGAGGTTTCTTCAGGGAGGCCAGTGAGGGAAATGCAGGGGCAGCAGTGCCAGGCCCTGGAGTTGGCAACGGAGGGTCCGTGGTGATGGCAGAGTAAGTGCCCCCCCACAACCAGGAGCAGCCTCAGGACAGCAAGCACCAAAGCCACTGAGCCTGAGAGAGCAAGGGAGGGAATGAATAGGCCATGTTGGATTGTTTAGTTCCACAAACCTGCACTTAGCTGACTATTAGGAAGACACAGAAGAGTACATCATGGTCCCTGCCCACAGGAGCTCCCAGCCCAGTGGGGAAGATGTAGGGTCTGCCGCAGAGAGGGAGGTCAGTGGGGCTGGTTCAGAGGGCCTAAGAAAGCCATGCCAGGAGAATAGAGCCTCAGGGTAGTGGGTCCAATGGAGGGAGGCTCCGAGACCTCTTTGGGAGGATGAGAACTGAGGGCTGAAAGACTCTTGTTCCCCTGAGGATTGCTTGCTTCTGTTCCAGGATCCAGCCTCCAGTCCTGTACTTCCTGGTGGACACAGGATTTGGGGGTGGTGGGGCAGGGCAGGGCGGGGCAGGCTAAGAAAGAGAAGAGGATGAGGAGCCAACAAACCACATTTTGCTCAACCCTAAGCAGTACAGCTGGGTTTTCAGGGTCAGTCTATAATAACCTCTCTCTCCCCTCCAAAATGTCAAAGCAGAAATTTAAATGCAGGAGCCTGACAGATAGAGCTATGTTGGAGATACGGTTTTGATGCCTGGCCACAACAGGCTTTCTAAGACCTCACTGCAGAATTAAACACATCCACTAGGCACAGATAGAGCCGGCAGAAAACAGACCTGAAAGCACCCTCCTGGCCGGGTGCAGTGGCTCACACCTGAAATCCTAGCACTTTGGGAGGCCGAGGTGGGTGGATCACCTGAGGTCAGGAGTTCAAGACCAGCCTGGCCAACATGGTGAAACCCCACCTCTATAAAAAATACAAAATACAAAATTACAAAAATATGCATTTTTTACTAAAAAATACAAAAATACAAAATACAAAAATAAAAATACTAAAAATACAAAAATACAAAAAAATATTAAAAATACAAAATACAAAAAAATTAGCTACTAAAAATCCAAAAAAGTTTAGCCGGGCATGGTGGTGCACGCCTGTAATCCCAGCTACTTGGGAGGCTGAGGCAGGAAAATCACTTGAACCCAGGAGGCAGAGGTTACAGTGAGCCGAGATCGTGCCACTGCACTCCAGCCTGGGTGATAGAGCCAGACTCTGTCTCAAAAAATAAAAAATAAAAAAATTTTAAAAAGCACCCTCCTAGTCAACAGGCAGATCTGGACAGAAGGCCCATATGGGACCAAGCCACACCCTCCACCTCCTTCTAACCCTGATGTTCTCAGTTTTATCAGATCCAGTGTCTCTTGTAATGAGGCTCCTGTAAAACCCCTTTAATATCTTAGAGTGAAATTTATAGAAAACATAGGCCAGGTGCGGTGCCTCACGCCTGTAATCCCAGCACTTTGGGAGGCTGAGGCAGGTGGGTCACCTGAGGTCAGGAGTTCCAGACCAGCCTGGCCAACGTGGTAAAACCCCATCTCTACTAAAATTGCAAAAAAAAAAATTAGCCGGGCGCAGTGGCTTATGCCTGTAGACCCAGCTACTCAGGAGGGTGAGGCACAAGAATCACTTGAATCCGGGAGGCGGAGGTTGCAGTGAGCTGAGATCACACCACTGCACTCCAGCATGGGCAGCAGCGAGACTCCGTTACAAAAAAGAAAAAACAGATATACAAATAAAAATCAGTAATATTGTCTAATTTGAATAAAAAGGAAAAAGCAAAGTAATTTATAAAACAATGTGTATTTCAGCAGGTATATCCTTAGACATATTCCCCTAAAAGGTTTAATGAGACAGTAGGTCCCTCATGCCTCTATGAGTGTGACAGACACAAGTACAGGCTGATATTGGTATGCTATCCTGGCTGCTCAAAAGCCACAATCTTTCAAAGTGTTAAACAACTCTTTGTAAAGCTCCAGCCAAATCTAATACTTCCTCAATTAACACAGAAAATGGCATCCCTGGGTAAAATGCATATTAAGAGTGTGTAAAAGATACTTTGTGTTCACATAAAAAATAGAGTTGGGTTTTGGGCTTATATGATTATAGTCAGGCTGTTCACCGACACAGATGTCCGGTGGGGCACTTGGAAGTCATATAAAAAGTTGTATGGGATGCAAAGAAGTGTTTATTTGATACTGTCTTCTACAGCGCAAGATGTCTAGAGTACCTGCCCTCAGCCCAATAAATGCAAACCACGCCTCCTAATTATTAAGACAGCCAGAGAAACCACGCCACAGATTTCAGAAAACATCTCCCGGGGTAGCTGTGATCCCCAGTGAGAACGAGTGACCTTGACCCACCAAGGGGATAAGTCACTTCTCTTACCAGGAGACAGAGCCAGATGTGACTGGCTGGAGACTTTCCACATAGAAATACAACACCAGGAAAAGGCGCCCCCAGAAAGAATGCATACAGCCTCTGCCCTCAGAGAACTTACTTGCTGTTTATCCAGTGAGGGAGATGGGTCTGAAAAATTCCTAAAAATGTCAGAGCAAGGGGTGTGTAAACCAGCGCCACCCCCACA
Source organism: Homo sapiens (assembly GCF_000001405.40). Taxonomy (NCBI): domain Eukaryota; kingdom Metazoa; phylum Chordata; class Mammalia; order Primates; family Hominidae; genus Homo; species Homo sapiens. The sequence goes on from NC_000011.10 coordinate 120,278,656, forward strand.
GGGAATGAGCTGCGCTGACTGAGTGATTAGGTGGATATGGAGCAGAATGTTCAGGCAGGAGATAATTGGCAAGATTAAATAACTCTCCATGGACACAAGGGCCTGTCAGGGGGTGGAGGGCAAGGGGAAGGATAGCATTAGAAGAAATACCTGATAAAATGACGGGTTGATGGGTGCAGCAAACCATCATGGCACGTGTATACCTATGTAACAAACCTGCACATTCTGCACATGTATCCCAGAACTTAAAGTATATATAAAAAAAGATTAAATAACTCCCTTCTCCAAAGTGATGTCCCCATTGTAGTCAAGATACTATAATAATTATAGCATTTCTTGAACTCTGACTGTATGCCGGGCATTGAGTATAAAAGGGTTTAGCAACCCTGTGAAGTAGTTGTCATCATTCCTATTCCATAGATGGGAAAACTGAGGCACTGAGAGGTTAGGGAATTTTCCCATCATAACACTGTTCACAGAGAAGTCTGTATTTAAAGACAGGCTTGCCAGACTCCCGACTCTGTGGTTCTCCCCCCACCACTGCCTGCTTGTCTCGGGAGGAGGCCGTGTGATATGGTGGTTGGGTCATATTGTCTGTATTGGTCAACTCCTCTGCGCCTCTGATTCCTCATGTGAAGATGAGAACAGTAAGAGTATCTATTTCCTAGGGATGGCGTAAGAATGAATAGAGTTAAGATCTATAAAGTACTTCGAATAATGTCTGGTATACAATAACGCACCAATAAACATTAGCTCTTATTATTTTCTGATGAATAAGAACCCATCATTTTCTCCACCACCCTTCTCCCTGTGTGGTTACTTAGCTGGGCTTGCACCAGGTTGGAGGGCTGCAGATGCTATTAGAGAGGTAATTTTTTTCTGGAATCCATCATCTCCCAATCTCAGCCCCACCGCCCTCTGCAAGCGTGGGCGGGGAAGCAGTTGGTAAACGTGTTTGTTTTTGGAGAGGTGGGAATTTGTCCTCTTTTGCCAGCCATGCTTGGTGCTTTGGCCTGAGGCTCAGGTGTCAACTGTTTCCTGTTTGTAGCCTGGGCAGCAGCCCCAGTACTGGGTGGACCAAGCCCTGTGGCAAGCCCCATAATGAACAGCACAGAGGAACAGGAACAGCTGTCTGAGTTCTCCAGAAGCCTGTGCCTAGTACTTGCTGGTCTACCAGACAGCCCCAAACACCACCAAAAAGCCCCTCTGCAGCATGGGGTTTGGGCCTAGCTGATTCCGGCTCCAGCACTGGCATGAGCTCTGCATGCATTCTGGATGGGTAGCGGAGACCGAATGCTCGTCTTGGCTCAGGTGTTGGGTGGAGAACAGTGAGAATGAAGGAGGGAGAAGAAGGTAGGGGTCCTTCACCTGATTGTGCAGGAGCCAAAAAGTGGCTTCTCTCTGGAGATTTCAGTGAGTTGCCTTTGGTGGATGCAGACACTGATGACACTAAAAGCAGGGCCAGGCCTTCCCTTTTTCAAGCAGGCGTCTCTTTGGAGCAAGGCTTTTGAAAGGGAAGCTGGATTTAGCCCCAAACAATAACAGGGGAAGTTAATACTATTTATTGAACCTTCAGTTTATAACAGGCAGTGGGTTGAGTGCTTTGCAAGCAGTATCTCATTTAAACCTATAGCCACCCAGAGCAGTAGATTTTATATTTCCATTTTAAAGATGAAGAAACTGAGGCTAGGAGAGGTCAAGCAACCTGCTTAGAGCCAGAATTCAAACCAAAGTTGAAGTGCTGTGCCAGGCACTTTACATAGGTGATATCTTACTTGAGATTACCTAATTAATCCTTACAACAGCCTGGTGAGGTAAGCATTATTCTTCCCATTATAAAGCTGGGGAAACTGTAGCTCAGAGAGGTTAAGTAACTTGCCCAAGGTGGAGCTCAGATGTAAGACAGGCCTGTCTGACTTTCTACCATACCAGGCTGCTTTTGAGAGAAAGAGGACAGACAGAGAGAGAGAGAGAAAAAGAGAGAGAGAGAGAGTGTGTTTGTGTGTGTGCACTCCTGCAAATGAGACATGACCTAATGTTACCCAGAGCCCCTCACTTGACATGTGTCCAGTACTTTTCCATGTTTCCAAAGCCCTGTCAGTCATACCAACACCCGCAGACCTCTTCTGGCTGAGGCTTGCCAGCAGAGATGGTAGAGATAGTATCTGCAGGCTCAGGGAGGGTTGCCAGGTAAAGGGTGGGGTGGAGAAGTGTTCCCACCCAAAGAGGGTTCCCCTGGCCCTTCGAGAAGCCGCCTCCCTGGGCCTGTGCGTGAGAAGGGTCCAGGGAAGAGGCAGTGTTTGCCTGTGTGTGCCTGCAGGGAGGGGGCGGGCCCTGGCTTTCTCTTTGCCCCCAAGTCAAAGAGGGCTCTGCCTGCAGCTCTTGTAACCAACCAGAGAGTCGTCTTCTCCCAGAATCATAGCCTTGGCTAAAAATAAACTTTTTCCACCTTAAAGCTTCCTTCCCCCTAGTCTGACCCTTAAGCGGCTTTGGAGGCCACCCTGGGGCTCAGGTGCTGTTTCTGTGTCCCTGTACACTTCCTACCTGATACCAGGTCACAGCGAGTTTTATGTCCCTCTCTGCTTGACAACTTCCAGAGGGCTTCTCTAAGCCAATAGGTTTTTTTCCACTCACAAGAACTGTGTCAAGGGGGTGTTAGTGCTCTCATTTAACAAAGAAGATAACTGAGGCCCAAACGGTTGACTGGCCTGCAACTCAGTAGCAGAGCCAGGACTTACTCCATTCCCTTTTCTCTGTGACTGCTGGATCACAGGGGCTGTGCTCACTACAGGTCTGTTATCTCCAAATCCAGCTTGTCCCACTGATCACCGCTGCCTTCATGGCCCCCATACCCTCCTTGACCTCTGCTGCTTGTGTTCAGATCAAGTGTTGAGACTTCCCTCCCTTTTCCACCAAAGCCCTCTTGGCTCCCAAATGCTGAAGATAACTTAGTTCACATCCTGCTGTGCTTTTCTTTCTTGGCAGCCCCTCCCCTGCGCTGGCATCTACTCATATTTCCTCCCGTATACTTCATCAGCACGGACTGCTGTGGGGTGTCCCTGGTTCCAGTCCTGTAGCAGACAGTGTGGTTGCAGATCGAGCTCTGGCATTACACAGACCTGGCTTTGAATCTTGGCTCCACCAACACAATCTGTGTAACCTGGTGACTTATGCTCTCCAAGTGTCAGTTTCCTCTCTGTTCAATGGGAGGAAAAATAGGATCAACCTTATAATGCTGTTAGGAGGAGGATTCAATGAATCTTGAGTGTAAAGTGTCTTGGACACAGTAGACACTCAATAACTGTGAGTTGTTGTTATTCCCATTGCAACAATTTAGCAGCAATGTTGGTTCCAGTTGCCCCATTTCATATCCATGTGGCTCCAGTTCACCCCTTCTTCTTAGCTTTGCCCTTGGAAGGCTCTGAAGACCTCTGGTTCCTCCGTTTCCAGATGACAGTGCTTCTCAGATTCCCCCAACTGCTGGCCTTCTTCTGAGTGTTCTTACCTGTGCCCTGGTGCTTCACTCAGTCATTACTAAAGCAGTCATAAGAAAGCCATGCTTTCGGTCTGGGCTATGCACTCAGTCTGGGCCAGGCAAACACAGGCATGCCTCACTATACCTAACAGGGTGGTTTTTGAAATGTTGTATACAAATCAAAGTTTCATCAATGAAATATTATTTTCCTTCACCAGAGAATCTGTGTTTAAAGAAATATTAGGCTGGTCACAGTGGCTCATGCCTGTAATCCCAGCACTTTGAGAGGCTGAGGCTGGCGGATCACTTGAGGCTAGGAGTTCAAGACCAGGCTGGCCAACATGGCGAAACCCTGTCTCTACTAAAAACATAAAAACTAGCCAGGCATGGTGGCGGGCACCTGTAATCCCAGCTATTCTGGAGGCTAAGGCACAAGAATCACTTGAACCTGAGAGGCAGAGCTTGCAGTGAGTCAAGATAGCACCACTGCACTCCAGCCTGGGTGACAGAGACTCGGTCTCAAAAAAGAAACAAACAAAAAAAAGAGAAATATTAGACTGAATATTTTCAGAGATCAAAGAATGAATTTTTATGGTCAGTTAGAGCCAAATATCATCTATAGGCTTTGCTTAAAGCAAGTTATACATTAAGATTTTTATGTTTATATTTTCCCCCTTGATGACATCTCACAGTGTGTGATCCTAACAAGAAATTTTTTAAAACTTAACCTAGGCCATCACTGTGGATGGTTTCATCTGAGGGCTTGGAAGTGGGTTTTGCGGGCCACTTATGTAGCTGGCAAACTGAGCCTAGGAAGATTTGGATACCCAGTCACTGGCAGTAAACATGGGTTCCTGCAGAGGCCAATGGTGGAGAGCTGTGCTCCTAGCTCTGGGCTGGGACTTTTGCAAGTGTGGCTGAGAAGAGTGATCAAGCTGGACTTGGACTCTAAGGCGAGAGCTGCCAAGCCAGAGAAGGCTAACCACTCTGTCTGGGAGGAGGAAGCAGTGAAGCTGCCTGAAGACAAGGAGTCCCTCCCTAGGTGTCTGACATGAACCAGAACCAACTTCCTTTCTGAGGATTTGGTGCCTCCCTTAAGGATGGCCTGTCAGCTTGGAAGAGGGCAGCTTTCTGGCTATTTAGGGCACTCCCCAGACTGTGTAGAGGCTGCACTTGCCCACGTGACCTGGGAGAGACAGGTGCTTTTCTGGCATAAAGCAAGGTATGGAGCAGCAGCATCTGGGGTTTGTGACTTTGTCCAGGATGTGGCAACCCAGCAGCATCCAGTGGGCTGCCCCGTCCTGCTCAGGCAGGCCTCTGAGGATCTGGGGAGTCCAAGTGCATAAGAGGCCTCCAGTTCCCCTCCTTCCCTGGGCCCTAAAGACTTCCAAGTACCACCTGGGAAGCAACGAGAATCCTGTCTGGAATGATGGAAGCTCCCGAAAGCAGAGAGGAACAGAGAAGTAGGCATCTTGATTCTGGTTTGCATGAGCCCTGACCCTAGCCTGCCCCCACCCACTCCCTTCTCCCCACTTCCCATCTCATTCTCAGGTTCCTGTTCATCTTTCCAAACTCAGTTCAAATGCCTCATTCTCCAACTTACCCCCTCCACTACCTCCACCTGTGTGCCTTAATAGGCTTCGTGTGTGTGTGTGTGTGTGTGTGTGTGTGTGTGTGTGTGTGTGTGTGTCTGCCCTGCCCACCAGTCAGTGGAATATTTGGGAAAAGGGTCTGTATCATATTTATGGTAGAACAGTGCCTGTGCGGTTCAGTTACTGGTGCATTCAGTAAGTGTGTTCTAAATAAATGCATGGAGGCAAGCGGATCACTTGAGGTCAGGAGTTTGAGACCAGCCTGGCCAACATGGTAAAACCCCATCTCTACTAAAAATACAAAAAATTAGTGGGGCACGGTGGTGCGCACCTGTAATCCCAGCTACTTGGGAGGCTGAGGCAGGAGAATCACTTGAACCTGGGAGGCGGAGATTGCAGTGAGCTGAGATCTCACCATGGCACTCCAGTCTGGGTGACAAGAGCAAGACTCCATCTCAAAAATAAATACATAAATTAAGTAAGTAAATAAATGCACGGTTGGATTATTGGGCTGAACCTCTCCACCTGCCTATCACCCCGCTTCCTGGGGGCCACGAATGCCCATCTCCTCTGCTCTTGTGGCTGCTTTGCTCCCTGTTGTCTTTTCTTGCATCCAGTGATCCACAAAACCTGCCCCCTTTTCCCAGGAAGGTGAACTTGTTGGCTTTATGCAAATAGAGTGTGGAGTGGGCTCCATCCAGTCAGCTCTGGTAAATATTGCCTAACCCTACCACTTGCCGGCTGGGCCCGGGAGCTATTTACAGAGGCATCTCAGTGTTGGCTTGGTGGTTGTTGGGTGCTAGGGCCTAGCCTCTAGGGACCCGGAGTGTGTGCAGGACTCTGACCAACCCAGTTTGAGGTTTGTAGTTAGATCAGCTAATTATCCCAAGCCAGAACAGGGCTCTTACTAAACGCCCCTTAGGAAGTAACGTGGCCATCCTGGGGCTGCCTCTCCTGGCCATTTGAATGGAAACAGTGTGGTTGGGGACATCCAGTGACACATGACATCACTGTAACATTATTTTTCATAAACTGTGGAGATAAATTTGTGTTGAGCCTTTAGCCCCGGGGTGAGTGTGAAACTCACAGACTTTTAGGGCTAATGGGTCCTTGAGGCCGTCTGTCCCCTGTTCTCAGCAGCATCCCACAGAGCCCCGCTGCTCTGACACAAGGCTGTCTTCCTCCTTTTAATCCTGTGTGTTGACACGTTTGTTTATTCATAATATAATGTCTTTCACCCTCAGCGGTGAAATTTTAAAAGGAGAAATGGAGTGCAGGTGTACAGAACTAAATATATTCCATTTTTATCGTTCAAGATTTTGCATTTTTGGTGTTAAAATATTTAGTGCACGTAATGAAACGAAGGTCAGAGTCGGTGATGTTAGTTACTTTACTATTCTTATTTGGCAAAATAAAACAACTGTATCTGACTCTAAAAAAAGAAATGTTTACTAATCATGAGCCTCAAAAGCCTAAGAAAGAGTGATTCCAGTACGACCTATGCCTCATATACCAATTCTGCTGACACCCCTGTCAGATGGCCTGTGGTCCCAAGTCTCTGCCAAAACTCATCCTGGGTTTTCAGACTTGCTACCAGCCTGCTTCAGGACTGAGTGGGTTGAAATGCTAGACGCCATCACCTCTCTTGGTCACTCTGCCCGCTTCTGTTTCAGGGCCTGTGTCTGTCCCAATCACATGGCAGCCCTTCAATATTTGAGAAGAGTCATCACCCTGAAATCATCCCTTTTCTGTGTAAATATCCTGGATCTGTAAACGATTCCATATGTTATGCTGCTGAATGCCTTCCTTAAACCAGTTATATACTTAATACATGAATACTTTCCGGTTATAAAAAAATTTCATAATAAAGATTAAAAAGGAAGATTATTTTTATCCCTGTTCATGCTCAGTCCTCTTCCCAGAGGTAACTCCTTTTATCAGGGTAGCGTATATATGTCTGGAAGACTTTTTCTCTGGATATATATTACAAATGGAAATGTATAAATTTTTGTGGCCTACACACATATGTACAAATTATACCGTATATATTCTTTAGTGGCTTTTAAAATTTTTAAATAATGTTTATAGGTTGTTTCATGGCAGTACATAGAGAGTTATATGATTTTTGTTAATGACCACATAATGTTCTATTGTTTGGGGGTTTTTCTGTTTTTTTCTGAGACGGAGTCTTGCTCTGTCACCCAGGCTGGAGTGCAGTGGTGCTATCTCGGCTCACTGCAACCTCCGCCCCCAGGGTTCAAACAATTCTCGTGTCTCAGCCTCCCCAGTAGCTGGGATCACAGGCGCCCACCACCATGCCCAGCTCATTTTTGTTTTTTTTTAATAGAGATGGGGTTTTGCCATGTTGACCAGGGTGGTCTCGAACTCCTGACCTCAAGTGATCTGCCTGCCTCGGCCTACCAGAGGGCTGGGATTACAGGCGTGAGCCACTGCACCTGGCTTGTTCTATTGTTTTAACATAATCTTACTTTTCCATTCCCCAATCGATGGATATTAGGTTGCTTCCAATACTTTATTTTACAACGCTGTGATGAACTCCTTGAATTCGTTTGTGCCTTGTTGCCTTTACATGCATGTGTTTTGGTCTGCCAATCACTCCCTTTAAGTATGAGATCCACAAGTGTACAGCATAACACTCAATGCTCAGGTGAGATCCAGGCGGGCCAGAGCACGGTGTAACTATTTGTTCATCTAGCCATCCATTTACCTATTTGATTGTATTTATTGAGCAGGTACTATGCCTTTCTCTTGCCCTGATTTCTACTTGTGCCAGCTGCAAATAAGGCAGTAATGGGGCCTGCCCTCATGGAATAATGCAGTCCAGTACAGGAAACTCCCTCCATTCAGATACTCTACTTCTGTTAGTACCGCCTATCCTATGGGGTTTTTTAAAGGTAATTATGTCACACTGTCAACTTATACGCTCTTTGAGTCAGTTAATGCATCTCAAGTCTTTTTTCATATAAATTGTTGTCTCAACTTGTGCAGTTAATTTTCATATTTCTAAGTAAAGGATTTTTATATTTGTTCCTATGTTTTATCTTATGACTTGCTTCCCTTCCTGCTATATGTTTGAGCTTTTTTTTTTGTGAATCTTGATGTCCGCGCAGAGTATTAGCTGGCCCTGCTCCTCATGCAGAGATGTAATAAGTATGCATGCTACATCTTCATCCATCTTACTGATAACATTCTTAGCCACAGTGGACCACAAGCAGGGTCCTGTGGCATACCATTGGAGATGTCCCTCCTAGATGACAGTGACCCATCGTTAATCAACCCTATCTCAGCCCATACCACCTCATCTTGACCTCCAGGACAGTACCTAAATACATATTTACATATTTCAATGATAGTATCTGTCTGATCCCCCATTCTAAAAACCTGATGTTAAAGGAAACGAACCTAGTTTGGCATAACTTTATAAGTCACATGATATGGTGGAAAGAGGGTTGATTTGGGGGATTTGGTCAGGCCTAGATTCAAGCTCTGCCACTTAGCTATATGGCCTTTGGGAAATCATTTGACTTCTCTGAGACTCAATTTCCTATATGCGAGGACTGTCAAACGTATTTATGCATTAGTACCACATATGTTTAATAAGCACTTACTAAGTGATGGACATTATGCACTGTGCTGGGCAGGCCATAGTAAGCAAGATAGGTCTGTCAGGTATTAAGTGTGCAAAATTCATATCTTCAATCATTTTAGTGACAGAAATAAGGAAAGCCCTCCCTGGAACAGGTTTTCTAGACATTCAGCCCTAACCCTTGAGACCTGGGGATGTATCAGAGATTATTTCCCTTTTATACATAGGGAAACTCAGATACACTGGTAGAGTCCCTTGGCTCAAGTCCACTCAGCCTTTTGGTAACAAATTTGGTAGCTGCTCCCTAGCCTTAGAGAATTTATCTTAAACTGTCAATTGAGTAGGTTCAGCCAACCCTTGTGCCTAGAGCCCTGTCCCCAGCTAATAGGTGTAACAGGATAGGCACTTAGTTAATACAAATTAAGCCAAAGCACAAGTCAAGTGTTAAAGAGAGCTTCATGGCAGTGCTGCATTGCCTCACTTATCCAGAGAGCCAGTAGCCAACCTATTTAGACAGCTGACAGTAAGAAGGAAGCAAATGAGACCTCAAGCCAGGCCCTTTCTCAGAGCCTTAAACTTTTATTTTAGGGATGGTCTACTGAGCTTAATGATGTGGTTTTTCTAACCCTTAGCAGATAAAAGTGCAAATTCAAGCTGGAATAGGGGATTGCTAGAAGCAAGCATACCAACAGAAGCAGAGATAAACTTGATTGTGAGAAAGGAAGAAAAAAAAACTGGGAAAAGCAGAGCTCAGAGCTGAAAAAAAAGAAAAGAAAGAAAGAAAACAAACAAAAAAACCAAAAAAAAAAAAAAAAAAAACAAGAAAAAAGGGCAGTCTGGGGCCATACAGTACTACAGCCAACAGAGGTCAAACACATCAGTATCCCTGAGGGCATGGTTGCTTTTAAAACAAGTTAGAAATTATGACTCTGAGTCATTGACTAAATTATCTTTCAGGTATGCTTTAAGACAAAATAGGGATGTATATGATACATTTCAGCAAGATCTCTATTCGAAAAGAAACCAATAAATGTCTATCCAAAACCGAAATAAAAGGCTTTGGAGCTTCAAGAGATAGATTTCTGTGACTGAAAATCCACTTCTTTAGGAAGGATTCCTGAGAAAATCCTAGGCATTTGAAAGGTACGCTGAATTTTAGATGACTTGAGTTCAAGTCACAGCTCTCCTGCTAGCCAACATGTGCCTTGGACAAATCTCTCACCGTTTATGACCCTGTTTTCCACAAGCAGGAATAACATTATCTACCTTTTCAATCTCATGAAAGTATTCTGAAAATCAACAGAAATGTGTTTGAAAGTGCTTTGTAAACTGCAGAACATCATGGAGATGTACAAGTGAGGTCTGTGGGCCACACCCCTGGTGTTGCCTACTGCGAGACAGTGACACAAAATGTGGACAAAGAGATCAATTCCAAGTAGTTGCTTTAAATATATACATACGCACATGTATGTATTACATACGCACATGTATGTATTACATATGTACATGTATGTAATACATACATGTGCATATTTTCATATATGGGTGTATGTCTGTTCATTTAGATAATGTACCTTTAAACCTCTCAAGACACCTTTTTCACAGGCAAAAGAAGCAGCTCTACAGCTAACTTTGTCATCTTGTGAACTGTAACATTCTATATAGACACGTGACGTTTTGAATGCTTACTAACTTTCATCTTAATCTTCTCTAATCTAACACTAAGAATTCGCTTTTAAAAATCAAACATTGCAGAAATATATGGCTTAGAAAGTGGATACCTTCTAGAACCCCAAATGCTCTCTGCTGCATCTGTGATTAGCAGTTTGGCTTAGGGACCTTCAGATTTTTTTCTGTGCTAGTTCTGGTCCTGGAAGCATTCAACAGACAATTCCTGAAATAAACAGCCCTTTGTTAAAAAAGAGAAACCTTTAGGGGTGGAAATACATTTTATATTCTAAAAGCTCTCCAGTCTGCGCTGTTTGGGCCTTAGGCTCATCTTCTTGAGTTCTTACTTAGGCAATTGCGGTAAATAGCTTTTTAACCGGCTACCCTCGCTACAGTCATGCTCTCTTCAAATCCATATTCCACAGGGCTGTTAGGATAACTGAACTAAAACTAAAATCTCACTGCAATCGCTCCCCTTTACTTTAGTTCCACCATGCCCTCAGAGTCCCTTCTGAACTCTTTTGTCTTCTGCCATGGGCCCCTGCCTGCTCACCCGCCTGTCCTCTCCCTCCCCTACAGCAGCAGTCCCAAATTGCTGGTAGATCCTGAACAGGAAGAGAAAGCCCCGTTTCACCCTCTGCGACTTTGGACAGAGCCGCTTCTTCCACTTCCGCTTCTTCCACTTCCGCTTCCTGGGATGGCTTTCTTTGCTTTTGCTGCCTGGCAAACTTTTCTTCATCCTTCAGGGTTGCTTAGAAGGACTTTTCTTCCGAGAGCCTTCTTCATCTCATTCCCTTTTCTCTAGCTATTCTCCTCCCTGACAAAGCGAATGGCAGCCTTTTCTTTGCCACCTCTTACCTGCTTCTGAATGTTAGAAGTACTGCTCTGTAGGAGATGACTCTGACTTGCACAGCCTCTCAATTAACCTGGGGGCTTCCTATTCATCTTTGTGTCCCTAGTGCCTTTTGGTATACAGTAGGTGCTTGGTAAATGTTTGTTGGACTAAACTGAAATGGAAGGGGAACCTTTATAGGGCAGGAAACTGTTTCATTCACGCCACACAGAAGACCACCTTTTCCAGCTGCTGTTGAAACAGACCTCGGGCTGCCTCACTTGATTTGGGGTGCCACAGGAGTACAAGAGACAAGGAAGACCTCAGTCTTCATGGAAGACTAAACCATGAAAATTACCAGAGATAACCATTTGCTTCATTTATCCAATGCCCTTCAGAGGCAAGCTTCCAAATCACAGGTTTACTCAGGAAATGCCAAAGAGATTCCCATTCAGACCTGTTGAAAACTTCACTCTCAGTAACTATTTGGGCCACAAATATGTGTAAAGTCCCAGACTACACTTGTAAGTGTAGCCTGGAAATGTTTACCCCAACTGTGCACCATACATAAAAGCAATGTAGTACACAGAAGAGGCTGGAGTGAACAAGCACCTCTCAGTAGCTTCCAGAAGCCCAGAATTCTGAGTGGGAGGCCCAGTGCAGGTGCCTCACAGCATGGTACAGGCAGAAGGGAGGGGTCTGGAGGCCAAATAACCATGTAGAGAGTCAGGCTCTCCTCTTCCTAGCTGTGTGATGTTGGGAATGTTGCTTAAATTCTCTGAGCCTTGGTTCCCGTATCTGTTAAAACAGTTTGGTAAGATTACTTCCCTCATTGAATTATCAAGAAGAATAAATGATGGTATATTTGAAAGTGTTTCTCATCTCTACAGTGCTTTAAAAAATATTTTTTCTCTTTCTTGAGCTAATGCTCCTGTAACTAATCTGTGTAGTGCTTCACGATCATAAGTTGGTGTGTATATGTGTGTGTGTATGGGCACGCGCGTGCACGCGTGTGTACGTTCAGGACAGGGCATGTGCACTTCCTTTTATTGGATTCATCTGGAACCCCATAGTAAAATACACACTAGGACAGAGATTTCATGACATTCCTGAGCCACCTTTTTCCTCTCTTTACCTCTTCTCCTCCTAATGGGGGAGGTAAGAGCAAATATCCCACCTTGTAGTTACTTTGTATATGTGAGACTCAAGGAAATACAGGATGCTGGCTCCAAAGCCAAGTGCATTATGTTTCCATATCAAACAGATGTGTGTTTATCTGATTCTGAACCTTGCCCTGCATAGTCATTGAGAACTCTGAGTGGGGTTCAGAGTTCTTTCTTTTGACTGCGACTAAATCTCAGTAGGGGAACAGCAGGATTAGGGCTACAACTGAGTTATTACAATAGCCAGAGTAGGCAACAATTTCAGAGTGATAAAAACAGATGACAGAGACACGTGGCAGTGCAGTAGAATGAACTGGACACTGGATAGGGAGTTAGCAGATCCGTGCTAATCAGCCCTGGCTTGGTCTTTAGGACTAACTTGACTGTAGCTCTAGCTGTGTTTCCCTGAGCAAGTTATTTTCCTTCTCTGGCTTCAGAAGTCATACTGTAAAATGAACCAGGTGATGTCTATATTTCCTTCCAGTTCTGATGGCGAAGGAAGGCAATCAACACATTTTGGAATATCTGTCATACACCTAGTGCAACCTACACCAAACAACTTTGAAGAGTCTATAATTCTATAATTCCATCACACACACAGAGAGTGAGGATTGTACAGAAATATGGAGTCAGACCAACTTAGACTGAAATCTCAGCTTCATTATTTACCAGCAGTGTGGCTTTATGCAAATTTCTTAATGTCTTTAAGCCTCAGTCTTTTCATCTATAAAATGGGTCTTGTAACATAGCAAGCATACTTACATGCTTATAAGTCTACTCCTACTCTCTCTTTATACATTATAAATTTCTTTTCTTTTTTCTTTTTTTTTTTTTGAGATGGAGTCTAGCTCTGTCGCCCAGGCTGGAGTGCAGTGGCGCAATCTTGGCTTACTGCAAGCTCCACCTCCCGGGTTCACACCATTCTTCTGCCTCAGCCCCCTGAGTAGCTGGGACTACAGGCACCCGCCACCACACCTGGCTAATGTATTGTATTTTTAGTAGAGATGGGGTTTCACCATGTTAGCCAGGATGGTCTTGATCTCCTGACCTCGTGATCCACCAACCTCAGCCTCCCAAAGTGCTGGGATTACATGTGTGAGCCACTGTGCCCAGCCTGAATTTCTTAAGTAGATTTCATCTGGTCTATTTCTCTTCTTTTTGGAGGAATAATCTAGGACTACAGAGATGAGTGAAGTAATGTAATATTAGGTCATGCAACTAGTTGGAGGCAAGGATGGGTCCTGAAGTCAGGATCCTGATTGATTCTGAGCCTTGTGCTTATTTGCTGGATGTCTTTTTTATCATCCCCATTGGGGACAGCAAAGTCCTTCCCTGATAAGCAGCCCAGGGATATGTTAAAAAACAAAAAAAACAAAAACAAAAACAAAAAAAAAGTGTGATGATGAACTGCATTTCTACACTAGATGCTTCCCAAGAACAGCCACTGGGCTTGGAAACAGTTCTCAGAGTTTGATGCTTAGCATTTCTTCCCGCCTCCCACACCCTCTCCTTCTGCCATTTCACTTATTTAGGGGCAGAACAGCCTTCTGTGGGGGGCAAATCAAAAGTTCTGTGTCGTACTTTTCCCTAGTCAAAGAACCAGAGAGGGTAGCTCTGTCCTCTTTTCTACCAGGTAGGCCACCAAAAGAACGAGCAGATGCTGGCTCAGAGGGGATGAGGTTCACAAAAGAGAACTCCCATCAGTGCAGCTGCCCACTGGGGAGGATGCTGCAGGTGTCTCAGGAGGGCTCCGCAGCAGTGCTTTGGTTAAAATGATTCAAGTCCTGGGCACCATGAAGCATTAGTGAGGGTGGGTCTGCCATGAGGGCACAGCGCCCTCCCAACATTTTTAGAACTGAATTCAGGGGATTTATATTCCAGAGGGAGAAGAAAACTTTTATGGGCTTAAAATGAAGGGGTTTTTCATGCATGTGTCAGCACTAGCAATGCTATGTCCTAAGAACTGAAGCCAAAGCATTAAATAACATGACTGATAAGATTGTTGCATTTCCAGAGTAGGCACAAGCAGGAAAAATAAGGATGGCTTTTTGGAAAGCGTCTTTTCAGCAGTAGCAACCCCACATGGTCCCAGCCTCCTAGGAGCCATATGTCTCCTCTCTTCCATCCCTCCTTTTGTAGAAGTTTGATGCTCTCAGGGTGATAATCCTAGTTTGTGTGGCCAAAGGCACACCTAGGCTGCTATATAGTAGGTTTGATTAGAGTCCAGGGGCTGGATGAGGTCATCTCCCCAAGCACTTCCTAGAGGCATCTGAGGAGGCAGGAGCCTTGGACTCCTAAGGAACAGCTAAGAGCCATGGAGATGGGAGAATCCCCCAAGCAAAAATGCAGCCGGTATCTCTTGGGGTACTTTCAGCCCTGTTCACTTGAGAGGAGTTACCCATCTGCCCCATTCCACCACTTAGAATATATTTTTAAAATGTTTTCATTTGCCAATCCTTTATATATCAGTTACAAAACAGAAACTCTTCCTCACTGCTAGGGAGAAGTGTAGAAAGGGGGAGAAAGAAAAAAAAATCTTGCCTGAAATTGAAGGCAGGTTGGGAGATGTTCACGCTTTGAAACGCTCCTTCTTGTGAAATGTTTATGAAACACTTTCCACAAACGAGTTATGCAACTGGGACAACAGCTTTGATCATTTTCATCACCAGTGATATATTCATTAGTGTTGAGCTGTCTTCCCCCAGAGAGGGCCCTGTGAAAATGTCATGGGGAGGGGGTTAAAGATGAGTACCCCAGCCTCACCATGCCCCATTCCATGAACCCAAAACAGATGGTCAGTAAGGAAGTCTCAGTGTACGTCTGGGCCAGAAGACCACCTTTTCCGTCACCGATGGTCTATTCTCTCTCCTACCCTTGGGATGTGTGTAATATTTTTTGGTAGATAAAGCACCAGAGGAGGGTCAGGAGACCACTCTCTTGTCAGAGTTCTGCCGGGGTATTGCTATATGAGTTTATAACCATCTCTGAAGCTCTCTGAGCCTCTGTGAGATGGAAGGGTGAACACTTGTCCTCACACCTCCTGGCTATGAGGGTAAAGCCAAGGAGGGATGCAGAAAGGGCTTCCACCTCCTTGGAAGGGGCTCTCTCCTTCCAGAATGAGGCTACTGCTTTCTGAAGTAAGTGATGTCAGAGAGTTCACTGGGATCAGAAAAGATAATCATCCCTGATACATTTTTACCTTCCTGGTCACTGCCCAAGACTCAGTGTAATACCTTTGCACAGCACAGTGGGTGGAGAAGATCCTAAACCAACAAAGCTTGTCCAATAGCTGGACAGGCTGCTCAGTGGCTGTGGCAGGGCAGAGCACCCTGTGGTGACCCACGTCTCCAGGGATGCGTCCGTCCCAAGTAAAGTCTGGAGAAACACTCCACCTGCATGAGAAGAACTGCCAAAGAGACCCTGGAGATGATCTTCTTGATTCCAGGCAGGCTGTGGGTTTGGTTGGGTTTTCACAAGCACGGGGGAGATTGGGTTTTCGTCCAATTTGCCTCCGGTTCTCACATTAGAAGTCAATGGGATCCAACAGAAGTCTCTCTATCTCATCTTCCAGATCCACAACCAACACCCAGTTGCCTGGAAAGCTTCCAACCTTTTCCCCTTAACAGCTGTAAAAAGGGATTTTTGTAAATTCAGGAAGGCTTTATTTCTTAATTTCTTCATTTCTGAACCCCTGAGAGTGTCAAAGATGTCTGTCAGAGGCCATGGGAATTGTCGATGTACCCTTCCTCCTTCCTGTTGAACTCAGCTAATAGAGACCGCTGATCAAAGCTGAGATTTGAGAACTTGTCCTCAAGAAAGCAGTGTCCTTTATTATCTTTCAATTTGATTGGTTAGGATTGTCTTCTTTTGGGGTTACTATCAGCACTTCACACCCAGAAGGTAATGAATTATGAAAAATAAAAGATTCCATATCCAAAGGAACCGTAAAGAAGATAAAAATAAATAAATAAAAATTATAAAAGAGTAAAAAGTCGGTCAAACGAATCATAAAAATAATGCAGAGGGTTGTCAGAAAGCCCCCAAACTTACACCCAAAGGGCTTTTCTGCTATCACGCACTTCATTTTTACAACTGGGAGGTTGGGAGTGCCCCCCAAAGAGTCTGAAGGGCAATTGATCCAGGAAGCAGATGAAAGGGTGCGTTTTCTTTTATGATGGCGCTGGTTTCTGAAATTAAGTGTTGCAGGAAGACCTGGCACAGATTCTAACAGATAGCGCCCAGGTTGGAGGCAAAGCACATGTTTTCAAGCTCTGTCATAGCTGCCTCTCCTTATCTCTCCCTTGTGCATAATGAGTCTACAGAGGAACCCTGCCACTTGCCTCCAAGATGGAAGTGGGCCAAGCTGCCAGAGGCTGTTCTACCAGCATGATTTTACCTCCAGTGCTCCACGTTCTCCCTCTGTCCCCCTTCCTCCATCCTGCCTCCCCAGTACCCTCTGGGATGGCAGATGCCTGGGGGCAGGAGGAGGTTATGCAGGGAAGAGGTGGGGACCACAAAGACTTGGCTTAAGTAAAATCCCCTCTCAGATCAAACCTTAAAGTTGTAGTGGTGGTGGTCATTTTGAAATAAGTAGTTTATCATCTATTTCTAGTTTTTAAAAACTTGCTAACACATGTTTTCCTGGAATCTAAGGATATGGAAACTCTAATTTTGGGGAGAAGAACTAGGACACCAGAGTTTCTTAGAGATGCCAAGTGTGGATGGGCACAGCTGAAGGGGCATGGAGCAAAGAAGTGGGGCTCTTGGAGACAACTCCCAGGCAGCCATGTTTTTTGAGTTTTCTGAATGTCTGACTCTCTACCCCCACAGTGCTATTTCCCATCTCTCCCGCTTCCTTCTCTTTGCTTCCAGAGTTCCATAATAGTCTCCTTAAGTGAGAGGAATGATTTCCAAAGACTGTCCCTGAAACAGCCATCTTCTTACCAATTTCTGTGCAACCAGGGCTTCTTGGTGTTATTTAGATCTGCTTTGTCTAAGAACACAGCAGCAACCTGGATGGGCCACGTCTACCAAATGCACTAGGGAATTGGAATTTGTAATTCCATTTGTCGACAGGGAGAAAAATCATGGACTATCATACAATAGACGGGGAAATTGAGTCCCATAGAGGCTGAGTCCCATAGAGGCTCAAGATTACGTAGTAAATTAGAGTCGGAGTTAGGGCTAGAAACAAGATCAGCATTCAATGCACATCTTCAACATTTTCTTCCCTGTACCTCATTGGAGGCTGTGGAGAAATGGGTTTTGCTTATGTCTTTTGTTCAATTAATGTTCTTTGGGTTTTCACTATGTGAAAGGCACCATATTTAGGACATTAGCTCCCTCCTCAGTCTCAAATGTTAGTAGGATCTTCCTAATTGTCCAACCAAAGATAATTCTTTTTTCATTTTATCTAACTTTTATTTTAAGTTCAGGGGTACATGTCCAGGTTTGTTATACAGGTAAACTTGTATCATGGGAGTTGGTTGTACAGATTATTTCATCACCCACATATTAAACTGAGTACCCATTAGTTATTTTTCCTGATCCTCTCCCTCCTCTCACCTTCTACCCTCCAACAGGCCCCAGTGCGTGTTGTTCCCCTCTATGTATTCTCATGATTTAGCTCACACTTATAAGTGAGAACATGTGGTATCTGGTTTTCTGTTCCTGCATTAGTTTGCTAAGGACAATGGCCTCCATCTTCATCCATGTTCCCATACAGGACATTATCTCATTCCTTTTTATGGCTGCATAGTATTCCATGGTGTATATATACCGCATTTTCTTTATCCAGTCTATCATTGACTGGCATTTAGGTTGATTCCATGTCTTTGCTATGAATAGTGTTGCGATGAACATAACCCGTGCATATGTCTTTATAATAGAGCTGTTTATAAGGAATTCTTTCTTTAGTGATCCAAAGCACCATTTTTTTCCGCAAGAATTAAGCACAAGTTTAGCTGTTAGTCTGAACTTTTAACTTAGGTTAAACTAACACAAACAGAAGATATCCCAGGATGTCAGTGATATTCGCAGTGTAGACCAAGAAAATGGTTTAAGCCAGCATCTCTATGGCTAAGAGTTTCTATCTGGATAGGGAACAACCAGATGTCCACATAGGAGGGTCTCCCCAATATCTCTTATAAGTATGGTCTAGAGCTCGTGCCCCCATCACATTATATGAATTTAAAGTCACATGGACACCCTCCCAAGGGACTTCCTGAAAAGCTGCAAGAGGGTAGTTTTCCTGGGATGGGATGAGGGGTAGGCACAAGCAGCACTTCCTGCCCTGCCCTGGGACACCTGGGAAGCCCACGCATGGGTGGTTAGTACTGTCATTGCAGGGTGGTGGAGACTGGAGAGAGGTTGGAAACCACCACGGGCCCCTCAGGCTGTAACTACAGCATTGGCTGTGAGGGAGACATGCCTTCACCTGTAGGGAGACAGGCAAAGACTGTCACTAAAGCCACACAGGTGAAGAGGGCCAGCTGCAGAGGCAGACACAGAGGATGGAGAGGTGTGGAGACAAATGAGATGGGGAGGGAGACTCCTCCAGATCAGTGGTGCCCAGATTTTGGGGTTTCATAGATGAGATTCCATTGAGGAAAATAAAACACAGAATTTGAGGGAGATCAGTAAAGAGTTGCCAGTTTTTTACTCTGTGAGGTAAAGAGTTTTAAGAATGCCATTTAGGATCACTATCCTGTCCTAAATAAATTTTAACCTTCTTCCTCCTAAGAAAAAAAAGAATATCATCTCAGAATTTCTAAGAATTTAATCCATTTTTTTTTAAGAGACAGGGTCTCACTGTGTCACCTAGGCTGGAGTGCAGTGGCGTGATCATAGCTCACTGCAGCCTCAAACTCCTGGGCTCAAATGATCCTCCTATCTCAGCCTCCCAAGTAGCTGGGACTATAGGCATGTAACACCATGCCTGGCTATTTTTTTTTTTTTTTTTTTGGTTTAGAGACGAAGTCTTGTTATGCTGCCCTGGCTGGTCTCAAATTCCTACATCGAGCCCTACTTTTGAAACTCACTACACTATCGTTTTTGTCATTTCAGGGTCACTCACACAGGCCTCTGCCCAGCTGCCCTGGCTGGAAGGGCACACACAGGCAGGAAAAGTAAGCTGCAGCCCAGTAGGCCCTGGGCTAGCTCTCTCCTCTCTAGGCTGGTCACTCCTTTCCTGCCTGGATCTTCCTGCCATTTCCATCTCTGACTGCCTGACGGGATCCAGCACTGACGCTCTCCTCTTGCTTCCACTTGCAGATTAAAACCGAAGATCTCAGTGACTCCCTGCAGCAGACCCTCTCCCATCGGCCATGCCACCTGAGTCAAGGACCTGCCATGATGTCCGGAAACCAAATGTCTGGGCTAAATGCCAGCCCATGTCAGGTAACACTGTGATTTTCACAGTGGGCCAGTGTGTTTAACCCAATCCCTCTGTGAAATGCTCGACTTCCATGCTTGGTACTCGTCTAAAGAACCCCCTGCAGGCAATGTGGGAAAGAGATCTGGAGGCTGTGAGTAGGGTTCTAAAACAGTCCTCTTACAGGTGAAGCCTAGCTAGGGAGGTGAAGAGGGAGGCCTCTACTTCTCAGAGACAAAAAGGACCCAGGCTTGCCAAAGCCAAGGACCTAACAGCTGAGCTGCTGGTGTCTGCCAGCCACATTCAGGGGAATCCTAGGTTGACAGCTGCTGCTGCAGTTAGAGAATGTTTCTGTCCCCATTGGGCCCACTCTGCCTCCCCTAAGGTTTTTTGTTAGAGCCAAACTAGAATGGAGTGCTGGTGGGGGAAGAAAGAGGCGTCTGAGATAGTAACAGCCAAGGTCCGGGAGGGCGTTCACATGACGAGACCTCTTCTCAGCAGGGATCACCTGGGGGAGAAAGAGCCACCCCTTTCTGGAAACACATAAGAATATGCATCTGTCCCTTCACCTGCCATTTAGCAGGGCTTCTCAGGTCTTCTCTATGTGCACAAACCTAAGCTCAACCTCATGGGGCACAGAGCTCTGGCGTCTCCATTGCAGAGGACTCCCCGATCCCCCAAGCATCGGAATTATTAGTCCTATGTCCTGGGCTGGTAGGAGAAATCCTGGACTTTTTGTTTAACTAAATTGGTTTTATTAAGAATGAATAGTTTGCTCCACCCCCCAACTCCCACCCCAACACCCTCCAGGAAAGATTCTGGCCCAGGAAACAGCCGAGGCATGGCTTTTAGCATAACCAGGTGGCATGAGATTTAAAAAGAATTGGATAGTTGGGGATTGCATGTTATCTCTAGGATAAACTTTGAGAGATGGGTCATACCCAGGCTTTGCCTTCAGGGCATTTTATAGTCTAGTTGGGAGACAGGACTGACACATACAAAAATTAACTCAGGAGGCAAGGGTTAAGTAACAATATGTAGTAAGGACTCCTAGGCTGAGGGCAGAAGCTGTAACAATACCAGTGTTAACGGAGTAGCTACTATTTGCTAGACACTGGGGATACACAGTGGCATAAACCAAGGTCAGCCTGCAAAGTCTCTGAGTCTGGAGACCCCTGGGACGGACGAGTGGCAGGCAGATGGGGCTGATGTCCCCAGCTTGTAAATTCTGTGGTGTATGTGTATCTCTCCGTGTGTAGGACATGGCTTCCCTCCATCCGCTCCAGCAGCTTGTGCTGGTTCCCGGCCACTTACAGTCTGTATCCCAGTTCCTGCTATCTCAGACCCAGCCTGGGCAGCAAGGTAAGAACCCTGGGGGTTTCCACCTAGACCAAGTCCAGTCAAGTGCTGCTGTTGCTGCTGTTTTTTGCTGGGTGAGGGGGCCTAATTGGAGAGCATGCGTCAGTCAGTCACCCATCTGCTATTAAGACCTACTTATCCACCCCAGGGTCTGAGGAAGGGACCCTGGCAATGCTCCTCCAGGCTTAGTCTCCTTCTCTGCTTCCCCTTCCCAGCCTCCTGTTGGGTGGTCTGGTCCACCTCCTCAATTTCGTGGTGAGTGGAGACGGAAGGTGCAGGCGTGGAGCAGAGCTATGCTGTACAAGGGAGGGGAAGCGCCCTGGGAAATGCAGTACAGACAAGTCCCAATTCCTTGGAAATCTCTCCTGGACACAGATTCAGACTTGCTTCCTGGAAGCCTGGCTGTGATTCTATTTGGAGAGAGCAGCAGTGCCACCCACAGGTTGTAGAAAGGGTGTTCAGGTTTTCTTTGGCAGGGAAGTTACTCGCAGAGAACTTCTCCCTGGCCAAGAGCAAATAGATTGAACTATTAATAAATAGCTAACATTTCTTGAGCATGATGTGCCAGGAGCTCTTCTGAGTAATTTTTCTGACATTCCTCAAAATAACCTTGTAAAGTAGGTAGTTCTATTATGCCTCTGGTGACCTACTGGGAAGTTCCAGAACCGTTTAGCTGAGACCCATACTCTTGGTCATCACAGTGTGCTGCCTGTCCCACTCCCATCTCCATCAGCTAGGGTCAAAAGTGATGGAGGGTTGGCCAGGCTCGGTGGCTCACGCCTGTAATCCCAGCACTTTGGGAGGCCGAGGTGGACGGATCACTTGAGGCCAGAAGTTCGAGACCAGCCTGGCCAACATGGTAAAACTCTGTCTCCACTAAAAATACAAAAATTTGCCGGGTGTGGTGGTGCATGCCTGTAATCCCAGCTACTCAGGAGGTTGAGGCAAGAAAATCACCGGAACCTGGGAGGCAGAGGTTGCAGTGAGCCAAGATTGCACCACTGTCCTCCAGCCTGGGCGACAGAGCAAAACTCTGTCTCTGAAAAAAAAAAATAATGGAGGAAGTATAAACTCTCTCCTGTTGCACAAATCCCAAGTAGAGGTTTTGGAAATCCAGAATCCAAACAAAATGCAACTCTGCCTTCCGCCCTTAGCACCTGCACAAATGACAGTCACTATCCTTAGTTTCCAAGGCACCTCAGAATATTATGGTGATGAATGAGACCCTATTTGAATTTTTAAGTGTTTATTTTGGTTAAAAAATAAACATCATACTCCTGGAATGGAAAAGGGAAGGTAACAGTTTAATTTGTTTTCAGAAGACTGGAGAGCGACATGAAAATGGCCCAGGCTTATAACCACCTAGGTCAGTGTATGATGCAGTGGTGGAAAGACACTTCCAAATTTGGAGTCAGAAAAATTTACTGGTTTCTTTAAAAAGTCACTTACTAACTGTGTGTTTTGGGGAAAGTTACCTAACCTCTCTGAGCTTCCATTTCCTCTTCTGAAAAAATGGGATAATAGCAAGGCTCTGCCTCATGAGATTATTGAGAGTCACTTGAAATAATGCATGTGAAAAGGCTGTATCCATTTCAACCGCCATGTCAGAATTGCCATTAGTACCCAAGCCTCTCAACTCCCAGTTCTGGATTCCTTGTAAGAGCTTTCTTGCCTATGTATTTTAATAATGAACAATGAAGCCCTGACTTTTTGAAACTGAAGAGCATAAAGGTCAACATCAGCAGATGCTGTATGTACATTGTGACCCAGAACAGCCTAGGGAAAACAGAGACCCCAAAGTGCTGTTGAGTGACAAGCGATTGGGATGACCAACCCCATTGTCTGCTTTGGTGGTTTGATGGCCCCACTCCTGCTGGGAGAGTGAGCCACCAACCAGGCAGAGTCCCTCATGTACCGTTTTCCTGGGGAGGATGGAGAAGCCGGTATAATACATACTGCCCAAGGGAGTTTCCAGAGGCTCAGCCCTGGACTTTCCCTCCTCTCTCAGCCCTCTCTCCCAAGTATAAAATGTCCTGGTCAGCCACATGCCTCTGGCTAAGGCCCACTGCCCTTTAGAGCCGTATGGTCGTATCTGCTTGGTCTGGCATCCTCGCAGATTTGATTGGGCCTCTGTAGCCATAACCCAGCTACTTCTCCTGCAGGGAAAGCCAAAATCCTCAGCCCTAGCTTGAATTCTCAGCAGCCACCCTGCATCCTTTCCCTTCTTGGTTTTCTTCAGCTCTGGTAATCAGATCCCAGAGTAGATCGTCTTGACCCTCCTTAGCCTCTACGCCTCTCCAGACAGGCGGGCAGGTGGAAGGACTGGTTTGGGGACTGCTGTTTACATGTCTGTTTATCCCTGTATCTGATTTGCCTCCACCTGTATGTGGCAATGCCTGGCAGTGCTAGGAGGGCCTCTCCATGGGACTTGAGGTGGGTGGAGGGACCTGATCAGGTGGCAGGGGGTGGGGACAGTGATCGTGGTGCCAAAGTTGTAGCACATGTGTTTCAAATAGCCTGGATTTTATTTGTCTGTTCCTTTGTCCCTCCCCTTTCACCCAGGTCTGCAGCCAAATCTCCTCCCCTTTCCACAGCAACAAAGCGGTCTCCTCCTCCCACAGACTGGGCCGGGACTGGCATCCCAGGTAAACAACCCCATTCTTCCTGTTTCCTCTAGGAATGTCTCAGCTCTCACTGAGTTTAACTCACTGGTTTCCCCCTACCCCTTTAACAGGGCACTAACCCCTCTGGGGAGAGGGGATAGCAGGGAACTATCCATTGGCACAGGGGAAATCCAAGCTACAGCAAGTGGGGGGACAATTTACCAAGTGTCACTGGTGGGGCCACAGTTAGAATCCAGAGATTCCAGCTCCCAGGCCAGCCTCCTTCATGCTCCAGGCACTGAACTCCAACCCTGCACAGGCCCCAGCATTGCTCCTCTGAGAGCCAGGCTCAGCTCACTTCTCAGGCATACCAAGATGGCCACGAACCCTACCTAGGTGCTCTCAAGCCCCAAGAGGGAGACTAGAATACTACAGACCTGATGTCCCAGACCACAAAGCCAGTGTCTTTCACCTCTGGGCCACTATTCCAGATTGCCTCCTGCAGTGGGCACGTATATAGGCCAGTGGGCTGAGGTCTGGGAGAGGGGTTGTTTGCAGAGCTGCCATGGTTCCACACAGCACCTTTTTTCCAACTAGGAAAAAGGCACCTCTTCTGGCCAGGTGCAGTCTCATGCCAAGGTGGACAGATTGGCGACAGCAGCATGAGCTGTATCTTAGCTGCCATTCCTCCCCTGATCTGGGTGCCCCTGTACAGTTAATAACCTGCACAGCTGCATGAGATGGCTCTGCACAGATGGTTGGGCAGAATGGTTGGGAATGACTGCAGAGATCTCTGTGCTAAGATCCCCATGGCTCACCAAGAGCCCGGCCTTCAGAGAGGGCTGAGGCCACTAAAAGTACCTGGAGGGGAAGCTCGCCATCTAGTGGTTGAAATGGGGACACCAGCATCATAAGCTGCTCTTCCGCCTCCTCCTGGCTGCCCTCTCCAGAATCTCATAGCCATGGGCTTACAGCTGGAAGAGATCTTAGAATCTTCAAGATCAACTCTCATCTCTTATCATATTTTGGCATGGAGAGACTGGTAGCAGAGAGACCACATAGAAGATTATGAAGATCATCCAGGGGAGGGGTCATAAAGGATTGGCTTAGAGTTGTGGCAATAAGAAGAGGGGATGATTGAGGAGATGCTTTGGGAAGTTGAATCAGTGCAGTTTGCCAGTGGATTGGAGATGAAAGGAGGAGGGAGAAGGTCTAGCAGAGAGCCCCATAAGTCTTTGTCAAATGAAAGAACAAATGATTTAATGAAAAGGAAGGTTCAAAGAGGACTGGGGCTTTGTCCTGAGGGTCTGGTCTATGCCACACTCTCCTCACACACCCTCTCCCTGCAAACTAAGACCAAATTCATGATGGTTTCAGACTAAAAGACCCTTCACTGGGGGAAAGACTCCTAAACTTCTCTCTAGAGGTCCTTTTACCTTCTTCATCATAAGGATACCTATCTGAATGGTAAACCCAAATATCCCAGAGGAGAAGAAGTAATGTTTAGTCTACAAAAAGTAAATCAAAAAGGAGAGAAGAGGTGGATTTAGCCCTTTGAGCTAGCTGGCCACAGTGCCTGGACCCCTAGGCCCAGATTCCACTCTATCCTTGTGGAATGATAGATGTCCTTAAGATCGGATTCATTCCTGACCCCAAATAGGCACAGCATGGTTCTAGGTTTAAGGGTACGTTTTCCTATGAAAATAAGCTCAAGAAATAATATTTGGCTGGGCACGGTGGCTCATACTTGTAGTCCCAGCACTTTGGGAGGCCAAAGCAGGTAGATCACTTGAGCCCAGGAGTTTGAGACCAGCTTGGGCAACATGGTGAAGCCCTGTCTCTAAAAAAACAAAAGTTAGCCAGGTGTGGTGGCACACGCCTGTAGCCCCAGCTGTTCAGGAGCCTGAGGCAGGAGAATGACTTAAGCCCAGGAGGTTGACGCTGCAGTGAGCAGTGATTGTGCCACTACACTCTAGCCTGGGTGACAGAGTGAGATCCTGATTCAAAAAAAAAAAGAAGAAGAAGAAGAAAAAGAGAGAAAGAAAGAATATCTCCTAGCAACCCAAATGTGATCAAGGTGCATTTTATAAAGGTACTGATTAAAATACCTTTGATTAAAAACAAAACACTTTCATGAAAGAAAATGGTGGTTTAGAAAGTAAAATGAGGCACAAGAGTTTGACATTTTAGGAAAGTTCTATGAAGGCCATGAGTTATTGGATGTCCCCTGTTATCTTCAGTTAATGCCTGTTCAACACCTCAGTTACCTGCTTTATGGAAAAAAACAAAAAACAAAAAAACAAAGCAAGCAACCTTTTCTTTGTCCAGTTCTGTGATTTGTTTTTGGAATCTTTGTAAACAACCCTGCTAGCTCCTTTTATGGTAGAAAACTGAAAGGAGGAAGTAACCTGCTAAGACTCAAAAAGTGAGTCACAGGCTAAACTCAGGCCACCTCCCTATCCTGCACTCCTGATGTTTCTACCCAGATATTCCAGTTATTTGCTATACATTTATAGAAACTTTAATTTCCACTTCCATGCCACTGGAAAAATATAAGACTCCAATGTACCCAGGGTGTATCCAGGGATCTGTCATCCTCTAAGTGGGCCTATTAGTAAAAAAAAAAAAAAAAAAAAAAAAAAAAATCAGAAAATGTTATTTATTGATCTTCGTGGTGGATCTGCTTGGCGTGTTTCCTATCAGGCATTTGGGCACCCTGGGCTGCCAGGATCCTCTTTAGAACCCCACCTGGAAGCATCCCAGCATCTCCCAGTGCCCAAGCATCTACCCAGCTCTGGAGGGGCCGATGAGCCCAGTGACCTCGAGGAGCTGGAGAAGTTTGCCAAGACCTTCAAGCAGAGGCGCATTAAGCTGGGCTTCACACAGGTTTGGTTTTAGGGGAAAAGATAGAAGAAGTCTAGCCGAGCGGCTGGAGACTGGGCTTCCCAAGTGCAGGTTTCAAGAGCGACCAGAGGCTCGATGTGTTTGGGGTCTCCTCATCATGTCCCTGAGTTCTCTGAGAATAGGGCACAGTTGCCATTGGTAGGGAAACTGAGGACGTTGCTGGTGGAGGAGAATGAGAGGTGGAAAAGGGGCTGGCTCTCCTGAGCACGTGGGCGTGGTCCACTGAGAGTCTAAGGAGAGAAAGAAACCGATTCTTCACCTTAGAGGGAGGAGACTTGGAAAGGAGCCGAGCATGGGTGAGCACTCAAAGATTCAGGCTGGCTGTGTGATCGATGCTAGGACCATGCAGGATGTGGGCAAACAAGAGGAGGAGGCTGCCTCTCATGTTCCTCCCCCTCGGTCCCCACGCTTAGGGAGATGTGGGGCTGGCGATGGGAAAGCTGTATGGCAACGACTTCAGCCAGACCACCATCTCACGATTTGAGGCCCTCAACCTGAGCTTCAAGAACATGTGCAAGCTCAAGCCCCTGCTGGAGAAGTGGCTGAATGATGCAGGTAGGCCTCGCAAACACGGATGCCAGGGGCCCTAGAGGGCTCTGCAGGGAAGGGCCAGTGACTTGTCGTGTTGGGGCTTTTGGGAGTTTGATACCTAACACCCCCTTCTTCTCCTGAGACTGGAGCCGATGGAGAAACAAGACACAGGACACAGGCAAGTGTAGATGAAAGTGTCAGCTCGACTACTGAGAAGCCCTCAGAAGGATGTGGATTTAGGTCTGTGTCCATCAGGATTTGTCCCCATTCCATTCCTACCCCATCCCACCCAGCATAGATCTTAGGACAGCTTGCCAGCAACAAAGTCTGGATCTGCAGAGCAGATACACTTATGCAGATTGCTGTCTGGAATAAGTCTAGTCAGGGATACAGGGCAGTGGGGCCTCTAGGGTCTCACTGGGAGGGGGAGACCACAGGCACGACACAGGGTCTTTCCCTGGGTAGTTCTTGAGGAGGTTTTCAGCAGACAGGGACTTACTGCAACCCATGCTGGTCAGGAAAGCCTGACAGCAGGAATGGGGTTTGCAGGAGGACTCAGTGAGGGGTGGTGGCCGGGAGGCAACCCAGGAGATCAAGCGTGTAAGCCAAGGGACCTCACATTTGGCAGCAGGGACTAGCATACAGGATGGGGCTTCTCAACCTTGGCACTATAGACATCCTGGGCCAGGTCATTCTTGTTACCAGGGACTGGCCTATGCATTGCAGGATGTTTTGAGCATCCCTGGTCCCTACCTACTAGTTGCCAGTAGCATCCACCCCCAGTTGAAACAGCCAAGAATCTCTCCAGACATTGCCAAATGTCCCAGGGGGAGTGGTGGTGATGCAGAGTCCCCCCCGGTTGAGAACTGCCGGCCTAGGCAGAGAGAGGGAGTGAGCCAGTCTCCAGGGCTGGGCTCTATTCAGTCGATTCATATGGATTCGTGGTTACACTGGAGAGGGAGAAAAGGGTGGGGCAGCCAGCCAGGGCTGTTACTCATACGGAAGGGCCTCCACACGCAAGCATGGGAGGGGGCAGGAAGCTCCCCCTACAGGCTGTCCCTTAGACAGCCTTTATGGAAGCACTGAAATGAGCGAAATGATCCGAAGGTCTTCGAATCTCTGGGGAAGGGCCCTGTGACCATTCCTAGTCTCCATCAGATGCCTGAATCCTTCCTCAGGGATATCCCTCCTATGGCCCCTACAGCCTTAGCTCAAACATTTGCACTGGCAGGAAAATGACTCCAACACCAACAGTCTGTCACCAAGTGCCATTGCTTTTGGCTGCAAATCTCATTTCACATTTCACTCAGTATTCACATCCAGGCATATCTGTAAACAGCAGCCTCACGAGCATTACTCACAGGAGCCCTGCCAGTGCCCCCTTACACCCACATGTGTCACCGATGCATGAGCATCCCTCAGCTGTGACCCCAAACACTGGAGACACTGCTGTGGGGGCCACAGAGGGCCATGGAGGGTCACGGAGGGCCACAGAAGGCCATGGAGGACAATGGAGGGCCACGGAGGGCCTTTGCCCTGAGCAATGAAAAGAAATAGGATTCTTGGTCTGTTCTGGGCTCCCTGCTGGGGGAGGGGATTGCTCCTGAAAATGCCACTGCAGAGCCCATCGGGAAGGGTTGTTGGACCTCAGATCCATGAAGGCACCGGCCACTCATCCCCTTCTCTGAGCTTCCTCTGGTCCTTCGTGTCCCTGCAGAGTCCTCTCCGTCAGACCCCTCAGTGAGCACGCCCAGCTCCTACCCCAGCCTCAGTGAAGTATTTGGTAGGAAGAGAAAGAAACGGACCAGCATCGAGACCAACATCCGCCTGACTCTGGAGAAGAGGTTTCAAGATGTGAGCAGCACCTTCGGGTGGGCACGGGTGGGCTACCTCACACAGGTAGGGAGAGCAGACACGGCCCAGGCCCCTTGGCACCAGCCCCTCCGCACCTCACACCTGCTCTGGGACACGATCAGAAAACACATTATCCCACTCCAGGCGCCCAGGTATTGGAGTGCAAAGCTGCCCTCCATCTCAGGTTCCAGGAACCTCCTCCTCCTCCACTGACCCTTCTTGCCCTGACATCTATTTAGGGCCCTTTGTTTTTCTCACTGGGAGATTTAAAGAATGGGCTATAGGGTCCCAGAACACAGTGTATCTCCGTATCCAGTTGAGGTAAAGGGAGCAAAGTCAGGGGATTGTATGTAAGTTCTCTATTTTCTATGCAGTACATTTTGTATTTTTCAAATTATAAATGTAATAAATGCTTATTGTAAACAATTTAAGTGCAGGGAAGTAGAAAGAAAAAAAACGCCCATCGCCAAATGCCATCTGACCTCATTTCCTTCTACTCCTTCTTTTCTATGCACATTTAGATACTTGTGATCGTGTTATACACCTACGTTTTTTGGAACTTGTAGCAAAAGCATGTTTTTGAGCCAGTATGTGGAAGCTGTGAGCCCCGTGTGGGCTGGGGAAGAGAAGAGGGAGAAACAGATGTGGCCTAGCCAGCCTCTAGCCAGGCTCCCTCAGATCCCAGCCTCCAGAGCCGCCATGGGTACCACGCGTCTCCAAAGGCCCCAGGCCTCCAGGACTGCTGCCCCTCCAGCAGATTCCTCGCACATTTAGCTCAAAGATTTGGTGCCCATATCCAGCTAGCAGAATGACAGGAACTGGCTTTTCCTTCTTTTTAGGCTTTCTAGAGTGGCAAGGTTAAGGGAGGGTGTAGGAGTAGGGGAAAGTGGCCGGGGCTAGAGACCAGGTGTGAAGGATCAGAACAAGGGAGTGGCGCCCGTGTAGCATGTATTGCTATGCCACAGTCCTGATGGGTCCACATGTTTTAGCTTTCTCATTTTCTGCTTTGAGACAGGAGGACAGGAAGAAATGACAAGGCAGGCCAGGCATGGTGACTCATGCCTGTAATCCCAGCACTTTGGGAGGCCGAGGCAGGTGGATCACCTGAGGTCAGGAGTTCAAGACCAGCCTGCCCAACATGGTGAAACCCCATCTCTACTTAAAGTACAAAAATTAGCTGGGCGTGGTGATGTATGCCTGTAATCCCGGCTACTCAGGAGGCTGAAGCAGAGAGAATTGCTTGAACCCGGGAGGCGCAGGTTGCAGTGAGCGGAGATCGCGCCACTGCACTCCAGCCTAGGCAACAGAGCGAGACTCCGTCTCAAAAAAAAAAAAAAAAAAAAAAAAAAAAAAAAAAAAAAGAAATGACAAGGGAGAAGGACATCAGGTAATAAGGAAGAACACAGAAGGGAGCAGCAGCTCTGGGGACTCTACCTGCCCCACATAACTCATCCATGGACTTCTCTCCTCTGAACTCATGAATGAAGGAAAGACAGCCTACATCTATGGAGACCCTACTTTGTATCAGGCCCTGTGCTTGACAGTTTACACACATTTTCTCATTTAATTCTCACAATAATCCTATGTGGTGGGCATGATTATTCTCATTTCATAGATGACAAGACAGGCTCAGAAAGGTTAAGAAAGTTTTGTAAGGACACGTAGTAAGTGAAAAAGCCAGTATTTCATCCTAGGTCTGACTCTAAAGCTTTTGATCCATGTATAGTTGTATCCTGTTTCTTTGGGACCTCTGTTCCCTGCCCCTGATTCCCTTCTCTTGGCCATACTCTGTCCTTTCGGTGCCTATAGAACCCAAAACCCAGCTCGGAGGAGATCTCCATGATTGCAGAGCAGTTGTCCATGGAGAAGGAGGTGGTGAGGGTCTGGTTCTGCAACCGACGCCAAAAGGAGAAGCGAATCAACTGCCCTGTGGCCACACCCATCAAACCACCTGTCTACAACTCCCGGCTGGTGAGTGGCCAGGAACCAAGCTGTCTGCCAAGCACTGGAGGGACATGATGCTTGGAGGGGAAGGTGGTGGCTGCAGGGAAGAGGGGAGCATCCAGTAAATAAATAAGCAAAGAGATGCTGTATAGAATATAGTATAAAGAAGGGCGAGGGAATAGAAGGGGATAGCGGGGAGATACTCTTTCAGTAGAGAGGTCAGAGAGGACCTCCCTGAAAAGGGTGTGTGAACAGAGACCTAGAGTTGTCAGGGAATGAAATACATGGATATCTGGGGGAATGAATGTTCTAGGCAGAGGACCTAGCAAGTGAAAAGAGCCAGTATGCTTAAGAAACAGCAAGGCAACCAGTGTGGCTGGGGACAGAACGAGAAAGGGGACCAGAAGTAGGAGAGGAAGTCAGAGAGGAAACAGGAAGCAGAGCGCCCAAGATCTTGGAGGACATTGAAAGGCCCCTGGCTTTCAGTTTGGGTAAAATGAGAAGCCATTGGAGAGCTCTAGCCAGAGAAAGCTGAGCTGGTTGACACAGGCTGCTATGTGGGGAATAATCTGTGTGGAAGCAGGAGACCAGCTAGGAGAATGACAATGGTCAGGCTGTGTGATGGAGGCTTGGCCCAGGGTGGTAGCCATGGAGGTGAGGAGGAGTGGTTGCATTCTGGCTAGACTTTGATGGTGGAGTAGCATGATGTGCTCAGATATGGAATACAAGAAAGGAAGCAAAGATGACTGAAAGGGTTTTGGCCTGAGCAATGCGTTGGAAAGCACTGCCATTTTTTTGAGATGATGAAAACTGCAGGAAGAGCAAGTTTGAGGAAAAAAACTAAGAATTTGGGGCTGGTCATATTAAGTTGAACATACCTACAAGGCATCCAAGAGTGAGTATGAAGGAGTTATATCTGTGACTCTGGAGTTCAAGGGAGAAGCCAGGGCTGGGAACAATTTGAAGTTCTAGGGAGACAATGAAGTTTAGGGGGCAGGAAATACCTTCTCCATGCAGGGAGAAATGGTATCTGGAGGGTGGGTGTGGGAAGGTTCTTCTCTGGGGATGGTGATGGTTGAAGGTTAAGGGAGTTGGGGAGAATGATGTTGCCCTTCAGTCTTTCAGCACTGTAAGATGGGTGAAATGCAGCCTTCTCAGGGTGGGACACAGCTGTTTCCCAAAAACTACACCATTGTTGATTCTTTCACCAACCAGCTACCGACTACCTTCTATATATTGTGCCAAGTGCTGGGGATACAAAGATAAATATTGTTTGTTCCCTGTCCCAGAGGACCTCACTGCCTAGCAGAGGAGCAGGTAAATAAACGAATGGAAAACAGCATGATCATTTCTCCAGGAGAACTTAGGAGCAGCAGCTAACCAGCCTTGGGAGCTGGTGATTAGGACAGGCTTCCCCGAGGAGATAATTAATACCTGAGCTGAGTCTAAAGGACGAAGAGGAATGAGAGGCAAATAAATGTGGGTGGAGCTCTCCCAGGGGAAAGTACAAGGGCTGTGGAATGGGGCAGGGAGAGTGTGGCATGCTCACAGAACTGCAAGTGGTTCCATGAGGAGGAGTGTTGAAAGATGAGGCTGGACAGACCAGCAGGGGCCAGACTGTGCAGGGATTGTACACAATGCTAAGGAACTGAAGGTTTGGGGGAATCACTGAAGGATTTTCATAGGATATTGGCATGATAATTTTCTCTTTTTTGAATGATCACTCTGACTGCAGGACAAAGGATGGCTTGAAAGGCCCAAGATGGGTTGCAGGGAGACCAGTTAGGATGGGACTGCAGGTATCCAGCAGAGAAAGACTGAGGGCAAAGCAACCCCATGAGGTAGGAATGACAGGGTGGGAGGGATTCAAGAAATCCTTAGAAGGTCTTGGTTAATGAATGGAAAGCTGGATGGGGGCAGGGAGAGAGATGAAGAAAAGGGAATCCTCTGCGATGACTCTTGGCATTCAGGCTGGGCTAACTGGGTAGATGGTATTGCCATTTACAGAACAAGAAAAGCAGGAGGAGATGGCTTGGGAGTGGGAAGAAGTGATGATTTCAGTTCTTATGTCATCATGATGTACAGTGAGGCCTGCAGGATACCCATGTGGGAATGTCCTTGGGCACTTGAGATTATGGGTCTGGAGGTGAGACTGGAAGGCTGGGATGGAGACATGGACTAGGGAGTCACAAGTGTGCAGGTGGTGGGTGAAATCCTGGGTGAGGAGGAACTCGCCTATGGAGTTTATGTAGAGGAAGCAAAGAGCAAAGGCCATGCCACCAGCTTTTGCAAGATGGGCAAAGGAAGAGTATCAGGAAAGAAACTGAGAAGGAGGGACCAGAAAAGACAAGAAACTACAACCACGTAGATGTGCGGAGTGTTGGGCAGGAATGAGCCCCATAGGAGTGCCATGGGAACCAAGAGGAAAGACACCCAAATCAGAATGGGTCCCAGGAGGGTGAATATCTAATTTGTTTGGAGAACAGATTAGTAATTAGCAAGAGTAGTGTACAAGGCAGAAGGAACAGCCTGTGAGAAGGCATGGAATTTTTTAAATTTTTTATTTATTTTTATTTTTTTTGAGACAGAGTTTTGCTCTTTTTGCCCAGGCTGGAGTGCAATGGTGCGATCTAGGCTCACTGCAACCTCCACCTCCTGGGTTCAAGTAATTCTCCTGCCTCAGCCTCCTGAGTAGCTGGGATTACAGGCACCCACCATCACACCTGGCTAATTTTGTATGTTTAGTAGAGACGGGGTTTCACCATGTTGGCCAGGCTGGTCTTGAACTCCTGACTTCAGGTGATCTGCCCACCTTGGCTTCCCAAAGTGCTAGGATTACAGGCATGAGCCACCGCACCCAGCCCAAAGGCATGGAATTATAAAACCACATGATGCATTTGGGAAATCACAAGCATTTCAGTCTGGCTGGAGCAAAGGGTTCAGGATTAAAATTAGAGGGGCTGATGAGTGTGGGATCATAATGGGCCATGGATGCTGAAGTACCCTAAACTCTCTAAGGGATCATTGAACATGTTAAGTTGGAGGCAACATGATATTCATTCATTATTTCTTCCTTAAGCATTCACTGAGCACCTGCTATATGTTTGGTACTGGGGCTCCAGTGGTGAACCGCACACGTGACCCCTGCTTACAGTGTAGCAGGAAAACAGATACTAAACAAATGCTATTTGTGATGAAGGCTTCAGAGAAGAGGTACGATATTTGAGGTGCCTAACCTAGTCCAGGGTATCAGGAGCTTCTCTGAGGAATGATGTTTAAACTGACACCAGAAGAATGAATGTCACCATTGCTATTAACAGGGAAAGTGTTTGAGTTGGGGGGTGCAGAGAGGTGTGAGGGCAGGGAAGAATATTCTAGGTAGAGGAAATAGCATGTACAAAGGTTCCAAGGTTGATGGTGGGGTGGGGTAGGAGGAAAGAAGCACAGAAGGCCAGAACGGGCTGCAAACCAGGGAGTGAGGGTGTGAATGAGGAGGCTGGAATGGTAGGCAGGGGCTGGATTATGTTGGGAATCATAGGCCTTGTTAAGAAACTTGGGTCATGTCATAGGAACTTTGGAATCTTTAAAGATTGGGCTTTGTTTAGAGCAGATGGGAAGTAGTAGATTCTCCCTTTGGTTCAGTGCCAACCCAGGACATCAACATGGTGAGAAATGGAGGGGGCCTAGAGGAGCCATGCAGGGGCCCCATTCCCCATCAGCTTTCATTCGACACATATTTACTGAGCACCTGCAACGTTCCAGGCACCGTAGAAAGCACTGGGGGTGCACCAGTGAACCACACAGGCGTTACCCTGCCCTCATGAAGTCTACAGCCTAATGGCTGTGAAGGACATGAAATAAATAGTTACACTAACACTTGTGATGTCATGAAGGAAAAGGAGGGAGAAAATTTTCTGATCCTATCTTTGGGTCTCATTGAGACAGTCCCTTGGGACTAGGACATAGTTTCTTCTGCTTCTGGAATAAAATGATTAGCAGGTAGAAAGGCAAAATGGTGCAGATCAGTGTGGGCAGAATGCTACAATATATCTAGAAAATAAAAAAGGGGAACCACGTATATGTCTGTTCGCATATGCCTAGCCTGTCTCCAGAAGGAAACAAGCTGGCCGCACTGACCAAATACATTATCACTTATTTAAAAACAACAACAAAGCCAGGCATGGTGGCTCACGCCTGTAATCCCAGCAATTTGGGAGGCCAAGATGGGTGGATCACCTGAGGTTAGGAGTTCGAGACCAGCCTGGCCGACGTGGCAAAACCCTGTCTCTACTAAAAATACAAAAATTAGCTGGGCATGGTGGCAGGTGCCTGTAATCCCAGCTACTCGGGAGATTGAGACAAAAGAATCGCTTGAACCCAGGAGGCAGAGGTTGCAGTGAACCGTGATCGTGCCATTGCACTCCAGCCTGGGTGACAGAGCGAGACTCCATCTCAAACCAACAACAACAACAACAACAACACATGTCTTGGGTGTGACAGCAGGGAGGGAGGAGAAGAGGTAGGGAGATTATTGATAACATCTCTTACCACTCTGCCACCCCTCCCAACCTGTGCCCGTCTCCACCCTTCACAGGCCCCCAGCCTACTGAGGAGGCTCATTGTATAAGGAAAAGTAAATGAAAACAGGAAAACCATTTCTGATTAATGACGAAATAAGTACATGCTGCATCCTGTTAGGGTGGGATCTTCCAAACTGGGGAGAGCAGAACTACCTTTCAATAGCCTTTGCGAACACCTGGTCAGAGCTTCCCCTGTTAGCATGAGAAGAATAAGGGGCAGTGAAAATACACAGATTTTAGCTCAAAAGAAGAGTCGAATAACATCTAGAAATATACAGCAGTTGACAGCTGCTTCTTCCAGAAAGGGAGAGAACTAGCATTTAACAAGCTGACACTCTTTGCCAGCTGTTGGGTTGGAAGCTTTACAGACATTATCTCATTATGACTTAATTAAAATATATAATGGAAGTATTGCTGCTATTTTACAGATGAGAAAACCAAATCTCAGTAGGGTTAGATAACTTGCCCAAAGTCACACAGATAGTGGTGGAGCTGTCTTACTCCCAGACCTGTTGGGCTCCAAAGTCTATTCTTTCTATTACATCTTGTTCTACATTGTTCTAGGATAGTAACAGTGAGGGGGAGGTTCCTGAATTGCATGGGAGGGTAAACAAAGTTATCCCAGGTCCCTTTCTAATCTCAGAGCTGATGATGCTATGAGGTCTCCAGGGCAAAATAAAAAGCTTCAGAGACCAAAGTTCAGTGCCTCCAGTCACCTCTGGAGAGTCCATGCTCCATTCATCCATCACAGTGGGAAAGCCTGCGAGAGGCTGCTAGGCTGAGCAACCCTGCTGTCCTCAGCAAAAGCAGGGTTCTTTTAGGGAAAAAGCAATGGAGACCAGAAAATGACAGGCAACCAGCAGTATCTGCCACAGCAGGGCCCAAGAGGCTTGTCTTGCTCACCTCCAGGGCTCTCAGGCAAGGCAGCCTTCGGCTTGGCAGTGTCAAAGAAACCTTATCAGGCAATACACATTGTCAGGGGCTGGAGGGCCCTGGTGTTGACACCAGGGAACTTCCGGGGCAGACTGGACCTGGTTCTGGATGCCAGTATGTGGTCCAGAGGCCTTCCCATAGAAAGGAGGATGGCATGTAGGCTAGGAAATCACCAAGGAAGCCAAGCCCTGGTCTCTGTAGAGTCTGGGGCCTACTGTCTTTGGAGAGTGATCTGAAGTTGGAGAAGGGAGCAGAAATGGACATTTACAAGCTTCTGTTGTTTTTCAGGTATCTCCCTCAGGGTCTCTGGGCCCCCTCTCTGTCCCTCCTGTCCACAGTACCATGCCTGGAACAGGTGAGCTTTAAAATGAGATTTCTGAAGAACACCAGAATTCTTTTAAAAAATGGGATATTAGAACTGAAAGGTATCTACCTAAGTCAGGCTTCCCTAAATGCATTTCAAAGGATATTAAAATCTGTGTTGGGAAAAAAGGGTTCTGTGATCAAATAAGTCTGGAAAATGCTGAGGAAGCCCAGTTTAAACAAGCGAATTGTTTTGTTTTGTTTTGCTTTAACTGCAGCACTTCTAAGCACTTAGGTGCATAAAATTCCAAAATGAACTGTGTGGAAGGCCCAGGGGAGGCAAGGCTTCCCAAAGTAATACTCTAGTCCTCAAAAAGCACCTAATTATTTCAACGCACTAGACAGGATGATCGCATGCCCAAGGGTGGCCAGGACAGTCCCAGTGTCTGCTTCATGTCCTGACATAATTATCAATAGCACTTCCTTCCACTTTTTTTTTTTTTTTTTTTTTTTTGAGACAGAGTTTCACCCTTGTTGCCCAGGCTGCAGTGCAATGGCACGATCTCAGCTCACCACACCCTCTGCCTCCCAGGTTCAAGCAATTCTTCTGCCACAGCCTCCCGAGTAACTGGGATTACAGGCGTGTGCCACCACGCTCGGCTGATTTTTTGTATTTTTAGTAGAGACAGGGTTTCTCCATGTTGGTCAGGCTGGTCTTGAACTCCTGACCTCAAGTGATCTGCCCGCCTCGGCCTCCCAAAGTGCTGGGATTACAGGCGTGAGCCACCGCACTCAGCCCCTTCCACTTTTCAAAGTGTCTTAGGGTCTTAGTTTGGATGGTAAAATATATGTCACCCTATCCATAGAACACAGTTTGGGAAACACAAACACAAGAGTTAATCCAAATACAAATCTGCCATTTCACAGAGGATGAAAATAAGTTTCAGGAAAGTGAAACAAATCAGCACAGGCCACAGAGCTGCTGAGTTGATGGCTGGGGACCAAGACAGGGCTCAGGTCCCCTCACTCCCAGTTCATTGTTCTTTTTGTTTTTGTTTTGTTTTGTTTTTTGAGACAGCGTCTTGCTCTGTTGCCCAGGCAATGTGGTGACACAATCATGGCTAACTGCAGCCTCGACCTCCCAGGCTCAAGTGATCCTCCCACCTCAGCCTCCTGAGTAGCTGAGACTACAGGTGCATGTCATCACACCTGGCTAATTTTTGTATTTTTTGCAGAGACTGGGTTTCGCCATGTTGCCCAGGTTGATCTTGAATTCCTGGGCTTAATCGGCCCTCCTGCCTCAGCCTCCCAAAAGTGTTGGGCTACAGGCATGAGCCACCATGCCCAGTTCAGTTCATTACTCTAGTTTCTAGAAAACCAAGCACCTTTTCTTTGTGGAGACTGGAGAACTAGAGCAGCTGGCAATCTTTCATCGTGCCCTCAAGTTCTCTTTCTCCCCTATGCACTTGCCTTTCTTTCCTCCTCTCTTCCTTCTTGTTCTTTTTCTCCTACCGCCTCTTGGTCTGGGGCTGCATGTGCCCAGCCTAGGGTGTGTCCTAGAGTAGGATGATTTTGGCATCTGTCCTTGGATTTGGCAAGTCTTAGACTTGCAGAACCAGCCACACCACTCTCCAGGGCCTGGGCTGCAGAGAGCATTTGTGACGACAGCCCCTCTGGGTGTGGGCAGAAGTTGATGCTAATGAGGCAGGAGGTAGTCAGGTGGGTGTGGCTAGGGAGAGGGTGAGGTCCCTTTGGGGATACACCAGGAAATTTGTGTCTGAGGGGCTATGTCCCGATGTCCCGGGATCCAGCAGCATTATTTCCCCCTTGTTTTTGCCTCTCCTTATCCTCAGTAACGTCATCCTGTTCCCCTGGGAACAACAGCAGGCCTTCATCTCCTGGCTCAGGACTCCACGCCAGCAGCCCCACTGCATCTCAAAATAACTCCAAAGCAGCAGTGAACTCCGCCTCCAGTTTTAACTCTTCAGGGTAAGGTGAAGGGGACGGTGCAGAGACATCCCAGCAGGGCCAAGGGACATGTGAGAAGCTGAGCCTATGCCTTGGGAAAGAAAGCTTGTCATAGAAAGGGTTGGAAAAGAGGAATGGGGTGGCACAGAGAGGACAGAGTGACAGCCAGACTGGACTTTATCCCTAGGGAGTGGAGATTTTAAAAAGAAGCTTCAGTCAGTGAGCCATCCTGGCAAGGAGCTGATGTCAACAAAGTCAAAATTTCCATCCTTACTTTGAGGGTGGAAATTTCCAAACACTCATGTCAGAAAGAGCCAGGTCCTTTGCTGGGCTTCATGGGAACCCAGTTCTCAGGAGGTTCTGATGTGAGCCCAGAGCTTAGGCACAAAGAAAACCCTGGGCTTCAAACATGGCTGACACAGGGAAAGGGGGAAGTGGTGCCAATTCCTGTCTCCCACTCCCAGCTGGGATGCAGTGGGGCAGGCAGCCTCCTGGGCTTCAGTTCATGAAGCAAAGAATCTACTCTAAAAAGTATTCTCAGAGCTGATGCCTTGTGAAAGAGAGATTCTGCCCTGATTCAGAACAACACAGAGATGTGTAGGTTACAGACCTGAGTTCGTCAGAAAAGATGAACCCAGCTGTCCAAATCCAGGCGGTTCAGCAAGGCAGCCAGTTCTTATTGGCCAATTGTTGCATAGCCCGAAACGTTGGCGCTCCTCACCTACCCCTACTGAGAGAGAGAAAGAGGACCATATAATATACATTACCAGCTTTAAAAAATTGTTTCGAGGTATAATTCATATACCATAAAATTCACCGTTTTAAAGTGTGCAGTTCAGTGGTTTTTAGTATATTCACAAGGTTGTGCAACCATCAGCGTTATCTAATTCCAGGATGTTTTTATTACTCCTACCTGCAAAAGCCCCTGTACCTGCTAGCAGTCACTCCCCATTCCCATCTTACGCCATCACATTATTAGCTTTAGGATTGACTTCTTTCTTCCTTCCAGATCTTGGTACCGATGGAATCATTCCACCTACCTCCACTGAGACCAAAAAGTTTCTCCTACTCCAGCTGGCCCTGTATTCCCCCTGGAAGGAAGGGAATCATGCCTTCTATATACAGACAGATTGCCTTCAGAAGAGTGGAAGAAAATCTCCACTATCAATGAACCCAGACTCTTGTCTTCTTCAAGAGCAAGGGCCTCCGGAGATCCAAACTGTGATTGAACCAAGTGCAGACTCCTAATGCTCTTGAAATACACAGCCCCTCCTAGGAGCTTACCATTTTCACCTTCCTTGCCTATGCCCTTGCCTTCTAGTTCCAAATATTTTAGCCAGCTTCACTGTGGCAATAGTCTTTCAGAGAAAAGACTTCTTGCTGTTATTCTCCAACTCATCCGTGGGCTTCTGGGGACAGCCATTTGGCTGGGGTGCCAAACACCAGAAGGGGAGATAATAGTTTTGACTCTGAACTTGGCCACAACCCCTGAACTGATCCCAAAATCTGTGAAAAGATTTGAATCTGATATCTCCACCAAAGCCTTGATGTTTTCTCTGTACAGCTAAGTTTTCTGATGGAATCTTCATCTCACCCCATTTTCTTTTTAACCTCGCCCCCTTTTCTACAATCAAATCCATTCATTATTGCGCCCTCCAGGTCCCCTCCTTTTTGCAGAAGGTGTAAAAGAGCTGCCCTTGGTGGGTGCCCTGGGCATGTTGCAACGCCTGCTGGTGCCCTTCTGTCTGTCCACGTCTGCCTAGGGCTCAGGAGTGCTTGTTCTTTCCCTTCCTCCCTGTGTTTCTCTTTATCCTGTCCCCTCTCCTTTCTCCTGGCAGCAGAAAAGGAAGAACACAAGAGCAAACACACAACAATGATGGTGGCAAAGTACCTGTATATAGCCCTTTCCCATTTTTTGCATTATGTTCTTAACTCCTTAATGTGGAATTTTCCAGCAAAATGTTTAACTCAGGTGTGATTTTTGAAAATGTCTCTGTAATATTTTATCTTCTTTAAAAAAAAGGGGGGGAAATACCAAAGTGTGAAATACTGTGCTACCTTCCAGAGTTCCCACATGGGCTGGGATTTTTTTTTCTTTTTCTTTTTTTTTTTTTTTTTTGAGACAGTCTTGCTCCAGCCCAGGCTGGAGTGCAGTGGCATGATCTTGGCTCACTGCATGCTCTGCCACTTGGGTTCAAGCGATTCTCCTGCCTCAGCCTCTCAAGTAGCGGGATTACAGGCGCCCACCACCAAAAATTAGCCCAGCTAATTTTTGTATTTTTAGTAGAGATGGGGTTTCACCATGTTGGTCAGGCTGGTCTTGAACTCCTGACCTCCTGATCCACCCACCTCAGCGTCCCGAAGTGCTGGGATTACAGGTGTGAGCCACCGCGCCTGGCCTGGGCTGGGAATCTTTGTTGACTTCTTTGGGAACATTATCTCTAGAGTCTGCTTTTTTGTGGGCCAGTTTGTAGAGATGTAACATGAAGCCATTCCAGAAATGGTAACTTAAAAAAAAAAAGACTACATGTCTAGGAAACTGTTGAGATTCAAAGGAATCTCACTGTTCCTAAATAAATGTGTATAGTGATTATGAAAAGTATCCCACTGTTGATAAGAAGAGGTTTAGATTCTTGTTCTGTGCCTTTTTGTTGTTGTGGGGGGCATGTGAGTGCATATAATGAAATGGGATGACAGAAAATGTTTCAAATTGGGACATTAAGTGTATTACTCCCCAAACTGATGCTAAAGATGACATATGTTATTACAGGGCCCTGAAGAATTCAGAGTTGTTACTCTCTGTAACATAACTACCTTGAGGGCAGAGTAGGCCAGAGATATTGTAAGTGGGAGGATGGTGAATGTTTAAGGTGAAGTCATTTGAAACTTAAGAGGTGGGGACTGAGGCTAATGTCTCATGTCTCAGATACCCTGAACGGCAGTTGTTCATTACTCACAACATAAAGCAATAAATAGTTAAGGCAGAGGGTAATTTAATAATCACATATTAGCTGGGCTTGGTGGTGTATGCCTGTAGTCCCAGCTACTGAAGAGCCTGAGATGGGAGGATCTATTAAGCCCAGGAAGTCAAGGCTGCAGTGAGCAATGATCATGCCGCTGCACTCCAGCCTGAACAACAGAGTGAGACCCTGTCTCAAATATACATATTTGTCTCATGTATATATATATATATATATATATATATATATATATATATATGGCTTCAGAATGCATTGTGACTTTTGGTTAGGAGGTTGAAAGGCAGCAAACCTATTCTTGTGTTTTTTCTTAGATTAATACAAATTTAAATAGTTACCGTTGGAGCCTGCAGTGAGCCAAGATTGTGCCACTGCACTCCGGCCTGGGCGACAGAGCGAGACTCCGTCTCAAAAAATAAAATAAGTAATAAATAGTTACCATTACTGAGATAAACGCTGACCTGTGGGAAAGAGAGGCCCTTCAAAAATGTAATGGCTGATGGGGAAAAACTAAAATTAGGATTAAACACTTCTTGCAAATAATAATATCCACACAGGAAACCTAAATATTAATAATGAAGAGTTAACCGCTCCCTGATGTTTGAATGGGGCTTTAAAAATTCCTATTTCACGTCATGAAGTGGGAGAAGGCCTAATGGTAATGTTTACTTTCTCAAGAAAATATCTAGTTAAAAGGGGCCAGGTATGTAGCAAAGAGACAGCAAGAGGAGCCTTCCGCAGTACTTTAAGTAACTAAGGGGACTGCTCCACCACCCATGAGCCCATCTGTGCATATCTCTGCACACATACACATGCATGCATGCATTCCTCCCTGTATGCCCATGGATGCTAGAGCTGACCCTTTTCTACAGAAGTCCTGGCTACCTTGACATCCTACTCAGGTGAGTGCTGAAAGCTGATCCTCTGCATTGTCCAAAACTTGGATTTTCATCCATTTGCCCGTGATTTTTTATGAAAGAAATAAACAGAATTGTAGCCTGTTCAGACTCCAGTAGCTTTCCTTGCCAACTAACTTGGACATTGCTGAACAGAATCAAGCCTGAAAGTGAGCAAGGTCACCTTTCATGTCTGCATGATTCTGTAAAATCTGTAATTCCAGGGAAGTTTAACTGAAGCTTGATTCGCCGCCTCAGCATCTAACTAGGGACAAGAGAATCTGAGGGCAACCACCAGTCATTGCCAAGGGAGGAAAAAAAAAAGATTGTTGTTGCTACATTTCAAATTGTATTTTTTTTTTTTTTGACATGGTGTCTCACTCTGTCACCCAGGCTGGAGTGCAGTGGCACGATCTCGGCTCACTGCAATCTCCGCCCCCC
Source organism: Homo sapiens (assembly GCF_000001405.40). NCBI lineage: Eukaryota > Metazoa > Chordata > Mammalia > Primates > Hominidae > Homo > Homo sapiens. The sequence goes on from NC_000011.10 coordinate 120,321,659, forward strand.
AGATTCACGCCATTCTCCTGCCTCAGCCTCCTGAGTAGCTGGGACTACAGGCGCCCGCCACCACGCCCAGCTAATTTTTTCTATTTTTCAGTAGAGACGGGATTTCACCATGTTAGCCAGGATGGTCTCGATCTCCTGACCGCGTGATCCGCCTGCCTTGGCCTCCGAAAGTGCTGGGATTACAGGCGTGAGCCACCGCGCCCAACCGAACTGTATTTCATACTCTGATGTTTAGTTGACTCAAAACGGGTGGGCCCAGCTCTGCCCTCCTAAGACAAAGTAAGAACTTTTGGTCTGACTCAGAGACTGAGTTTATTAACCCTAGGACTCAAAGCAGGAACCCTGGCCGGAGCTCCCAGGTTGCCAGGGTTCCTCTTGTGCTCTGTGTGGCCCCACCATAGCTCACCTGCTGACTCTTCTGCCTCTTCCTTCTGTGGGGGGAACTCCTTGCAGTTGAGGCTTTTTTTTTTTTTTTCTGTATCCCTGTGGCTAACATTGTGACTAGCACATAACAGGCAGTTATGTTTTTTAAATATAAAATTCCCTTTTTTTCCCTCTAAATTTTTAATGCCCTTCACTGAGATAGGAGTTGTGAATACAGCAGAATACAGTGCAAACCTGCAGGAATTTTTAGGTAAGTGGAGGCAGCATATCACAGTGGTTAAGGGCATTGTCATGCCAGACCCCTATTGACTTCAGGAGGGATAGCACCAGATTCAAGAGGCCAGAGACCAAGAGCCAACAAATGCGACATAGGGTTTGTTGAGGGGAACTTACATAAGAGGGATCCGGTGGCAACAGGCTGGACAGGAGAACCACCACTGCCTGCAGAAAGCACGCAGTTTACATGGCACTCTCATCTAACACCCTCCCGCTAACAACCTCCACCTGGCAACCTTCATTTACCCCAAAACAAAGGGCCTCAGCCCCCTGTATGGCCCATGTTCCAAGGGCTGGGCCAGGGGCTCAGATGTTCCTCATACATAAGGAATAATCTCTGGGTTGGCCACGCTTGGAACACTAGACACACATTCAGGTGTGTCTGCCACACAGGGTCATTCTCAGGTTATACTTAAGTTACCGCTGTCAGGTGCATCTGCCATACAGGCGTGATCTCCAGAGTCATATTGCCTGGGTTTGTACCCTACTCTGCCTCCTACTAACCGTGTCATCTTGGGAAAGCCTTGACTGCTCCATGACTCAGTTTCTCACCTGTAAAATGGAGATAACAATAGGTCCCATCCCATAGAATTGTTTGTGAGGATTGAGTGTGTGTATATATATATGTGTGTGTATGTGTATGCATATATATGTGTGTGTGTGTATACATATATATGTATATGTGTATATATATGTGTGTGTGTGTGTGTATATATATATATATGTAGTGCTTGGAACAATGCCTGGTACATTAATAAGGGCAGTATAGGTGTTATTTGTTATTATTGTGATTATTATTCTCATTGCTATTAAATTGGTGGAGAGCTTCCTGTCCCCTGCTCTCCTTAACAGCCCAGAATTTCTGGGGGATGCTACCGGTGACAAGGATCTGATTTGGTGGAACAGGGATTGTGGCCAAAGATACATACATCAACAAAATTTAATCCTAGGTCATGAAGCTTGAACCTAGAATCCCAGTCACCCTAGGATAAAGGCCCAATATTTTAGGAAGAACTGGCTCCTTCCCTTTTACCTTACCCCCTCAGCCTTTAGGCTCCTGAAGGCTTTAGTACCCTACTTTTGTGGGAAATGATGGCAGCAAGAAGAAAGTCCAGATTCAGATACTAGAAAAAAAATACTGCAACAAAACAAATGGGGGAAAGGGTGAGCTCTGCATACTCTCCATTCAGTGAAGTGGAGCCTTCCATGTTTTACTTCTCCAGACTATCATTACCTGTTATCCGGTCTATCCTAACACATGTGTAACAGGCCTTCTGCAATTCATCTTACACTGATTTTAATTGAGTATTGCTAGAGCTGGGGTTCTCAACTTTGGTTGCACATTGGAATCACCCAGGGAGCTTTTAAATTGATTGATATCTACACAGAGATTCTGATTTACTTTTTTCGGAGTGTGCCCTGGGTATTAGGATTTTAAATAGCTCCCAAGTGATACTACCATGCTATCAAGATTAAGAACTACGACCCAAATGTGTATACGAATCACTGGGGAACTTGTTAAAATGCACATTCTAGTTTGGTAGGTCCAGGGGTAGGTTCTGAGATTCTGAGTCTCTAATGAACTCCAAGGTGATGCAGATTTTGCTGGTCCATAGACCACACTTTGAGTAGCAAGGGCTTGGAGAGCATGATAATATGATTCCCTTGTTCAATAACATCATGAGCTTCCACATAATAAGCTCTCTCAGCCTGGCATCTTAGGCTGGCATCAGAGGCATTTAAGGACTCTAACAGCAATGGTTATCAAATGTGATCGTCTGAATGACTCCTGGGCAGGTTTTAAAAAATACAGATCCCTGGACCCCATACCAGACCTAATAAATCATAATATTCAAGGTACAGCCTGCACAGGGTATTTGAAAACACTTCCCAAGTGGCATAGTTGATCAACACACTTTAGGAACTGTGATATGCTTCCAAGATAGTTTCCCAGGCTCATTTCACATTAATTCAACATACAAACATTTATTGTACCTGCCTCATGCTAGGTACTAGGGAAACAAAGATGAAACCAGTGCCATCCTTACCTTTGAAGAGTTGGTAAGATAAATGACCAAAACTAGAATATTTACTATTCCCCAGGCACGGCCTAAACACTCACACCTCTGCTAACGGTCTTCTCCTTTGAGAATGTCTAGGTTCCTCAGCACCCGGGATTGCCTGTCCTGATCAATCAAGACAGACACCGTCTTTACCCCATTCGAGCCTCCATTCTTATCGCTCAAACTTACTCTGCTTGGTATTAAAATAGAACCAGAGAAGAAAAGGATTTACCCAAAGTGAAATAAAACAGTTGGTATTTATGTAGTGACTTCCATGTGCCAGTCATTGTTCAAAGCACTTTACACATGTAATATTTTAAAATTCTCAAAATAACCATATGAGATAGGTGTTATTACTATCCCCATCCTCAGGATCGAGGAAAGGGAGGCAACAGAAAAGTAACTTGCCCAAAGAGGTACCAAGCAAGGTTCACTTTCAAGCCTTATGCTTTACTGTCAAGTTGGTTACAGGGCTGACTGGAATACTGTAACTTCTAATTCTCAGGCCTGAGCACTTTCCTGCTCATCAATTCCTGTTTCACGACTTAAATTCAAGCACGAGGGCAAGAACGATGTCTTACATCCCCCACAATGCCTAGTAAGGGTGCAAGTACTTAGTAGGTACTCGATAAATTGATTGGATGAGCTGTCCCATTGAGGGGAGGGGAGAAGTGGATAATGATTTAAACAAACAACAACAGCTAAACAAGAGCAGCGGCCTCCAGGTCTCACGTCACCGCTAGATCCCTCTTGACCCCCCCGCCAGAGAAGGAGGACCCTCCCGCGCCCTTTCGGAGCGTCGGTGGCCCGGCTCCGGCTCTGCGCTCCATCCTCCCAGCCAGCAGGTGCCCCCAGACCCCCGGCTCCTCCTCCGCCGCCGTCACAGCCTCGTCCTCCGCCTCTGGCTCCTCCGCTTCCTGTTGCCGCGATCCGGGCCGGGAGCTGCGGGCGCCCGGGCGCCCGAGGCTTCCCGGTGCGCTCCGCCAGGTAACCGCTCGGCGCGAACTGCCCGGCCGGGGTGGGCACGGGGCCCGCGCGGCCCATTGGTGGGGAAGGAGGCGGCAGAGGGCCCGGGCTCGCCTCCGAAGGGGAGCGGGCCTCCTCCTGCCTCGGACGCCCGAGGCCTTCCTGCGCCAGGCTGCGGCGCCAGCGGGATGCGGGGATAACGGTGCCTGGCTCCGGCTCTTGGTCCGGGCGTGGCCGAGCGTCGCAGGCACCGCCGCGCGGAGATGCGATCGCCGTCCCTGCGAGGCCCCGGGGCCCGCGCTCGCCGCCAGCCACGCCTGCTCCAAGGCTCCTCCTCGCCAGTCTGGCCCTGGAACGGGAGAAACCAGGAGAGGAGCCTTGGACCTCTGAGCCGCGATGGCCTTCCAAATGCCCTTCCGTTCTTTGGCAAAAACCAAGAGCAAAAAGCCGAAACCCACACAGGGAGTTCCCAAGGTCACAGAGTTGTGTCTGCCATTTACGAATGTCTGTTCTTTTATTTAAGTGTTTGTAAATGGGCTACTGTTTTCTCTGTTCTGCCAAGGAATTAGGATTCAGAGAAGAAGACTCTAAAAATACTAATAGGCATATCCAAATGAGCTGATCCGCATTACTGGCCAGTGACCCTGGCCTTTAGAAGGAGATAAGGGAGGGCAGTTCTCTTCACCTGGGATACTTTGTATTTCTGGCCCTTACTCTGAGAATTGGCCTTGATGTTTTACAAAGTTTATCTCAGAACTCCATGTCAGAACTGGACCGGACTGTAGAGTTCTTCAGTCCTAGTCTCTTTCTTTCCTTTCCCTTCCTCCCCTTCCTCTTCCTTCTTTTCTTTTCTTTAATTTCTTCTTTTTTTTTTTAACTGTGGTTCTAGAGGTTAAAGTGATTTGCCCACACTCTTATGGCTAGTCTCTCTAGGGACAGAGACAGAATTGGAACCCAGGTCTATTATGGACACCTACGGTTTTCTTGAATGGAAATCTGATTTCAGATGAAAGCTGTACAGAACTTGACCTTCATGAAGCCCTCTCTGGATAGCATTCTTGGGAAGTGGCTTGTGTATTGACGTCCACAGATAACTATTTCACTGGTCAGAATAAGGTTAAGCAATAAGCATAGCCATGCAGAAAATGTCTGCTGAGATGAAGTAGATATCTGATATGTTTTTGACTTTTTATTTGTACGTTTCAATGGAGGAGCTAATGAATACTAACTAATAACAACATCTTGCTCATTTAGATTTTAGTCCTGTGTGACTAAATTGACTCAGTTATAGTTGTTCTTGTCCTAACGTATTTGTCACCAGTAAAAGTTCCAAGGTACAGCTTTCTGGCTTCATTTCATTTTTAACTGAATAATTGCCTTAAGGATATTTTTAGATCTCAACAAAAACTCCCCTCCTCTTGAACCTTAGAATCCTTCTGCTTCACTCTTGGCAAATCTTTGGGTCGGATTTCAGAACTGAATAAAGCCAGGATTTCCCCCCAACCTCCAAGATGTCTGGACTCTTTGTTTAGTTCTGTATTTAAGTTTATCCCAAGTTTTGTTTTTGACTGATGAACCTGTGACCCAAATCCAAACCTCAGCTGAATTTAGTATCAGCTTAAAACCACATTAAACTGCCATGTGTCATGTGACCTCTAGCAGAAACCAACGTGGCAGTGTTCTGTTTTTTCATGAGTGCGTTTCATTGGGGTTTTTGAACTGTGAAGACATTATTTAATACATGTGCTTTATTTTCTGTGTATTATTGCCCAAGGTCAGTCATCGCTAGAGGGTTATTATTGACATTTACTCATCATAAAATGTGATGTCAGCCTACCAGCTCGGAGTGCAGTTCCTGGTTTCCAGTTTACAACATTGACCAGTTGCTAACATGTTATCTCTGAGGAACTTGGAATGATAAATACAGCCATACTTAAATAGAAGATTCTTGGCCGTGTAGATAAGGAAAATAAGATAAGGCAATATTTTTGAACTATTCTATAATAGAAATGAGGATATATACACAAAATGACCCAGTGCTGTTTTCTTAGGGTGCATCCTTTGTTTTTCTGGTTTTGGTCTTTTCATCACAGGATGGCATTAGCTCTGTGTCTGCAGGTGCTGTGCAGCCTGTGTGGCTGGCTCTCGCTCTATATTTCTTTCTGCCACCTGAATAAGCACCGAAGCTATGAGTGGAGCTGCCGCCTGGTCACCTTCACCCATGGAGTCCTCTCTATAGGCCTCTCCGCTTATATTGGCTTCATTGATGGCCCATGGCCTTTTACCCACCCAGGTAGGTAGGGGATTTTCCCTTAGGGATTTATGATTTGGGGGTAGTCTTAGAAGTATGGGACTTTTAAACAGAATTTGTACAATACTGAAGACTAATTCCCATTATAATTTTGTATTGGAATCCTTATTCTTCTTCATTGTTAACTCTGATATTGTTTATGTCACCTGTTGTTTCTGCTTTTCATAACTCTCTACTTTTAAAACAGATTTTAAATTGCTTGTTACAATTTAATTGGAAATACAAAAACTATAAAGCCAGTATCAACATCTTCCACTACCACCCCCGAAAAGACAAAAATAGAACTGTATCATACATATTTTTGGCAACTTGCAACTTTTACTTGACTGTCTATTCAAAAGACAGCATCTTTCCATGTCTATGTTAAGAGGATGAGATGTTCCTTATCCTTTTTGTTACTAGATGTACAAGTGTTACTTTCAGAAGTATGCAATTTTTTTTTTTTTGAGATGGAGTCTTGCTCTGTTGCCCAGGCTGGGGTGCAGTGGCTCAATCTCAGCAAGCTCCGCCTCCCAGGATCACGCCATTCTCCTGCCTCAGCCTCCCGAGTAGCTGGGACTACAGGTGCCCGCCACCATGCCCAGCTAATTTTTTTTGTATTTTTAGTAGAGATGGGGTTTCACTGTGTTAGTCAGGATGGTCTCGATCTCCTGACCTCGTGATCCACCCGCCTTGGCCTCCCAAAGTGCTGGGATTACAGGTGTGAGCCACCGCACCCGGCCAAGTATGCAAAAATTTTACCCCCTTGTATTAATTGGTTGGGGCTGCCATAACACAGTACCACAGAGTGGGTGGCTTAACCAGATGTTCATTTTCTTAAAATTCTAGAGGCTAGAAGTCGGAGTTCAAGTTGTTAGCAGGTTTGGTTTCTTCTGAGGCCTCTGTCCTTGGCTTGCACATGGCCGCTCTCCCACTGTGTCCTTCCATGGTCTCCCCTCTGTGTGTGTGTGTGTGTATGTGTGTGTGTTTGTATATGTATGCATATCTGTGTCCTAATCCCTTCTAAGGATAACAGTCATAGTGTGTGTGTGTGTGTGTGTGTGTGTGTGTATGTTTATGTATGCATACCTGTGTCCTAATCCCTTCTAAGGATAACAGTCATATTGTGTGTGTGTGTGTGCGCGTGTATGTTTGTATATGTATGCATATCTGTGTCCTAATCCCTTCTAAGGATAACAGTCATAGTGTGTGTGTGTGTGTGTGTGTATGTATATGTATGCATATCTGTGTCCTAATCCCTTCTAAGGATAACAGTCATAGTGTGTGTGTGTGTGTGTGTGTGTGTGTTTGTGTATGTTTATGTATGCATATCTGTGTCCTAATCCCTTCTAAGGATAACAGTCATAGTGTGTGTGTGTGTGTATGTGTTTGTATATGTATGCGTATCTGTGTCCTTATCCCTTCTAAGGATAACAGTCATATTGTGTGTGTGTGTGTGTGTGTGTGTGTGTGTATGTATGCATATCTGTGTCCTAATCCCTTTTAAGTATAACAGTCATATTGGATTACTCTAATTACCCCATTTTAACTTGATTACCTCTTTAAAGACCTTATTTTCAAATACACTCACATTCTGAGGTACTACCAGTTAAGGGCTTTAACGTGAATTTGGGGAGGGAGGACACAATGCAGCCCTTAACTCCCCTGGAATATAATTTTTAAAATATTTCTTTAGCTTTTCTTACTGAATTTCTGAGTTTCCCCCCAAACTGTCAAACTAATGAAACCAACTGTTACGCTTTGTGTTTTATGTGAAGATTCTAAATGGTTTCAAATATGTCAGGTCCTTAAAACCTATGTTCCTGGACATGAGCACACACTAACTTTTGGGGCCCTCTCCAGAATCTACTTTCAGGATGGGTTAAGACCACTGAGTGTTCAATAACGTAACCCATTAAGCTGAGAAAAAAATCTGACATTCAGGAAACAATGATTCAAGAGTCTGGAAATAAACCTTTAGCAGAGTAAAAAAAAAAAATAAAGTTTAGGATTTTAATTGAAGGAACAAAATAATTGGATTTTATGCTGTTCCGCGGAGAGGATACTGAGATTATTGCCTGTGTTCATTGAAGGATGCAAACTCATTGAAGTCTGATTCATCAGAACAGCATTTCCTGGGGTCTGAACATCGTTTAGTTTGATAAAGACCTAGATTTTATATTTTAGTCTTTCTTTGGTCCTCATTAAAAAGCATGTGCCTGCTATTGTTTTTGTTTCTTTAGTGTCTAGTAAGGTTTGAAAGACAACAACATAGGATCCCTGTGCAAGGTAACACAATTCCCAGTCACTCAATTTGCTTCTGTCTTGGTTTGTTTCAGGCTCACCCAATACACCTCTCCAAGTTCATGTCCTGTGTCTCACCTTGGGCTACTTCATCTTCGACTTGGGCTGGTGCGTCTACTTTCAGTCTGAGGGTGCCTTGATGCTGGCTCATCACACATTGAGTATCTTGGGCATTATCATGGCCCTTGTGCTTGGGGAGTCTGGCACAGAGGTCAATGCAGTCCTCTTTGGAAGTGAGCTTACCAACCCCTTGCTACAGATGCGCTGGTTTCTCCGGGAAACAGGGCACTATCACAGTTTCACTGGAGATGTAGTGGACTTCCTCTTTGTGGCTCTGTTCACAGGAGTGAGGATTGGTGTGGGAGCTTGCCTCCTTTTCTGTGAAATGGTCTCCCCCACGCCTAAGTGGTTTGTGAAGGCTGGGGGAGTAGCGATGTATGCTGTGTCTTGGTGTTTCATGTTTAGCATCTGGCGCTTTGCATGGAGGAAGAGCATCAAGAAGTACCATGCTTGGAGAAGCAGGCGGAGTGAGGAACGGCAGCTGAAACACAACGGACATCTCAAAATACACTAGCCAAGGCTTGCTCCAGATTATGGATTGGGTTAAGTCAGCCATGGGAACCAGGTTGGAAATATGACTGTTACATAATTACACTTATAACAAACTTAGGTTTCAATAAAGGGCTAAATGTATTGATCAATTTGGTCAGTCTTCAAGCCGAGCATATACCAGTATTAAAACACTAACTTCTACAGTAGCACAGTTGTAGAAAGTGAGAATACTCCATGGTAGTTGGGAATAAGTGAGAACTGTGAAGTGAGTACAACTGGCATTTGTTTTCATTTGTGGTGACCCTGGGTCCTCCTGTCCCTGGGAGGTTTGATGTTCAGGCAGTTTAGAAAGGAACTCGAAAAAGATTAGTGCTATTTCTTGTTCCTTTGAGAAGTAACTCTTTCAATAAACACTTATTTCTGCTTTCCATATAGCAATTTATCTAAGTTTACCCCATTTACTATAAAGTGAGGGGCTTACAGGAAGAGACACGCCTTTGACATTCTGAACATTAGATCGGGGAATTGGGTCGCTTAAACAGAGGGGCATAGGAGGGTGAGAGTGAAACTGGCAGTGAGGGGGAGGGCTACTTACTGAACCTCCTATACCAACTGTGCCAGAGGTGCCCAAGACCACTGCCAGGTTCTGTAATTCTCTGGGAAGACTCAGTGGACTCAGCATATAGTCTTACTTATAGTTTTGATTTATTATAGTGAAAAGATACAAAGAAAAATCGGTAAAAGGAAAAGGCACCTGAGACAAAGTCTAGGGTAAAGCAAGCACAAGTTTCCAGAGTCCTCTCCCAATGGAATCACACAGGATGCACTTAATTCCCCTAGCAGTGATTTGTTACGACATGTGAATGAGTTGTCTACTGGACAAGGTCACTACAGACTCAGTGCCCAAAGTTTTTACTGAGGACAGGTCATCTAGGCAGGCTTTCCCTGGCAGATAGCAAAATTCAAGACTCTCAAAAGGAAAGCAGGTGTTCAGCATAAGCCATATTGTTTGCACAAGCAGTTCAGACACAGTAAGCCAGTCTTATCAGTTAATTGTGGGAGCCCCTCCAAAATCTAAGTTCCCAAATGCCGGCCAGTGGCCAACCCTGTAATCAGGCCTCTCCAAGGATAGCAGTTTAGGCCTGCTATGTTAACTCTTTTCTGCACAAAACCTATAGAGTTAGGGCTTTGGATCTGAGATGAATGAAGTGTGGGTAGATTTACTGAGTCCTGTTATATGGGTTCTGCCCTACCAGGAAAACTATGCCAGTTCTCAGGGCTTTTGTGCATTAATCTCCTAGGCATTTGAGGCTATGACTAAATTCCATAGGGATTTATCATGTGGATTCCACTGTGCTTGAGATGGCAGTTTAGATTTCAGCTCTGCTGTACATATTGCAAACTAGAGCCAAAGACTTTAAAGTGTGTACTGGCCTCAGGGGGATGAGGTTAATTTTTTTTTTTCATTTTAGATACTTTCCCTTTTAGTACTCCTCCTACTTTTCTTATTTTTACTAAAAAGGTACCACTCTATGAACAAACTAATAAAACAAGGCCAGTCTTGGAAGGAAAAAAATAATAATTCTTAGTGTGACAGTCTCCAAGAGAAGCAAGAATATAAGCTTAGAACAAGGGGTTAAGAATCCAGAATTCCTGGGTTCTTTTAACTAATTTTGCTACTCACTTGCCACTTTGGAGAGCTACTCACTCACTTTGGATAGGTTACTTGTTTCTTCTTTGCCTGAGTTTAAACCTATTGTGAATGAATGAAATACCCTGTAGTATATTTCATAAATACATTATGTGGCATTTTATTAATGGAGGTCTTTAATGTAGGGCTTTTATGGAAATATGAAGTATTTATGTATTTATTGATTATTTATTTTTACCATGTTATTGAAGTCAATGGTGTTTGATTAGCTCAGTGGGTGAGCAAGCATATGGTGCTACTGGAGTCAAGGCTGGTCAGTAGGAAGCATCAGTCCATTCCATGGCCACTGGTAATCTAACGTAATGAATGGTGTCTTTTGTTGTTGTTGTTGTTGTTGTTGTTGTTTGAGACAGAGTCTTGCTCTGTCGCCCAGGCTGGAGTGCAGTGGTGTGATCTCAACTCACTGCAACCTCCGCCTTCTGTGTTCAAGTGATTCTCCTGCCTCAGCCTCCCGAGTAGCTGGGACTACAGGCGTGTGCCACCATGCCTGGCTACTTTTTGTATTTTTAGTAGAGACGGGGTTTCACCATGTTGGCCAGGCTGGTCTTGAACTCCTGACTTCATGACCCACCCGCCTCGGCCTCCCAAAGTGCTGGGATTACAGGTGTGAGCCACCGTGCCCAGCCATGAGCGGTCTTGAAAATGAAAAATGGTCTTGGCCACAGAAACCAGGTATGAGGGAGTGGTTGGAATGGTATAAAGTCATCACTGTTAGGGAAACAGTAACTTTAAATGCATGTTAACAGTGGGTCTTTAAAAATGAATGTCATTTGGTTAAAGAGTTTTGCTGGGCATTGAGATAATCTGACAGCATCTCCACTTCCTGTTTTTTTTCTTAATCTCCACTTTTTTTTTTTCTATGATGAGCGCCCCTAAAATGCTGGTAAGCTTCTTTCCAACAAAATTGCGGTCAAAGTAGGATGCTGGGGAATGCTGATTTTAGCAAAAGCTTGTAGAAAAGAGTGGCCTGGCACATGAGCTTAAAAAAAAGAAAAAAAGCTGGCTCTTGAATTTTGGCACAGTGCAACCTGTTCCATACCAGACAAATGAACAGGCTTAATCTGGTACCAATTCTTTTTCTCTCTTACTCCTCAGAAGTGAAGGGACTGCAGATCTTGTTGTTTTGGGGACACTTTCATGGAACTGTATGTAGGTTTTTTTGAATGGTGAGAAATCTGAATAATTGGTAAGGGGAAGGGAATCCCTCATTTCAGCTTTTCTTGATGTTGTTACTAATAACTATGAAAAAACTTCTGAGAGAACAATGTGAACTGAAGATGACTCAGCAGTTAAGACAATGCTAAGTTCTGAAACCACAGGTAAATGAAGGGCTAATTAATGTGTGGTATACTTGGACAAAATGAAGTACTCATTTGCACTGGATTACTGTGTAATGATAACGAACACTGTTCAAGAACGATTTATATTTCCATAAGATTTGTACTAAATTTTATAAAAGTAAAACAACTTTTTATAAACCCAGAGTCTGTCTTTATATTTATGTGGTGGTTTTGCCAAGAAGTTAAAAAAAGCCTTTTGACCTGTAGAAATGTTGACCTGTATTCATACTTACTAGTGAATATCTCTAATCTGCTGTTCATTATCCATCATTCCCCCTATTTTTTTTTATTTTGGGGGGTAACAGTTGACATACACAAAACAGTTTGCCAAAAGAGAGAGGAAGAACCTTAATGTGTTTCTTGTTCTGCCACCTGTTTGGACACTTGTCTTGAAAATGTTGATGTCAAGTGAGTTGACATCAGAGACATCATCTGAAGACAGCTGGAGGCCCTGTCTTGAGGACTGTACTACCAATGCCTAAAACAGTCTGGGATGCATAGTAGATACTTAGTAAGCATGTTGAAAGAATGGACAAGAGGATGAGAATGTGGTTTAGAATCATCCCCATTGGAAAACCTCCTCAAAGGTTTTCCCAGTGGATTGGGTCATCAATGTCATTTTTCTAAGTAAAGTACTACGGACCCTGAGGAGTGTGTTCTACCCAGACTGGCTTGACTTTCTGAAGGCATCCTATAGTTACAGCCTTTAGAACAGTTGAGCTATCGGCAGCTTTAAAGAGGCTTTCAGTTTTTTTTTTTTTTAAATCATTAATGCTTTGTAGGTGACTATAGAGATTTTCATCATTTAAAAAAATTAGTTCTGGAATGAATAACCACTGGCTTAATTCAATCTTTTGCTTACCATCTTCTGAAGCTTTCCCACAGCAAAATGCCTTCTTTGCTCACAGCTAGAACCGTGGGTCTGTTTAAGTTTGGAAAGATCTTGAAAGCAGCTTGCCAAGAGGTTTTGTATGCAAGGAAGAGAAGGTGAATTAGGAAACTTTCCCAGTTTGTTTTATTCCTGAAGCTTAAGTATTGAGGCTTCCCTCAAGTATTAAGGGAAGAGAGGAACTCCAAAATGCATGATTTGATGAGTCATTGGGTTCAATTAATTTTATACTTACACTGTAACATTATTAGGATAGGGGAAAATAAGATATTTAGTACTTTTAAGAAAGATTTATTAAGTTTGGGGATAAGGTTTGCATTTTGGTCAGTATATATATGTATATATGTGTGTATATATATGTGTATATATATGTATATATATGTGTATATATGTATATATGTGTGTATATGTGTATATGTGTGTGTGTGTGTATATATATATATATATATATATATATATATATATATATGAATGGGATTCCTTCCGGTTGCATGTAAACACTCAATTTAAGAGTCTTCAGGGTAGAATTGTCATGCTAGAATACACCAGCAGGTGGCAATGTGTCCTGGTCTCATCATTAGGGAAGTGCCTTGGCTAATCTGCTTCTATTCTTTCCAAAAATAAACATTACAAAATTAGTTGGCTGTGCCTTGAACCTAAAAAATCGAGCAATAAAGAGTCGTCTCTGGTCTCTGTTTATCTTTTCCTTTTTTTCCCCCCCGTTCTAACTAACGTCAGCGTGAGCTCATGCCTCTATTCGGGGATAATGATCCTTTCATGAACTGTTGCGGAATGACTTTTTGCAACAGCATTGTTAAGAGGTAATTGTTTCCTCTCTCCACATCCACTGTTTATTAGATTTGATTTGCTACTTGGATTCCACAAAATGGCTGAAATCCCTTGTCACCAACATAGGTTTAAGCTCAAAAGTCTGAAAATAGTTGGATAAAGGGAATAGCCACTTTGGATGTTTGCAGGCAGAACTGAAGAACTGTATTACATGTGGTACCTAAATTGCCAAAATACTGAATTATTCAATCATAAAACTAGATGGGTATCTAAAGCTCTCTACCCAGTAGGGGAAAAAACCGAAAAACCGTTTGGGAATCCTTCAGAGAGAACCGTAATGCTATTTACTGGATAAATATACTTCATTTTCTTCTCCCAGTTCTTTCCACAACACGCTTGTTAAGTCGCCATGGAAAGCACCATGCTTTATCAATTTGGCAAATAACACATTTCATTTTGCCAAGGCAGAAACAGCCTAAAAGTAATATTTATACCGAGAAACCCTGGCTGCAGTCCCCAGCTGCTCTCCCGCAGCCCTGCGCCTCCGGCTCATGCAGCGCTCTCCCCCCGGAGCCGGCAGGTGCCCAGGTGAGCGGGGCCTGCGGAGGCAGCGAGGGGCGCCGGCCGGGAACCGGCAGAACGCGTGCAGCCAGAAGACAGGAGAGATAATACATTCCCTTAAGTAATAAAAGTTTCCAGGACAAGGGGGGCTGGTAATTTTCAAAGAGCCTCCCGGCACGATGTCCTCGGGATCTGGGGGGCGCTCTCGGGCGGTCTCTGGTGAAAGTCGACTTAGTACAAACTGGACTCGAAGGGGCATGTCTCGGCACTCAGGGGCCCAGGCGCCGCGGGAGGTGGGTGGGCCTCCCGGGGCTGCACGGGTCCCACCTCCCTCTGCCCCGTAGGACTACTTTGCCGCTCTCCCAAACCGGGCTCCGGCGGAGGCGTCCGTTCAAGGGCGAGAGCGCGGCCCTGAGCGGCGGAGGGATCCCGGGTGAGGCGGCTTCCCGAAGTCAGAGGGGAGGGGGCCATAAAGTCGGCGGGGGACGGGAAGCGCGAGCTCGCGCCGGACGCGGCCAGGGCCGGGAAACCAGAACCGGAACCGGAACCCGCGCGCGCGCCCGCGGTTGCGCGGCCCCCACGGCCGCCGGCCTCCTCCGCTGTCTGCGCGCGCGCCCGCGAGGGCCTCCAGAACCCGGCGAGCCGGCCCTGCGCCGGGAGACGCCGCCGCCTCCGCCTCCCGGACCAGGGCTTCCAGGCCGGGCCGGACGGGCATCTCCCGCCCCTCGCGGGGAGCGTCGGGGAGGAGCCGCCGCCTCTGGCGATTGCGGAAGAGTCCGGGCCTCAAAGGGATGGGGAGCAGTCCGCGGCGCTGAGAGACCCGGGTCCCTGTCACCTCGGGCCGCGGGACCTCTCCGCCGGCGCCAGCGGCTCGTCCCAGCACCGGGAGCCTGGTGAGGGCGGCGAGCACAGAAGGAGCCCCGGGCCCGGGACATGGAATCGCGCGAGCCCGGCGCGGGACGGCCGGAGACGCGGCCAACGCTGCGGCCACGAGCAGCCGGCAGCCCCAGATAGAGAGCCGGGAGGGAGGGCCCCGGCCCTTGCCGCGGCGGGGAGTTCGAGGCCCCGAGACTCCGGAGGAGGAGCCGACACCCGTCCGTGAGCTGATCCCGCCCCAGCCCCGGCGGGAGTCCCGGGTCCCCTTCCCACTGCGCGCGGATTTCCCTCTCTGAGGAAGTTTATCCTTGTGCCTTCTGGAGGATTTCTCTCTAGCTCGACTCACTCTGGACTGACTCGCTCCCTGGCTTTCTCAGTTCGTTTTGGGAGATAACTTGTTTTGCTCCAAGCCGCATCCGTTGACCCCTTACAGTCGGATGGTCTAGATGACTGAATGGAGTTTTGAGTTGGACTTTTGTGTCCCTGACGGAGTTGGGCCTGATCCCAGAGCACTGGGGGTGGGGAGGAGGTGTTACTGTAAAATGCAAGTTGGATAAAAGGAGGACCTCTCGCCAAGGGCCCCAATGAGTGGCACACAGTCTACTATCACCGACAGGTTGGTATGAATTCCTCCTTCGTTCGGCCTCCCGGAATCGGGCCCGACCTAGCAGGGGAGTCGGTGATTGCAGATTGCCTTTGGCCAGCGAAGTTGACAGGCAGAGGAAAGAGGGTTGTTTCGGAGCTGTGCAGTTAGCCTGGGGTTGCTGCCGAGTTATCCAGTTGATTGGCTTTTGGAAATGTAATTTTTCCGGAGAGAAACTTCCCTTCCGATTCTCAGAGAAGGGGGAGGCAAAACCATGATTGTGGTTTTCCGCCTGTAGTGTGCATTAGGATTGTGTACTCGTCTGGAAATCAGAGGAGAAGGTCATTTTAGGTGAAGGTCGGTGCCTGAAGTCGGCTCGGTATTGGTGTATTATTTATCAGCTTTAGCCGTGTCCTGCAGTAGATTCTCAAGACAATTACATTTTAGGAATTTCTACCTGTGAACTTAATGTTGAGCCTACTGCATGGTGATCTGGGAACTTGATCTCTTTCAGATGTTGACCTGCACGGTGTTTAATTATTATCTAATAACTTTCCAGAATGTTGACATTACCAGTAAATCACAGGTTCTTGCTGGAAGCAATGTCCAGGAGCTGAAGAAATGAGGGTAAATCATGGGGTTTGCTTTTAATTCTTGTATTTAAATATTTCGTCTTCCAGAAACACTTGGCGTTTAAGAGATATAAGCCGTAAGCATAGTGTAAGCGCGCAGCTGAATTTGTTGAGTTCTGTGTCTGTCCTTTATAGCACCTACCAGTGTTGCATGGTGGTGGGTGGCGAATTGAGCTAGACCATGTGTGGTTGAAGTGCAGTTTGCTTATCCTAAGTTACTCTTGTTTATAGGGTAAGGGATAAAAAGCATATTGATTCCTTGACCACATTTCATTCTCAATTTAATTATGACACTGCATGCTAGTCCCAAATTTGTCAGCTTGCTTTATTTTTAAGTCAGTCTTCGAATTATTACACCGTGAAAAAATAGATCAAGTAACTGAATTAGAGGGCCAAAGCTCTTTGATGAAAAGTGCAACAATAGTGCTTCTGCACAAAGTAGTCTTAATTTCCTAATAAGAGTTTTACCCAATTGTAAGACTCATTTGTTGATTTTAAAAGGGCCAAATTCCATTATCATACCATAACAGCTACTCCAGAAACAGAACTTCCTCTTCCTGTTGATGCTTTCCAGCATCACATGAATGTTCACTTAAAAGAGTCTGTTAAATATTTAAAGTATTTATATTTACTCTTTGTGTATTTTTCAAAGTGGGTTTTCATTTTCAATGAAATAATTTTTAACTTTTCCAAGAATACACTTAAGATAAGTATTGACAATGCTTATCTTACTTTCTTCTGGTTATCCCCATTTTTTTCCTTTCAGGGTGTTTTGCTTCTGAGAAATCACTTTTACGGGTGTGGGGATAATTGTTTTCCTGCTTCATTCAATTCTCGCTCTTTCTGTTGAGCCTGTAAACAAAAGTCTTGCTAGGAACTAATGTAATGTTGGTTTTCATTGCGATGCTGAGGTGTTTAATTTATGGAAACAGAACGGACTCATTCCACACACAAGTGAGTGAAAAGCCCTCAAGTAATGGTTTTTCTTCAGCATTGCTTCTCAGGGATTTTCCTTGTCTTCTCGTTATCTTGGAAATAGAATCTTGGAATTTGTATCCTCTTTATAACGTAGATGGCATATAAACATTCAATAAATATGAAATTACTGAAAGCCTGTTTCTTTTCTTTTTCTTTTTTTTTTTTTTTTTTGGCCAGGCACTGTGCAGGCACAAGAGATTACAAAATGAATATTGTAAGATTAATCTGCAAATTGGTTTGGGCATTAATGTTTTTTGAACTGGTTCAGGTGCTGCTGCCTAATTTTACATTTTTTTTTTTTAAAGAAAAGACCTTGGAAAGCCAATTAATAAGCACTGCTGAGACCTGTTTCGTAGGATTTTTTTTTACTAGGGTCTTTTTTTATTAAGAATTATTCTTATTTGACCACATTTAAATATATTTTGTAAATATAAAGCATCCATTTGCTGTTAAGAGAGTAGTTGTTCCTAATATGAATATATGTTGGGGTGAAATCTGGAGGTACTGGTTTAGTATTATTTCTCTGCCAAGGTGTCTTAACAAAGTTACGAGTATATAATAGTTTCTAGCTTTCTGTCAGCCCTACCTCATCCTTTTTTCGTAGTGTCTAACTCTTACTGTAGGTATATTTTGCTGACTCTAGAACTGTTGGAAAATTAACAGCACCAGTGTAGCTTTTTAGATAGAGATCCTTTCAAGTTTGAAGTGCTGTATGTGGTATGGCTTTGTTTCGTAGAGTGTGCAGAACCACCAGGCCAGCTGTGTGAGTTAGAGTTCTTTCATTGTGGTGCTTCTGACTACAGAGTCTGTCTGTCCTCAGTTGAAATCAGACTAGCTGGTTTTGGGCGTTGTTCTGTTTTGCAGTTTGTGGCAGGCGACACATGGCTGAACAAGATAAGGGTTTTATTCTTGTGTTAGGGACGTGCTGGGGCTGGGATGGAATTCAGCTATGTTTAGGCTCTGATTGGTCACTTTGGATACTCAGAACTCTGTTACATCCTGTTATTATTTTGCAGTTAAATCAACACATTAACTTGCTCTCTTCTCTTTCCCTTCATCTTTTACTCCCCAGTCCGCACCCCTTAAAACCTAAAACTCAAACTTTTTAAAAGACTTTAAACTCAAACTATGTTCATGGTAGCTATTACTTCTATGTAGTATATCCAAACAGCTTTAAAAAAAATGGTAAGCAATTTATGAGCCCTGGAGTCTGTAGTTTTCATCGTTTAGAATGAGCACTTGACAAGTGTAGAAATGTCTGATTGCTGCTTTTTAGTCTGCATTGATTGCTGCATTCAGTCTTAAAATACATCCTAATCGTTTCCAATCCTCCTACATGTCTTTCTTGTATCCCTGAGAATTTAGGGGTCCTATAGCAATTGGAATTTCTTCTGAGAGGTAGACAGGAGAGAATGCCCTTTTAGTAGACTCAGTAAATGATTTCAGGCCAGTGTCTATAACATTGAATTTTCAGGGACAGTACAGGTAGGAAAGTTATAGGGTTCTTCCTTGAAATAAATGGACTTTTGTTTTGGCTAGGGCTTATGAATTTTGTAGTTTTTGATTTATAGATAAAGACAGGTTTTTGATACAATTTTTTTAAAGCACTGAATTCAGCTTTGAGCTGTTTAACTTAAGCAGATTTTTAAAGTGAGTGTGGAAACCTGTGACTTTATATGCCTGTACCCAGTAATTAATGATACTTTTCATTAGTGATACTTTTTCTGTCAAAATTGCTGTATAATGGTTTTGATTAAAAAAAAAAGAGCTACTCATGTTTATATGTTATTTTCAACGTTGCATGAGTCATCTCTCGGCAAGGTGAAATTATTTGTAACCTTTTCTTGTAAAGTCAGCCAGTCCATAAATACAAAATTGAAATGGGGGCCAAAGATCACAGTGTTAGTTTTGTATTCAGTTTTATCTTTGCCTTTTTAGTTCAGTATAAAATCTTGAGTCATAAAGGTATGCAATAGTACATTCACTTGTACAGTTTTACATGAGTCAACATGCAGAATCTAAAGTAACTTTTTTTGAAAGTACAGTGTTGTAGTCTTCCTGATTAATGGTACATTTATATGATGTTCATATTCAGTAAGGTGACAAGAGAAGCTTTATTTGAAATCATTACAAAAATATGTTAACCTTGGAATACCACTTAACACATTGGTGGTTTCCGGTTGTTAACATGTATATACCATCGAGTTAACATGTAGGTTTTTTTCTTTTTTGAGTCTTGCTCTGTCACCCACGGTGGAGTGCAGTGGCGTGATCCCCTCACTGCAACCTCCGCCTCCCAGGTTCAAGCGGTTCTCCTGCCTCAGCCTCCTGAGTAGCTGGGATTACAGGCACCCACCACCACGCCTGGCTAATTTTTGTATTTTTAGTAGAGACGGGGTTTCACCATATTGGCCAGGCTGGTCTTGAACTCCTGACCTTAGGTGATCCACCCGTCTCGGCCTCCCAAAGTGCCGGGATTACAGGCTTGAGCCACCGAGCCCAGTGGTTTTTTTTGTTGTTGCTGTTGTTGTTTTTTAACTAAGTTTGAGTTTTCAGTTTAAAAAATGAAATTTGAGGCAAACATTCATGGAATCCATAAATGGTGAATTTTACATATGTTTCTGTGGAGCATTGCGATTCCAGGGAAAACAGTTGGAAAATATTTCATTGTACATATGTGGTTGCCTCTTCTAAATGTCATCCAGTGGTGGGTATGAATTGCTTCCCAAACTGATACGGGTCACAGAAACAGCAAGATAACATACTGGTTCCCAGAGGTAATTGAAGGGACTCTTTTGCATCATGGTTGTCTGACATTATTAGAAATGTTTCTTATATACTTGCTTGTTTCCTAGAAATTGACCATGACACATTTTCAAGAATAGTAGCTTAACTTCTTTTGGTCTTTTCTGTTAAAACTTGGTTTTGATGATGTTCCTGAGCTTTATTTGAAGACATGCTCCTTTCCCTTATAATAATTACAGGTTTTCAAAATAGTGCCATGTGAGTTAAAATTTTTAAATCAACAAAATTATATTTTTGCCTTCTTTTGAGTAAAATACCATCATGTAGGTAATGATATCCTGTGGTAGTATAATTCTTTAACATTTACAATATTTTCAGTTCAGTACAGGGCAGATCATGCTTCTGTCATTTACACTTTAAGCTAATTCATACAGTTTAAGTCAAGATTTTAAGTCAAGATTATAAAACTAGAAAGGGCAGACCCAAGATTTTAACCTAGATTTTCTGGCTCTCAAGTCCCCCATTGTTTTTTTTCATTTTAAATTATTGTCTTTCTTTGTACTGTATTTTTCTGTGCTATTTTCCTTTAGTAACTCTCCAGCTTGATGAAGTCAGTTGGATTTTTCTCTTACAGCATAGTTTCTAGTACCTTACCCATTCTAATTTTAAATATCTCTTGAGGATAAAGCTTTTGTCACTTCCTCAGGAGACTGAAGCACAGTCTGATAGATCTTGCTGTCAGGAAGTTTTTCCTGATCTTTACGTCTAACTTTTCTTTTAAGTTGTCCTGTTACTTGTATGTACTTGCTGTACCAGGCTAAATAATGCTCTCCTCCCATTTTATGTTTGTATGATTCTAAATGTTTCAGACGGTTATTCATTATCCTTTCCGGTCCCCTTCCCTTACTCTTTGCTTAGCCAAGCTGTATGCTTTCTGTTGATCCATTGTCTAAAAATCAGCTTATCTTAATATTTCATTAGCTTTTTCTCAGTTGCTCTCCTACTGCAAAAATATGGGTAAAGAGATTCTCAAGGTCATTTTGATTCACTTTTATTTTAGATAGTCTTTAGGATGGATATGAGATATGTCACAGTCAAATGAAACAAATTTATACAAACAGCATGATTACCAAATCAACTAATTAAGCAATTACTCATGTTCTAAAAGGCTTTTTTACAAAGCGATTCTTTCAAATATGAGTACCCTCAATGTAACAAATGTTATCAATTCTATGACAAAAGGGTAGGGTATAGAAATAATGTTAGCCACCTTTGATGGAAAATCATCTTGTTGCAATATGATGAAATACATCAGGAAGTTGTTTCTTATTTTTTCCAGTGGTTTTTCAGTTCGTTATCTTAAATTGTAGGTCAAAACATTCCTCGATGTTTGGTTTATTTTTACCTTATTGTTTTGTCTCCTCTTATTTCCACATGTTAGTGAAATAACAATGCTTAGCAGTATTTTTTTTTTCAGTAAAATGGATATTGTGAAAATTGAAATATTTTACTTTCTTGCTGTTGTATTTACAAGAATTGTTAATGACAAGACAGTGTAACAGAAAAAGTGCATATTTAGATTATTATAAAATCTGTAAGACTGTAGACCTTTTGAATACTTTATTAGCATATTTTCTTTAGTACTATTTTAGTTTCAAATTATTGAGATAGATGTCCTTGTTTTGTATTTTGCTAATATTAATATTTTGTATTTTGGTAATACTAAAATTTGCAAACATGCCAAATTTAGAGCATTTTACTTTTTCAACTTAGAATATCTGGAATCATCAAGATAGTCATATAGGGAAGACCGCTATAAGACAGCTTCTAACTCCAATAGAAGCCTATGAAGCTAGTGCCTGGTCAGAGGCTGTGCCTAAATTGCATGAGTATATAGTGTCGACTTTTAGTAAAAGAAAAAATACACTAACTTTACCTCTTGAATTAGCATGCACCAATGCAGTTTAGATTCATACCGAAACAGGATCTTTTACTAATTCAAATGCTGAGTCCTGGTTTTTGAGATCACAGTCACATGACAGGCCTGGGTGGCTTCTCAGTGTCTAGAGACAAGCAAATCTACTGGCCAATGAAAAGTAGGTTTCCTGTCTTGGACTGCAAGTAACAATTCATGCAGAAATTGGAACTATATAAGAGAGCCTGGTTTTAGTTAATGCTTTCAATTAGCTGCTTGTCACACTGCTTTTTCTTTTGGTGTTATATAACACATTAGAGTCATTTAAAGGTACACTCTGATACTACAGTTTTTGTCAAATATTACATATAAATGTTGATTTTACATTCATATACTCAAAAGATCAAAGAGGACTTTGTAGATCTTTTATGGATTCAAAAAAATGTAGATTATTTTGTTGTAGAAAAACTGGCCAGGCGCGGTGGCTCATGCCTGTAAATCCCAGCACTTTGGAAGGCTGAGGTGGGCGGATCACTTGAGGTCAAGAGTTCAAGACTAGCCTGGTCAGCATGGTGAAACCCTGTCTCTATTAAAAATACAAAAATGAGCCGGACCAGGTGGCACATGCCTGTAATCCCAGCTACTCGGGAGGCTAAGACAGGAGAATCACTTGAACCCGGGAGGCGGAGGTTGCAGTTAGCCAAGATTGCACCACTGCACTCCTACCTGGATGACAGAGCAAGACTCCGTCTCAAAAAAAAAAAAAAAAAAAAAAAAAAAAACTGGAGACTTCATCAGCCTCTGAAGGAATGATACCTGAAATTGATCTTGTAATGCAGAAAGTGGCTATATGTTATCCAGAAGAGTAACAGATACCCCAAATACACTTGCTAACACAAGAAATCCTGTGAAGGTGCTTAGACATACCCTTCCATAGATTTTAGATGGGTTATCTGCCTATGTTCCAGACACAAGCCGATATGTTGTGGTTTGCCCAGTACAGTCTCTGTGGTTTACTGAGAGGAAGTGGTTCTTGTGGGTGAAGGTCTGATCTTTTCAGAGATTGTTGGTGGCATATGCACTGTCAGCCTATTTCCTGTTTTATTGGCTGTTTAGCAAGACCTTCTTAGGGCAAGTGCTGCTGAAGAGGTATTTAAATATTTTGTATTGGCAGGATAGATGGTTATAATGATGTATTATTATATCACTACTTCTCAGGTGATATGAGAGTTAAATGAATGTTTGTGAAGTGCTTTGAGATCTTAGGATGAAAAGTACAGACATGTTCTTAGTCATTTGCAGGTTACTGCTATGTTCAGATATTGCTCTCTTGAAGTTAAAACTTGTTCATGTAGTAAAGTGTTACTCTATTAAACTTGATTTCTGTAACCATTCAAGTGTTGTTTTATCACCACAAGAGTCATGATTAGAATTTTTCCCCTTTTTTTCCTTTCTTTCAATGCTCCTTTATGATTTTACCCTAGAAGAGTTTCCTTAATAGATTCCTTGCTCTAGTACTGGTTAAGGCATATTTACCAAACTTAACACCTAGCAAGCTTGTCCAACCTGCCTTATTTTGCTGTTGTTCTTCTGTTTTGTTTTGTTTTAGGCTTTCAGCAGCCTGAAGCCATGGTTTTTAGTTTCTGTCTCTAGTGATAAAACGGAAAGAGGGATGAGGAAGGGGCTTTACTGGCCCATCCAGAAACAGAAACTAAGAACCCATGACTGTATTCTCTCCCTTGAACAACTGTAACTAGAGCAAACCTCTTTGCCAATTTAACTGGCATACTAAAATAATGAAATTGTGAGAATTTCCTTTGAGATTAGTAACTGTACCATCCATATACAAAACACTATATTGCTTTGCTGAAACCTGAAAGTGAGCAAACTGATAGAAATGCATATAACAGGCCGGGCGTAGTGGCTCACGCCTGTAATCCCAGCACTTTGGGAGACCGAGGTGGGCGGTTCAGGAGGTCAGGAGATCAAGACCATTCTGGCTAACACGGTGAAACCCCGTCTCTGCTAAAAATAGAAAAAATTAGCCGAGTGTGGTGGCGGGTGCCTGTAGTCCCAGCTGCTGGGGAGGCTGAGGCAGGAGAATGGCATGAACCCAGGAGGTGGAGCTTGCAGTGAGCCGAGATCGCGCCACTGCACTCCAGCCTGGGCACAGAGCGAGACTCCGTCTCAAAAAAAAAAAAAAAAAAAACGAAATGGCGTATGTCATACTCCTAAATATATATATATATACAGTATTTAGCCTTGGACGTTAAAAAAATTAACAATGAATGGGGGAAGGCTTTATTTAAAGCTAAATTGTTAGCTAATACGTGAGTTCTTCAAGGGTATAAGAATAGTTCTTATTCATTTTTAAGTAATTATCGGTAGCCTTATTATATTTTTATTTTTTAATACTGAAAAGCAGAAGGAAGAAAAATAAATGGCCCAAATGATCCAACTACCCAGATGTTGCTGCTCAGGTTAAACGCACACACGCATACACACACAGAAAATTCAAATCATATAAAATGGTATAAAAAAAAGTATTCCTACACACCTGTTAGTTTTCATACCTTCTCCTCATAGGTAACAATAGTTAATTTTTTTGGTTTATCTTCTGAAACATTTAAAAATATATACCAGCCTATAATTTTATTTTTTGCACCTACTCCATAATAAGTGTATCTGTCTTCTTTTGCTAGGTTATGCTGCTGTAGCAACACTATCAAATTTCAGTGGCTTACAACACTGCTTTTCTTCTTGCTTATGCTACACCTTGTCAGCTGTGGATTGACTGCAGCATTGCTTCACGTTTCTTATTTTGGAACCCTGGCTCAAGGAGCATCCCCTGTCTGGGCTGTGCCATTATTGTGGATGAGGGAGAGAGCAAGAAAACAGATGCAGACATACAATGGCTCTTAAAGCTTTCACTCAGTCATGTTGTATGTCACATCAGCTCACATGTCAGTGGCCAAAGCAAGTCATATGGTCAGAGCTCACTGTCAGTGGGGTAAGGATGTATAGTCCTTCCACAGGTGGCATTGCAAGTTGCATGATAACAGATAAGGCTGTATAATCCTCTTAAGGAAAGTGGAGGTTAAATAATTTGGAACAATAAATAATATAGTCTACATCAACAAGTTCAGTAAATGCTTGTTAAATGGGTTATTTGGAGTCTATGAAAGTTTCTTTTTTTTTAGTGGGAAATTCAAACATAAACAGAAGTACAGAGAATGGTATGATGAACCTCCCTTGTTCCCTTTATTACTCCAGCAGTTAATGTACGGACAATCTTGGTTTATCTGTTTTCTTTCCCCCCTTCTCACTAGATTATTTTGAAGCAGTTTTTGGATATCATAATTTCACTTACAAGTATTTCACTAAGTATTTTTAAGAGATAAAGTCTGAACGTGTGACTTCTCATAGTAAATTATTACTGTCTGATAGGGTGAGGTAATAGTACTATATAGACTGACAGGTGTCAAGCAGCAGAGCACGTTCATAGAGCGTATCTAGAATTTGACAGCCTGAACTTGTTTTGATTTCATTTTGAGTATTTCTGGAGGAGGCTTACAACAGAATGCCATCTACTTTTCCAGCCTCTCCCTTTCTTTCTTTCTTTCCTTCCTTCCTTCCTTCCTTCCTTCCTTCCTTCCTTCCTTCCTTCCTTCCTTTCTTTCTTTCTTTCTTTCTCTTTCTTTTTCTTTCTTTCTTTCTCTCTGTCTCTCTCTGTTTCTCTCTCTCTCTCTCTCTCTGTCTGTGTGTGTGTGTGTGTGTGTGTGTGTGTGTGTGTGTAGCAGAAGCAGGTAATTAACCTCTGGAAAAAATAACATTGCAACAGATTTGATTTGCAGAGGTTTCATTTCTCACTGAGCCTCTGTTGGAATGATGCCAGTTGAAAGGAATCCCAGCTCTTAATGGCTCCAAGTCTTCTGGGAGCTCTCAGTGATGTTATTTTCTTTGGAGAAGAACATCAGAATCATTTATAAAAATCCTGTGTTCACCCATGCCATTTGCTCTGTGGAGAAAGGATCTATCATATCTTTAAGATGATCTCTAAGATGATATAAAAGTAAAGAAATTCATCTATCTAATTTTAGTTTAGAAATCATTAATGCCAATTTCAGCTGCTCAGGTTAGTTTGTCTTGAAGGCCTGAAAGCCTCCATTTTGATTCAAGATGTCGTAGATTTTATGAGCATTCAGTATAACCAGTAAGTTTGTCATTTCCATGGTTGTAGGGAATATGAGACATTCTGTTATGGATCTAGGATTACCGTTTCACAGGACATTCTTTTTTTGGGGGGATTGTTAGGTAATAAACAGTGGGACACAAAATAAACAGATATAATCTCTTCAGTTTGTAGATTTTCAGGTGACAATGAGGTGGCAGAAGAGGATTTGTGCAGATTAGGAAATAAATAATTATTGTATATAACATGATGGAAATATTTTAGTATAGTACCACTATCAAATTAATTTTGTTTCCTTAACTAGCTTCTTTCATTGTGTACAGAGACACTTATATTAAAGTAGTCTTTATAGATATCCAGTTAGCTTTAGTTTTTTCTAATTACATTATATTGCTAGTCTCATTTCAGAGTCCATGTAGGAACTACAGTAGAAAAGTAGCTATCATTGGCTTGTAAATAAAATTACTTAATTTTGAGTTTTTCTTGGGAAGGAAAAACCAGTTTTACAGAATTAGTGGAGTTGATTCTGGTTTTGGTTACTTGTGACAATATAGTCTATTTAAAATATAAATAAATAAAAATTTGCCCAAGAAGAATAAGTTTGACTTGCCATGATTCATACTGTTTTTCTGTTGTTGTATCACAATTGAGAACATTAGTTTCAGAGGTAATAGTTTGTCAGTATGGGTCGAGTAGCTCTAATCCAAAAATCCAAAATCAGAAATGCTTCAAAATCTGAAACTTTTTGGGTGCCATGTGCCACAGGTGGAAAATTCTACACGTAAGTACATAATACAAACTTTGTTTCATGCACAAAATTATTTACAGTAGTGTATAAAATTACCGTTAGGCGGGGGCCAGGCATGGTGGCTCAAGCCTGTAATCCCAGCACTTTGGGAAGTCGAGGCAGGCGGATCACCTGAGGTTGGGAGTTTGAGACCAGCCTGAACAACATGGAGAAACCCCATCTCTACTAAAAATACAAAATTAGCTGGGCATGGTGGCACATGCCTGTAATTCCAGCTACTCGGGAGGCTGAGGCAGGAGAATCGCTTGAACCAGGGAGGTGGAGGTTCAAGCGAGCCAAGATCATGCCACTGCACTCCAGCCTGGAAAACAAGAGCAAAACACCGTCTCAAAAAAAATAATAATAAAAAATTACCTTCAGGCTGTGCATATAGAGTGTACGTGAAACATTAATGAATTCTGTGTTTAGACTTGGGTCCCATTCCCAAGATATCTTACTATGTATATGTAAATGTTCCAAAACACAAAAAAATTCAAAATGAAACACTTCTGGCCCCAAGCATTTTGGGTAAGGGATACCCAATGTGTACCTTTGTTAGGATAATATACTTGTACCTTGGTTGTATTTTAGTTGCAATTGTTAGTTGCACAATTTGGGGGAATGTTTGAGGTCTCTATAGTAGTTACTGTATTTACCAGGAAGCCCTGCATGATTAGAATTCTTGAGACAGTGTATAAAGTTAAATTGGGTGTGTTGCCTGGATGTGAACAGTAAAAAAGGAGAAGCTTCTCACCATACAATTATAGCTTAAAAGGAACCAGGTACAATTCTGTTTCCAAAAATAGAAAGTAAGTCAAATATTATATGGATATGTAATAGTAATTATATTAATTTTGACTCCCTGGCCGACTTTTTTTTTGAAGCTATCATTTTTTGTCAGAGATAAAAAGTAGCTTTTAAAGGAAAAGATATCTCAGCCCTTAATTATGTGTGTGTGTATGTGTGTGTATGTATTTATTTATATATTTTAGCCCTTGTAAGAGAGGAGCAGTGGAAGGGAACTGAAGGAGCATGATATAGAGAAAAGAGCCTGGGTTTTGGTGTGTTGCATTTGTTCTGTTACTAGCTGGGAGACCTTGGGCAAATTTACCTCTCTGATCAGCAGTTTAATTTTTTCATCTGTAAAAATGGGAAGAATACCTACTTTGCAGAATTGTCGTGACGATTAAATGAGAGTGTGTGTGAGTACCTAGCACATCGTAAGAGAGAGCTCAGTAAGTTATAGTAGCTGTTATTGTTTAAACTTCAGGAATTAGCTAGGTTTTGCTAGAACTTTCATCTGTGCTTGTAAGATCTTTTTGAATCCATATGTATTTTTAGCAGCTGTGGCTAAGATAGTTTTTTTCCCTTGCTGTGATAATATTCCTTATCTTTTATATTTCAGGCTATTGTTAGAATTAAATGCGTTTGCGAGTGAGGAATAGATTTAAGAGTTATTTCAATTCAGACCGTGGAACATCTCTTCACAAAATGGGTTAGTTTGGATTGGCAGTATACTTTTAAATCTGCCTTCGATCACTCAGAATTTGTCCAGTTCTGTATTTATTAACATCAGTTTGTTTATTTATTCAGTAAATATTGAATGCCTGTTCTGTGTAGGTCATTGTCTTGGCAGTTATTTTGAGCTCTTGCTACCTGCTGAATTATATCTTAAAATGAAGAAATTTACATGATAGAGTGATATTTATTCATCTGTGCTGAAGATTAAAGTGAGAAGTATGTGGCAGGCGCGGTGGCTCACGCTTGTAATCCCAGCACTTTGGGAGGCCGAGGTGGGCGGATCATGAGGTCAGGAGATCGAGACCATCCTGGCTAACACGGTGAAACCCCATTTCTACTAAAAATACGAAAAATTAGCCGAGTATGGTGGTGGGCACCTGTAGTCCCAGCTGCTGGGGAGGCTGAGGCAGGAGAATGGCTTGAACCTGGGAGGCAGTGCTTGCAGTGAGCTGAGATCACGCCACTGCACTCCAGCCTGGGTGACAGAGCAAGACTCCGTCTCAAAAAAAAAAAAAAAGTGAGAAGTATGTGTATTTGGGGGAAGTTGTAGAATGAAATAATAATGATTAAATTGATCTTATTTCCAAATTTTAAAAATGTGGTTACTTTCTATCACATACTGTCTTTTTATGTTTTCCTTTTTATTTTATTTTTCAGTTTAGTTATATTTCAGTGAACTATTTAGACCAAAATGGAAAAGACATTGGTGTAAGTTGGAATCTAAGAAGTTTTAGATGTTCATTGCTTTTGAACAGAGGAAGTAACATTTTATGGATTGGGCATTGTTTTAGTCACTACTTGAAGGAGAACCTCTTACTCATTATCAGTCTCTTGGAAATAGCAACTGATTAAGCCTATATATACTTTGTGCATCCAGTGAAAATGTGATAAATATGATGATCTTTTGGTCAGAGAAGGATTCTGGAAACTGCAGTAGTTTGATTAGTAAGACAGTGTTTAAATCATGATTACTTGTTGCTCTAATATTTTAGACTTTGAAAGATGACAAGATGTGATGTAGGTGACAAAGAGCATTTTTAAAAATGGGTGAAATTGGCCGGGTGCGGTGACTCACGCCTATAATCCCAGCACTTTGGGAGGCTGAGGCGGGCGGATCACAAGGTCAGGAAATCGAGACCATTCTGGCTAACACGGTGAAACCCCGTCTCTACTAAAAATACAAAAAAAATTACCTGGGTGTGGTAGCAGGCGCCTGTAGTCCCAGCTACTCGGGAGACTGAGGAGAATGGCATGAACCCGGGAGGCGGAGCTTGCAGTGAGCCGAGATCACCCTACTGCAGCCTGGGCAACAGAGCAAGACTCCGTCTCAAAAAAAAAAAAAAAAAAAAAAAGGTGAAATTTAGGCCTATCAAGATACTTGGGATGTAGGAAAGGAATATATATATATATATATATATATATATATATATATATATATATATATTTTTTTTTTTTTTTTTTTTTTTTTTGAGACAAAGTCTCGCTCTGTTGCCCAGGCTGGAGGCTGGAGTGCAGTGGCATGGTCTTGGCTCACTTGAACCTCCACCTCCCTGGTTCAAGAAATTCTCCTGCCTCAGCCTCCTGATTAGCTGGGATTATAGGCACCCGCCACCACGCCCGTCTAATTTTTGTATTTTTAGTAGAGACGGGGTTTCACCATGTTGGCCAGGCTGGTCTCGAACTCCTGACCTCAGATGATCTGCCCGCCTCGGCCTCCCAAAATACTGGGATTCCAGGCATGAGCCACTGCGCCCGGCCGGATGTTACATTTATTGAGTACATATTAAGTACTGCTCACTGTTTTAGGTACTTCCTGTGCATTGTCTTTTTTAACCTTTCAACTAAGCTAAATACTGTTGTCCCTGTTTTAAAACTGGGAAAAATGAGCCTCTGAGAGGTTCACTAATACCCAAGCTGACATAGTTTCTAAACAGAAGACTTGGGATTATTACTCCGATGCTCGCTTTTTTGAAACTACTGGTCACAGTCGTTTGTGGTTATTGGCTCATCTAGATCAATCAATTGGATGAAACCCAGAAAATAGATTTTGTCTTCAACAATACCATTAAAGAGTTGCCTTCACATTAAAATTTAATAACTACATCTTATCCTTTGTACTCTTAATCACCTGTTTTCCCTATTTTCTTTTCCAGATTTCTGACATGAGGGATTTTGTCTCATTTGCTCTAAAGAGTGAACCTAAACATTGTGTTTAGGTTTGTTATTAGTTGCTTTAAATATATACACATCTGTAAACATTGAACTTTTTTGATGCCTCATCTGTGTTGCTTATAGATCATTTTCCATCATAATTATTTTAAAGTCCTTTTAAGAAGTTTAAGGCCTATCTCATATATGTAATATATTAATAGTAGATAATCAGGCCTTTGGAAGCATAAATGATGTAAGTAAGTTGGGTTGCAGTTTTTTCTTATCAAGAATCTGCGTGTGTTTAAGTGGCAGTGGAGATAATATTTTTATTTGCGTTGTTATAGTGTTATCTTTATCATTTAGTTTATATTTTCTGCCATTTAAAGATAAAAAGGTTTTATCTTTTATAGCTATAGAGTCATCTTCTGAGCCTTAAAACACTTGTGTTTTTTTTCTTTTCGCCGTGTGGGTGGGGAAAGGGGTGTGTGGCAATGGCCCTGTGCTTTGCCTCTGCCTGAGTTACAGGCGTGCTTTGTTTGCCTGGCTGGGGTTTGTGTCTCCCATGCTCAGGAGGGTGGAACCAGTTTCCCAGGGCCTGGGCCCTACCTATTGTCATTCTCCCCATAAGGGGATCTGTTACGTGTACTTGTGGGACCACACAGTGCTCTGGGCAGATAAGCCTCTTCCTGCCTATATCAGAACCAACATAGCCCACACACATCTGGGAAAGCATGCCAGGGTCAGCACCCCAGGCGCCCTGTACTCCCAGCCCATTCCCCTTCTTCTTCCCACTCACCTGGAATCCCTGACCCAAGGCTCTACCTATTGGTTCTAATATTCTGGTGGACAGAATCTAAGAGTCCAGCAAGCTCAGAATCTCAGGACCTCCTCATCCCTTTAGGAACCATCAATTAATCTCATGATTTCAGGTTGAACCACTGGAGTCAATTTCAGAAGTTTTGGTCTATCTCAGAACCTTCAGATCACACTCAAAAGCTTGGGGACAGCCTCAGAACCTTGGGACACATCTCAGCATACAGGGTCATCAATCTTAGAACTTGAGGTCTGTCTCAGAACCTTCATGCGAAACTCAGAATCTTGGGAAGTCCCAGGACCTTGTGCCCGGTATTATACCATTGGATCAATTATCACAGTCGCAGAATCTTGAGGTCCATCTTGGAATGGTGCAGTCAGCCTGAACCGTGGGATCAAGTTCAGGGACATGAGAACAATCTCAGAAACTTCTGGCCAGTCCTAGGTCTGAAAACCTTCAAAACAGCAACAGACTCTTGCGGTCCATCTCAAAACTTGAGATTGTGGTCTAAAAGGGACCCTCAAGACTATCCATCCAGTCCCTTCCTGGAATACAAGTCACCTCCACAGCCTCCCTGATCTCGCTGTCTAGTCTTTGCTATGAGCCCTCCTCGATAGGGATACCTGGCCCCTACCCACTGCCTGCCTTGCTTCTGGATGGCTCCAGCTACTAAATGATGTCTCCAAAATGTGAGAATCTGAAATCTGTCTCCTTTTTCCCACATCAGCCCTCTGAGACCTCTGCAGAGATTTCAAGGCAAGACCCATATGCTCAGGGTAAGCTTTGTCCCAGACTGCCCACACTGGGTTCCTCCCCTGACTTCCAGATCTCCACCCGCCCTTCTGAACACTGTTATCTGCAACACAGTTACCTGTTTATGCATTTCAATTTTGAGCCTATAGGATATCTCATACTGCAAAGGAAAAGCCCATTGGGAATGTCTGGGGTGGAGGTGGATGCCCAACCCTGTGCTGGGTGATGCTGGGGGAATCACAGCAGGATACAGAGCCCCAGAACCCCATGGGGTCCCAGAGGAGGAGCCCAGAGGAGGAAGCGGGACCATACCTGGAGGGGCTGCCTCTGATCTCCTCAGAGACTAGGGGTGCAGTGGGAGGAGAAGATAGGAGATGCCTAGAGACCCTGGCCCCACAGAGATGCCTGTGAGAAGAGGGAAGATTCCTGTTTCACTATTCTCAAGAGCTGGGAGAGGCTTCTGAGAGAGAACCTGTAATCCCAGTCGGCCCAATTACAGATAGGAAAGATAAGGCTCAAAGAGGGCTCAGTCCTACCCCAGAGTGGTTGGGTGAGTCAGGACTAACAAGTCCTCTTTCCCATTCCCCTGACATCATAACTCTCCCCACCATGATGTTATGTTGCTGCATTTCAGTCTTCTCACTGGCCATCTTCTCACATTCCAGCTTGACACTAACTAGGAAGGAGAGAGACCATGGGGGTCCCACACACCCCATATGAGCCAAAGTGAAAAACATTGTTACTTTTAATCTCATTTCTTCTTTGTAAATGATTTTTTGTCTCTGAAATTCTGTGACATGAATCAGTTTAGTCACTTTTTATCTTATTAAATGGAGAGAAAAATTGCTTAAGAGATATTTAGGTGTGTTGTTTTTTAACCCTTTTTGGTTGTAAATTGTTTTCTTTCTTTGTTTTAGTAACCCCAGAAAATCTAGAAGAAAATCTAGAAGAGAGGTAGGCAGATCATTGGTTTAAAAAAAGAAGCCCACCAACTAAATCTTTTATTGAGTAAAGTATTGTTTCTAGGTAGAGAAAGATTAGAGAATTGTATTGAGAATTTTACTAGGTTTGGGATTTACAAAGAGGCTAACATGCAAAAGGCAGTGCTCTTCGAAGGAGTCGTATAGATGTGGAGACTTTATAGCCCTTAGGGAGATCTACAGACATCCGCTATGCTGAGTTCTGGGAAGCTGCTTTTTCCCATGCTTGCAGCCTCCCCGTGGGGTAAAGGTCTGTTAGTTTTGCATAAATATTTACCATATCTCATTTTAGCTAGCATTGCTTCCTCACACTGTTAGCACTAAGGAGAACTTTGCTTATCCAGCTTGAAAAATTTACTGTGATCGATATGACTAATCTGGAGGATGTTCTGTCATCTTTGAGCATTGATGAAGTTAAAAAGTCAGATTGGCAAAAATAATGAGGGGGAAAGCAACCGGTTCACAGTTGACAAACATTTGCCCATGCTTGTTTTCCCATATTTATTTTTTTAAACGAGAAGGTTATTACACAAGCAGCATTTCAGTCTTGTCACACCCAATAAATTATTGTTGCTTTTATATGTTTATTTGTATACTAGTCGTTTACATTTGCATTTACTATACTTTTACAACTGTTTCCTTATTTTGTAACCATGAACACCAGCTTCTACATGTAAAGCCTCATTCTAGGTACTTTATATACATCATATTTAATAGATATAATAATTGTACAAGGCAAATGTTATTCCCATTTTACAGATGAGAAAAAAACTTAGATTCAAAGACATTGATTGACTAGATCAGTATTTCCCAGCTATAAATTTTTTTGGAACCAGGTTTTAAATTCAAGTCTTTTAGCGGGGCACAGTACCTGTAGTCCTAGTTACTTAGGAGGCTGAGGTGGGAGGATTGCTTGAGCCCAGGAGCTCCAGGCTGCAGTGAGCTATGATTGTGTCAGTCTACTTCAGCATGGGCTACAGAGTGAGACTCTGTCTCTTTAAAAATAAAAAATAAAAAAACCCAGATCTTTTTGACTCTTGATTCATTACATTTGCTACTGTACCCAATTTTATGTTACTCCAAATGAAAATATTCAGCCAAAGAAGGTTATTTAATCTATTTTAAGATAAATTACAGGAGTAATTTCTAAGTTGTGTTACAGGGAATATCCAGGACACTTTAATAGG
Organism: Homo sapiens; assembly: GCF_000001405.40. NCBI lineage: Eukaryota > Metazoa > Chordata > Mammalia > Primates > Hominidae > Homo > Homo sapiens. Next base: position 120,355,898 of record NC_000011.10, read on the forward strand.
AGTGTATTTTTTTGACTCATGAGCCCTACAACATTCAGGCATTCAAGGCCAAAGGTAGAATGTAAAATGATATTAAAAGGCAACCTTCAGACTTTGAGTTTATTATTTTAAAAAAGATCCAGCTTATTATGGAAAAATGGCCTAATCCATTTTATTAGTCAAAAACAATCCAACATTTGCAATTTCATGTGATTCAGGCTAGGAGCAATCTATCAGTATGACTGCGTCTTAAATCTTGTCAATATTTGATAGGATTCTACTTTAAAATTTTTGTGTTTTTGTGTCTCTTACCTTCTACTTCTCCTTCACTCCATGTCTTTTTTAAAATTTTTTATGTTTTTGAGACCGAGTCTTGCTCTGTCTCCCAGGCTGGAGTGCCGTGGCATGATCTTGGCTCACTGCAATCTCTGCCTCCTGGGTTCAAGCGATTCTTGTGGCTGAGCCACCCAGGTGGCTAGGATTACAGGTGTGCGCCACCACACCTGGCTAATTTTTTTTTAAGTAGAGATGGGGTTTCACCATGTTTGCCCAGCTAGTCTTGAACTCTTGGCCTCAAGTGATCTGCCTGCCTCAGCCTCCCAAAAGAGCTAGGATTACAGGCCTGAGCCACTGCGCCCAGCCTCCCCTTATCTTTTTGCATGTACACTTTGTCTTTATTGTCATCACTAAGCTTTTAATCTTTCCTTTGTTACCCCATCTAGGTCCTCTGCTCTCCCTCAACCTTTTACTTATTTCTGGTTGAGCCCTTTTGTCATTCCCTGCAATTTTCTGACCATGTAGTAGATACCCAGTAGGCTTCCTGGATTACTTGGTTTTTCTGTATTTTGCTAAAAAGTTACTCCAAAGATGATACCTTCTATTTGGACCTTTCCCACCCTTTATATACCTATCTAGGAGGTAGTAACCCAACCATTAATCTCTCCATGCAAAATACATGTATTGACTAAAAATTATGTGCTAGGTACTGTAATGTTTCCTACCCATTATTTTACTTAATTCTCACAATTACTCTGTGAGGTATTCACAGGTGAAGAAAGAGAAAGTTTAAGTAGCATGCCTAGTGAGTGGTAAAACTTGGATTTTAGTATGAATCTGTCTGACTTCCCAACCTGCACTGTTTTTTTTTTTGTTTTGTTTTGTTTTTTTTGAGACAGTCACCCTCTGTTGCCCAGGCTGGAGTGCAGTGGCGTGATCTCAGCTCACTGCAACCTCAGCCTCCTGAGTAGCTGGGACTGCAGGCATGTGCCACCGTGCCCTTCTAATTTTTGTATTTTTAGTAGAGACGGGGTTTCACCATGTTGGCCGTGGCTGGTTTTGAATTCCTGACCTCAAGTGATCCGCCTGCCTCAACCTCCCAAAGTACTGGGATTACAGGTGTGAGCCACCATGCCTGGCCCCAGCCTGCATGCACTCTTAAACACTATCCTATACTGCCAGATATGGTCAGAGTTGAATCAGATACTGTTTCTGCCTTTTAGGAACTTCGAGTCTAATAGAGGAAGATAGAGAACTAAGTGCACAGGGCACAGTGGAGACTGAAAGGAGAAAAATCATTACTTTTTGGACAGATCACAGACAGCTTCATAGAGGAGATGAATATATTTGCTGAATCCTGGAATGTGGGATGTAGTTACTGGACAGGTAAGGGATAGAGGAACAATTCAGGTAAAAGAAACAATCAGGTTTTTTTGAGACAGAGTCTCACTCCATCACCCAGGCTGGATTGCAGTGGCATGATCTTGCCTCATTGCAACCTCCACCTCCTGGGTTCAAGGGATTCTTGTGCCTCGGCCTCCCAAAATACTGGAATTACAAGCACGTGCCACCGCAGCTGGCTAATTTCTGTATTTTTAGTAGAGACAAGGTTTTGCTGTGTTGGCCAGGCTGTCCTTGAACTCCTGACCTCAAGTGATCCGCCCACCTCAGCCTCCCAAAGTGCTGGGATTACAGGCGTAAGCCACCGTGCCACCAAAATAAGGAATATTAATAAGGACATAGAGGTGAAATAGCTCACATTTTCAGGAACTGCATATAGTTCAGCATGGCTAGAGCATGGAGGTTGATGATGGATGGGCACAGCAGTTGGTAAAGTTGGAGTGATAGGTGGTACCAGATTATGGAAGGCCTTTTAAGTCATTCTAAGGAGTTTGGATTTTAACCTCTGGATTGTAGGGAGCCACTGAAGGCCTTCAGTCAGAGAGGCAGTAAGCGTTATGTTATAAAAGATTCTTTCGGTGGTAGCGTGAAGAAAGGATTAGTCTTGAGCAACAGTTTCAGGGGCAGAGAAACCAATAGTGAGACATTTTTCAGTAATCCATATGAAAAATGATACTAATAAATTCCTAAACTGAAGTTGTAACATATACTTAAAAGCGAAGAGACAAAGTTATTAAGAAGATACTAAGAATACCAGCAGGGTGAAAGGTGTGTGGTCAAAGTGTGGGGCTTTCTGGGTTGTGTCCTTGGGTAGGGGTTGGTAATACTTAGCAAGATAGGGAATGTAAAAGGGAGAAGGCAGGGTTTTGTTTTGTTATTTTTGTTTGGCTGACTGATAAGATGGAAGATGGAGAAGAGAACAGACATAGTAAGGGATAGATTTAGTTTAAGTTACTAAATCTTTAGTTTAAGTATTCACTATCTGTTGTATGATAGATTATCCCAAAACAATAAACTTGCACTATCCACTATGGTAACCACAAGACAAATGTGGCTATTTACATTTAAATTAATTGAAATTAAATAAAATTGAAAATTCAGTTCCTCAGTGACACTAGCCACATTTCAAATATTCACTAGCCACATGAAGCCAGTGGCTACAGTACTGTTGGTTGATCATAGAACGTTTTAAATTATTGCAAAAAGCTCTTTTGGACAGTGCTGCCAAACATTTATCAACGCATAGTTTACTAAGATCAGAAATCGGTGAGCAACTTTGCTGGGTGGTTCTGCTTCAAGGTTTCTCATGAGGTTGCAGTCCAGGTGTCTGCAACTAGAAGCAAGGGCTTCAGGAATCTGAAGGCTCAACTGCACCTGGTGGGTCCATTTCCAAGGTGACTTACTCATGCTGGTCAAGTGAGTGCTGATTGTTGGTAGGAAGCCCTAGCTCCTCTGTTGGTAGGTGGACTTCTCTGTGGGGATGTGTGAGGCAGCTGGCTTTGCCCTGAGTGAGTGATTTTAGCCAGAGAGGGAGGTAGAAGCCATTATAACTTTTGTGAGCTGACCTCAAAAGTCACACTACATCATTTCTATAATCTGTTGGTTACACAGGTCAGCACTATTCACTGTGGGAAGAAACTATACAAGGGCATGAATACCAAGAGTCAATGGGGCCCATTTTGTTTTTTTGAGATAGGATCTCACTGTGTTGCTCAGGCTGGGGTGCAGTGGTGTGATCATGGCTCACTGCAGCCTGAATCTCCCAGCCTAAAGCAGTCTCTCATCTCAGCCTCCCAAGTAGCTGGGACTACAGGCATGCCACCATGCTCAGCTAATTGTATTTTATTTTTATTTATTTATTTATTTTTGGTAGAGATAGGGTTTTGCCATGTTGCCTAGGCTGGCCTCAAATTCCTCGGCACAAGTGATCTGCCCACCTTGGCCTCCCAAAGTGCTGGGATTACAGGCATAAGCCAAAGTGCCCAGCCTATTGGTGGTCATTTTGGAGGCTTCCCACCACAAATACTTACGGAATATCTGGGTACAAATATCTAGTGGACAACTAAATGTATAGGAATGAGTTCTTAGCTAGTGCTATTATATTTGTGATGGTAGTTGAAGAAACTTGAATAGGTGTAGATCAACAAGGATGAGATTGAACCAGAAAGACAGTTAATATAGTATCTTGGGTCACATGTTTGGGGAGGACAGAAGTACTTTCAAAGGCTGGAGGAACAGCTACAGGGGAGTAGTAGTAGAACAGGCAGGGGAGTACATTATAAAGGAAACTTGAAGGGATGAAAGTTGAAAGTAGAATGTAATTAACATTGTTCAGTAGTTAAATAAGAGTAAAACTTAACAGAGTCATTCTTTCAAAAAATATTTCTTGAATACCTGTGTGGGGAACCAGAGAAAGATTGGTAGATAAATAAGACCAAGTCTCTAATAACACGTAATACTATCTGAGGAGACAAGTTTGGGAAGGTTTCTTGGAGGAAGGTAATATTTTAAGGTAGAGACTCTTTAAAGGGTAAGGAGGTGAGTTGGGTATTTTAGGGGTGTGGTGGTAGAGATATGGATACTAAAGTGGACATTTCAGGCTATGTTAGATGTGGAACACTGCTAGGATATGAAGTTTTGTGATGAGGGAAAGTGGTGAGAAAAGAGGCTGGAAGGCCAATTAGAGTAGTCTTGAATACATGCATGTTAAGGAACTTGCCTTTATCCTGCTGACTGTTTCCCATACTTAAATTTGGATACTACTTTAGTGATTTGCCATAGGCTTATAACCCCTAAACTGTAAGTTACTAAACATTTTTCTTTAATATTACTCTTTATTATTTTATTTATTTATTTTGAGACAAGGTCTCACTCTGTCACTCAGGCTGGAGTGCAGTGATGCGGTCATGGCTCGCTGCAGCCTTGACCTCCCAGGCTCTAGTGATCCTCCCACCTCAGCCTCCCAAGTAGCTGGGACCATAAGTGCATACCACCACATTGGATAATTTTTGTATTTTTTGTAGAGATGAGGTTTCACCATGTTGCCCCAGGCTGGTCTTGAACTCCTAGGCTCAAGCGATCCGCCTACCTCGGCTTCCCAAAGTGCTGGGAATTCAGGCGTGAGCCACCATGCCTGGCCAGTAATATTACTTTTTAAACTTAGAAACCATTTCCAGAGGGAACTTCATTGTATTGTTATAAATAGAAAACCAGTATTGTTTGCTACATATAAAAGAGAATAGAAAAAATATGAATGATTATTACGTTAAAAAAATTAAAAGTGGAATGTAGCAATGCATCCTTTGATATAGAAAAATGCCCACTTGGAAATAAGTTCCTCAGTGAGAATACTATTTTTGGTCAGTTAGCAATAAAAGGGCCTTTGCTTGAATAGTGTTTGGTTTCTACCTAAGATGAGATTTTAAGGTCATTAAGACAATTCCATTTTTAAATTTTGATGTTAATAAGCACCAAGAATCACAACTCTCAAGTCTGCGTACTTGGAAAGATCATAATACAGTTAATGGTCAACTTTGTCCAACTTTATTGTTAATTCAAGCACTAATAAAAATTAAGCCCTTTTGTTCCAAGAAGCCATCTAAAGTAGTTTATAGCAGGGGTCCCCAACCCCTGGGCCAGGGCTGCACAGCAGGAGGTGAGCTGCCAGGGCGAAAGAGCATTACTGCCTGAGCTCCACCTCCTGTCAGATTGCTGGGGACGCATTAGATTCTCATAGGAGTGCGAACCCTGTTGTGAACTGCACATGTGAGGGATCTAGGCTGCACACTCCTTAAGAGAATCTAATGCCCGATGATCTGAGGTGGAACAGTTTCATACTGAAACCGTACGTACACTCAAATCCCCATCTGTGGAAAAATTGTCTTCCACTAAATCCGTCCCTGGTGCCAAAAAGGTTGGGGTCTGCTCATCTATAGAATCTATTCTTCTGAGTGTGTCAAGTTATTTATTGGACATCTGGAAATGGAGAAGGGATTTTTTTTGTCTACTCTTTGCTGCCATCCAGTTTGGGAAAATTCTCGCAAAAATTTTCAAAAATTTCAAGCATCTTTTACAATTTTCGAAATATTTCCAGTGAGTTTTTCAGAGGAATCCTTAACTGGTCCTTTCAGAGAGGAAAAAAGTATCCAGCTCACCTACATATCTCATAGTTCTAGTTTCACATTTATCTTGTTCACTTTGTTTTGTACGTGGAATACGTAAACTTGTCAGGATAAATTTAGGTTGTTCACATAAGTAGATATATTTGTCAAGATATGCTTATTTGCAGAGCCTGTCTCAGGCATGCACATGATCTCACAAACTGAAGATTTCTTCCAGAAATATTTGAAATTTTTCCTGCAGCTCAAAAGGATGCATGAAGAGTTTTCCACTCTTTTTGCCAAACTCTATATGTAGCCCCAATTTTGAAGTTACTTTTATAAGGTTTTAAATAAATGGTTTTGAACTGTAATGACTAACAAAAGGCATGTGAATGATAGTGCTAGAGATGCTGCCACCAAAGTACCAAGAAAGAATATCATGCTTGATGATAAAATAAAAGCTTTGGAGTGTCTCAAATTGGCTGAATACATTTAATGAGCTATTAGAGGAAACATGGTAAAGATGGATGGTCATTTAGAAATTCTAAAGTCCTGTAATGTTGAGGAAGCTAAACATTATCAAATCTTGGAAGAAGTAATCAATATAGGAAGAAGAAGGAGGAGAAGCAATACTTTGGATACTAAGCAATAGTTTCAATACTAAGTTGAAATTACTTAGCTAACCTCAATTTAATGGACTCACTACATTTCCTCTGCAGAACATGACTTTTACCCAGTGAGTTAAATGCTTGTGTCTCATGGCTATTTTGTAGTGTGTCTGAATGCTTCTACTTCGTCCAGTTGAATTGTATAATCTCAACCCGTTGTACTTGAATTGGAATTAGATGATTTAGTTAAATATTATGAAAACTGAAAACTGATGAAATCTGAGCACCAAAAAGAAAGTTATTTCTATAAACAGTGAGTTGTGTGTGCTTTGGAAATAAGAGTAGAGACTTGTCACTGAAAAAAAATTCTGTCAAATTAGACGTGTATACAAAACAATTATTATTTGGAAAGTATCTTCTAGATTATTATGAATGTCTTTCGTTTCTTGCTCCACTCTAAGGAAACAGGAAATAAATCATAGCTGATATATTTTAGGACAGTTTATACCAGAAAGCTGATGGGACACTCCAATCAACAGACCCCTACTTAAAGAAACAGCCAGGCGCAGTGGCTCATGCCTGTAATCCCAGCAGTTTGGGAGGCCGAGGCGGGCGGATCATGAGGTCAGGAGATCGAGACCATCCTGACTAACACAGTGAAACCCCATCTCTACTAAAAATAAAAAAAATTAGCCGGGCGTGGTGGCAGGCGCCTGTAGTCCCAGCTACTTGGGAGGCTGAGGCAGGAGAATGGCGTGAACTCGGGAGGCAGAGCTTGCAGTGAGCTGAGATCGCACCACTGCACTCCAGCCTTGGCAACAGAGCGAGACTCCGTCTCAAAAAATAAAAAAAGAAAAAAGGAAAAGGCTTTGATCCTACATTTTAAAATTGGCAAATGAATGTACATTTACATAAGTTGAAATAAAGTTTAAGGTTTGTATGAATGGTTTTTAATTATTTCCTGCTTTAACTATTCTTTTCCATTAAATGACCAACCACTGGTACCAGTGGATTGGATAAGACAGTTGGCACTGCGTGGATAAAGGAGGTTTAAAGAAAAGGAAACATGAAATGCCTTCTTTTTGAGGCTGCTACAATAACCAAGTTACAAGTGTGCTGATTAATTTATTATTCCTGTTTCCAGAAATGTCTTATTTGTATTTCATTTTTAATATTTTTAAATTTAATAGTTTACATTTCCCCCACTAGTGTTGCCTTCTATTTGTAGCAAGTTAATACTGGTTTTCTATTTATAATAGTGAGATAAAGTTTCCTTTGGAAAGGAATGTTACCTTTAAAGAAAAACATTAGGTGACTAATAATTTGGTGCTTATGTGACTGTGGCAAATCATGAAGATAGTATTTTAAGTATGGAAAACAATTGCTAACCAGCAAGATAATGTCAAGTTCCTTAATATGAACTCACTTCTTGGCCTTTGTCTACCTTCTCCAGCTTCATGTCTTACCACTTTCCCTTATTATGGACTTCATGTTGATCAAGTGGAGGCTCCCTCTCCTCAAGGAGAGTCCCTAGGCCAGATTCAGAAGATGGTTGGTAGAGAGGGGATTTGATAGCTTCTGAGGACAGTGCTTTGGATGGAGAAATATCATGCAACTTAGGACAGTGCTTTGGATGGAGGAATATCATGGAACTTTAGTTTTCCAGCTTTATTGAGCTTTGCCTGTGATATTCACTTGTTTGGGGGGCTGTTTGGAGACAGGGTCTCACTACATTGTCCAGACACAATCACCATGTACTGCAGCCTTGAAGTCCTGGGCTTAAGTGATCCTCCCATTTCAGCCTCCCAACTAGCTGGAACTACAGGCTCGAGCCACTGTGCCTGACTCTTACTCACTTTTTTGTTCCCAATACCTGGAAGAAGATCGTCAGTCTGTAAATATTTGAAATCTAAATAAGGGTTATGGTGCTGTAGTATAAGGCCAAATCTTGGGCACCAAACAAAAAAAAATTTAGAAAAATCCCTTAGCCCATCCCATGCTGTGCTGGGAGCTTCATCTTTCTTTTTAATTGCAATTTAAACGATCTACTGCTACAAGAGGGTTGTGGTAAAGCAGAATTTCTTATACTGTGCAGGTGGGCATGTAAATTGGTTTAAACTTACAGAAAATAATTTGACAATATAGTTCAAAAGCCTAAGAAATGTTTAAACTTTTTGAATTAGTAATGCCAATTTTGGTATATATCTCAAGACATTAAGGATATACAGTTTTAGCTGTCATTTTATACAAAGAGATCACCCACACCATTATTTTAGTAGGGGCAAAGAGGAACCAATGTAAGTCTGGTGCCTCTGAAGAGGTAGACCTAGAAACTGGGATGACAAGGAACTCCCAGGGGACTGCTGTTAATAAATTACTTTATGTCATTTGATAAAATATATGTAAGCATTAAAGACATTTTCAAGTAAACCTTAGTGAGGAAATTGTTCATGATCTGTGAAAAGTATGGGATAAAACTTCAAATATAATGCCAGTTACATTTTTAAAAAACATTCATGTGATGCTTTTAAAAAGACTTCTAGGACATGTACCAATTTTTTTTTTTTTTTTTTTTGAGCCAAGTCCCACTTTGTCGCCTAGGCTTGAGTGCAGTGGGCACAATCACAGCTCACTGTAGCCTCAGCCTCTCAAGTAGCTGATACTACAGGCACACACCACCATGCTCAGCTAATTTTTTAATTTTGTGTAGAGACAAGCTCTCACTATGTTGCCCAGGCTGGTCTCGAACTTCTGGACTCAAGTGATTCTCCCACATTGGCCTCCCGAAATGGTGGGATTATAGGCACGAGCCACTGAACCTGGCATGTACTACTTTTTAAGTGTTTCTGGGTTGTGAGATTATAGATGAATTTTGTTTTATTCTTCACACTCATATGTTGTTTTCTAGGCTTTTAACTATGTGTATATATATATATTGCCTTTGTCATGAGAGACACTTTTGTTTTTAAGTGAAACCTCTGTTTAGTTTTTATTTATTTATTTGATCTTTATTTTAATGGAAAGGTAACTGTGCTGGTAAGCTGATAGATGATTGGAAGGAATAATTCTTGAGACTAGGAATGCAAATGAAAGACTGCTGGGAGATATGAGAAGCTCCTGAACTAGGGCAGTGGTGATAGGATTGGAGAGGAATATCGTGATCAGTAAGACATAGGAATAAAGGAAAAAGAGGGATCCAGGATGACTCCCAAGTTTCTGGGTGTTTAAATGTAATACATTTGAGATGAAAGTTTGGCTCTTAAAAAATATTCTTATTTGGGGAATGTTTAAATTTAGTGAGGTCATTAACAACTTCAGATTCCTTTTATACTTCAATTCTTTAAATTCTATATGTTGCCAAAGATCCTACTTCTAATTTGTTAGGGTTAACAAGAAGAAAGATGATATGTCTGTGAAGACATGTTTCTGACATCTGTCACCCTATGGATTGCCAGTTGATAGACCTGGTTGTCTTGATAAGTATTAGCTGACTCCCCAACCAGTTTATTTGCACCACTTCTGAAGCAATAAGCTTGGTTGAAAAAGGGCACCTCCCAAGTAGGGAAGGATAATTTTTAGGTCAAATTATAGAAATTGCATGTATCCCTGTTAACACTTCCAACACCAACAAAAAAATAGACAGGAAAATGACCCTACCAGCTAATTCTCCATTATAAGACTTTGAAGAAAAGGTTCCATTAAAAACAGAAAAGAGGCTGGGCATGGTGGCTCATACCTGTAATCTTAACACTTTGGAAGGCCAAGGTGGGAGAATTGCCTGAGTTCAGGAGTTTGACACCAGCCTGGGCAACATAACAAGACCCTGTCTCTACAGTAAGTAAAAAATTACTGGATGTGGTGGCATATGCCTGTGGGGCCAGCTGTTTGGGAGGCTGAGGTGGAAGGATTGCTTGAGCCCAGGAGTATCAGGCTGCAGTAAGCCATGATTGTGCTATTGCACTCCAGCTTGGTGACAGAGTGAGACCCTGTCTCAAAAAAATAAAACCTTGAGGACCCAAATTTGATTTAAATTTAGATGTACTATCTGCTTTGGGAGAGTTACTTTATTATTATTTAGTAGAGACAGGGTCTCACTATGTTGCCCAGGCTGGTCTCCAACTTCTGGCCCCAAGCAGTCCTCCCACCTTGGGCTCCCAAAGTGCTGGGGTTACAGGCGTGAGCCACCAACCCTGCCCTTAAGTTATTTTTTTGATCTTTTCATGACATGCTGTGGGCAATAAAATAATACAGTGGGTGATCTGTTGTTGCAATTCAAATATGGAGTTCCTTTTTCTTCCACAAAAGTATTGGCTGATTTCTTTCTTTTTCTGGCTGTGAGCAACAGGTAAATTAACATGACCATGGTCTGTCCCCAGCGTCTTGACTCAGATTTCTTAATTTGAACTTTTCCATCTTCTCCACTCCAAGATCACATGACAACATCCAACATCAGTGGATAGAAATAATTAGAGGCTGGATGAGGTGGCTCACGCCTGTAATCTCAGCACTTTGAGAGGCCGAGGTGGGCGGATCATTTGAGGTCTGGAGTTCAAGACCAGCCTGGCTAACATGGCGAAACCCCATCTCTACCAAAAATATAAAAAATTAGCTGGGCGTGGTGGCACACGCCTGCAATCCCAGCTACTTGGGAGGCTGAGGCAGGAGAATTGCTTGAACCTGAGAGGCGGAGGTTGCAGTGAGCCGAGATTGTGTCACTGCACTCCAGCCTGGGTGACAGAGTGAGACTCCATCTAAAAAAAAAAAAGAAATTTAATAAGTCACTGCTACACTGGCAAAGAAGGGTTGAGTAGTTTTAAGAAGCTTAGTTGCTGTCCAACAGTCTTATTGCATCTGATTCTTTTGGTGCTTGCTTACTCAAGTAGGGATCACATAGCATGGGAAGGAAAGAGCAGATCTGTGATTCTGTTGTTTACATCTCAGAATTGTGGTTTGTGAATAGTTTTGAAATTTTTCTTATAGTTTTGGGAGAAATTTGTTAACGGAATTTTTAAGGATTATAGGACAGCACAAAATAATTTCTCTTGTTTAGATGCTTTTAATAATAAAAAAAATCTGTTAGGATACTTTTTCCTTTTTTTTTTTTTTTTTTTTTTTTTTTTTTGAGGTGGAGTCTCGCTCTGTCGCCCAGGCTGGAGTACAGTGGTGTGATCTTGGCTCACTGCAACCTCCGCCTCCTGGGTTCAAGCGATTCTCCTGCCTTAGCCTTCTGAGTAGCTGGGATTACAGGCGCATGCCACCATGTCCGGCTAATTTTTGTATTTTTAGTAGAGATGGGGTTTCACCATGTTGGTCAGGCTGGTCTCAAACTCCTGACCTCATGATCTGCCCACCTTGGCCTCCCAAAGTGCTGGGATTACAGGCGTGAGCCACCACGCCCAGCCTAGAATACTGTTTAAATGATAAAATAGCTGAGTGCAGTGGTTCATGCCTGTAATCCCAACACTTTGGGAGGCTGAGGCAGGAGGATTGCTTAAGGTCAGGTGTTTGAGACTAGCCCTGGCAACGTAGTGAGACCCTGTCTCTACAAAGTAATTTCAAAATTGGCTGAGAGTGGTGGCACACACCTGTAGTTCCAGCTGTTTGAGAGGCTGAGTTGGGAGGATTGCTTGAGCCTGGGAGGTTGAGGAGGTTGAAGCTGCAGTGAGCTGTGATCGTGCCACTGCACCCCAGCCTGGGTGACAGAGCAAGACCTCGTCTCAAAAATAAATAAATAAAAGATAAAATAAGACCGAAAGATTTCATTATGGGATAGAGAAGAAAACTAATATGGAATTTAAGATAATATTCTTATATTTGAGTGGCCTCTTTTTTTGAGACAGGGTCTCACTCTTATTGCTTTGGCTGGGCCACAGCGGCATGATCTTGGCTCACTGCAGCCTGGACCTCCTGGGCTCAAGCAATCCTCCCGCCTCATTGTCCATACTGTCTAGCTATCTCCATGATAACAACATCATCTTATATCATGACTACTGACTAAAATCCTTAGTAGCTGGGACTACAGGCACATGCTACAATGTCTGGCTAATTTTTTAATTCGTTTATAGAGATGGGGGTCTCCCTATGTTGCCGAGGCTGGTCTCAAACTCCAGGCCTCAAGAGATCCTCCCACCTTGGCCTCCCAAAGTGCTGGGATTACAGACGTGAGCCACCATGCCTGACCTGAGTAGCCTTTTTATTTAAAGGGAATCGGCATTTGTTTATTACCTGGTATGTTCTGAGTATCAGGCTGTGTACTTAACCTCACTTAATCCTGACAGCATTCCTATAAAGCAGATACCTAACAATTATTTGTGAGGAAATTAAGGTTCAGTGACTTTCCATAAATTTGCTTATGGTCACACAATCCATTGAGTGCTTGTGCCAGGTTTTAATCTCAGTCTGACCAATACCAAAACTCATTTTTTCTATGTATGTTTCCCTTTTAGAAAGATTTTATTTTTTTAATTTTAATTTTAATTTTTTAACTTTTAGGTTCGGGGTACATGTGCAGGTTTGTTATATCAGTAAACTCTTGTCATGGGGGTTTGTTGTACAGATTATTTTGTCACCCAGTTACTAAGCCTAGTACCCAAAAGTTATTTTTTCTGCCCCCTCCCTCCTTTCACCCTCCACCCTCAAATAGGCCCCAGTGTCTATTGTTCCCTAGAAAGATTTCATAAGTAAATGTCATCTAGCCTGTAAATTATTTTTGTTTGCCAGCATTTATAATATAGGTGGTCATTCTTTAGGTGCTGAAACAGAATTGGTTTTGTCCTTAGTGTCTGGCTGTCTCCAATGATAACAACATCGTCTTTTATCATGACTGCTGACTAAAGTACTATATTCTCAAATCTTCTTTTCTTCTTTTTTTTTTTTTTTTTTTCTGTGACAGGGTCTTACTCTGTCCCCCAGTCTGGAGTGCAGTGGCATGATCTCAGCTCACTGTAGCCTCTGCCTCCAGGGTTCAAGTAATTCTCCCACCTCAGCCTCCCGAGTAGCTGGGACTACAGGCGCACACCCGCACAACTGGCTAATTTTTATATGTTTAGTAGAGACGGGGTTTCACCATGTTGGCCAGGCTGGTCTTGAACTCCTGACCTCAAGTAATCTGCCTGCCTTGGCCTCCCAAAGTGCTGGGATTACAGGCATGAGCCATCCCACTCGGCCAGATCTTTTGTTTTTAATTGAAAACTTATAATACATTTCAGAGATAAAGGAGAGCTATTTCAGAACTGGTGCTTATTGGTAAGTTTTAAAGAGTTAAAGTCAGTGAACTGGTGGTATAAGCCATTTAATCATTATGTTTATCATTTTATAGATACTAATCGGAGTAATGCAGTTTCAACAAAAGTAGTTTATTTTGGGGTATACAAGAATTTTTATTCTTTAAGCTAATTAATTCTAAATTTAAAAGAAGGAAAACACCTGAGAAGCTTGCGCTCTTAGTGTTACTACACAGAAGTCTCAATGTAGCTGCAACATCTGATTTTAAAATTTTCTTTTTTCGTCTTATACTTGGAATATTTCACAATAAAGTAAAAAGAAAATGATATACATCCATGTACCTGCTACTTAGTGTTATCTTTTTGGGGGACGAGGCAAGCAAATAAAAATTAGAGATGAAGTCGAGGCTCCCCTGGGTATTTTCCCCCGATCCTGTTCTCTTCTGCCCCTTTCCAGAAGTAAACATCATAGTAAACTTGGTGTTTGTTGCTCCTATGCATGTTTTTATACTTTGGCTATATGTTATGTATCTTCAAACATTATGGAAATTTTTGCAGATTTTTAAACTTCCTAACATTTGAATTCATGTTCTATATTCAGCAATGTGTTTATTAACAAAATATCAATAAAAATTACTAATTATAACTGTTACTATTAATAATGAATATTAATAAAATATTATGAATATGATATGAGGTAGGGATTGAGTTTTATTCTTTCATGTGGAGAATCAGTCGTCTAGCCCCATTCACTGTGCAGTCTGTCTTTTCCCTACTGATGGGTAGCACTATCCTTGTCATACATAATGTTTCCATTATTTGTAGGTTTGTTTCTGAGCTTTCTAATCTTTTCCCTTGGTTTGACTATTTCTGTACCGACACCAAACTGTTCAGATTACTTTAGCTTCATAAGCAAAGTAAATCTCCTTACCTTGTTTTTCTTCTTCAAAATTTTCATCGCTATTCTTAGCTTTTTCTTTTTCCATATGAATTTTGGGATCAGCTTGTCAGGTTCCCTTAAAAGTTTTATTTTTTTTTAACATTGTAATTGCATTGAATATTTAGTTTAGTTTGGAGAAAATAGGCATATTTATGATATTGTCTTCCTATACATGAACGTGGTTTTTCCTTAGAAATTCCAGATATTCCCTTATGGTCTTCAATAGTAATTTATAATTGTATCCAAAAGTCTTAAAACTTTTTTGGCTAAGCTTATTTCTAGGTACTTTATGATTTTCTCTGCTTTTAGAATGGTTGGTCAGTCTCTTTCTTTCCCTCTCCTCCTCCCTCACTTATTCTTTTCCTTCCTGTTTCTTCCTTCCCATCCCCCATTCCAACCTCCTTTCATTTTTTTTTTCTCTCTCCTTCCCTCCCTTATCACCTTTTAATTTTATATTGTTTTGGCTGACAGTTCTATTTAAGGTAGTGTGTTATAGAGAAAAGTATATGGAACTTAGAGTCAAAATTGCTGGAAATGAGTCCCCGCTTCGTCCTTCAAGAATTATATGATAATTAAGTCAACTTTTCTGAGCCTAATTCTCTTAATCTGTAAAAGGAGAATATTTACTTTTATACTGTCTACCTCACAGAATCAAGTGAGATATGTGCATGAGGTTTTTTCCTAATTAAAAATTCAGTGCTAAAAAGAGTTCTTTCTAGGGGAAAAAAATGCCAATTTCCCCCAACTAAAAGTATAGACATTTATTAAAACTGTATCTTTAGGGCTGGGTGCGGTGGCTCATGCCTGTAATCCCAGCAATATGGGAGGCCGAGGCGGGCGGATCACCTGAGGTTGGGAGTTTGAGACCAGCCTGACCAACATGGAGAAACCCTGTCTCTCCTAAAAATACAGAATTAGCTGGGTGTGCTGGCGCATGCCTGTAATCCCAGCTACTCGGGAGGCTGAGGCAGGAGAATTGCTTGAGCCCGGGAGGTGGAGGTTGCTGTGAGCTGAGATCGTGCCACTGCACTCCAGCCTGGTAACAAGAGCGAACCTCCGTCTCAAAAAACAAAAAACTGTCTTTAAAGAAGAATACCTTAATACATAAACTTATTATTTTGACTCTTAAAGATTATAACCCTTATACCCCACTTCCTAAAAAAGGATGTGAAATGGTTTAAAGGGCACGTAAACATACACTCACCTCAGTTAAAGATGTTAAAAATAGAAAATCAAGTTATTACAGTGAGATCAGTGCAAATATGATAATTATGAGGGCTAATACAGCCATTGTAATTAAGCCTCTCTGCTTTCAGGATTCTGTGGGAATAAGGTAAATATGATTTGGTTCTATTGTTGGATGTATTTCCTCCTTTGAGACAAACCTAATTTTACTCCCATTAAATTAAAAAAATACTGTCCACCAAGGTTTCAAGACAATATTGGGAACAATATCTGCTACAACAGTTTCATAAGTGAAAGAGCACTTTTTCAAATGGTTTTTTGAATGACCGTTACTAAAAATCTGAGGGGAAAACAGAAAGCAGCACTCACCAAAACTGATTTCTTTGGAAAAACTAAACCAAGGTTATTTAGATAGCTTATGATCTAATTTGTCAGGCACTGAGCTGGTTTATAACCTAGAGCAGTGATGCTTTCAACATTTTTGTGTTAACACATATGAACTTTTGAATACTAAAATTTTTGGTAATATGTTGAAACTTCCAAGGGAACATTAGATAAAGTAATAGTAACTATAAGGTAACCACTAGTACAGTAAAAATGCCTTCTAGTTACAAATGAATCCAAAGCAATCTCTATTTTACTTAACACTATTAAGCACTGCAGTCTGAGTTTGATTAGAACTGTTTACTCTCTGATCTCCTCTGATCTTTTTTTTTTAATTCAGGAACCAAAATATTTATATGTTCTAATATAGATATACCATCTTTAACATTGGCTTGAAATTATGTAATGCCTCTGGATTGTAGTTATTTGTGCTTCACTATACCCTGTCATATACTGGCCCAGTACAAAGTTCTTTCTGACAAGCCTTTCTACCAGTGTGTTATTAACTAGTTTGCTTTGTATAATGCAGTTCTGCTCTCAAATACATCTAGGCAAGTAACCAAAGGAATCCTAGGTTAACTTTCTGCATTTGAAAGATGTATTTATGGAAGACTGAAGCTTATTTTTTATATGGTAAGGCAGGTGCTCAGTTTTTATGGGGCTTTTTTTCCCTATAATTTTTCAACTTTTTGTAAAAAGCAGACAGGATTTATGATAAGATAGGCCTGAGTTCAGATCCAGGCTCTACCATTTGTTAGCTGAACAACCTTGGAAAAGTTATATAGCTTCTCTACCTTAGCTTTTGTCTCTTTATCCCCAATATCTCTTATCATGTCTACTTCATAGGACTTCAGATGTGAAGTTTTTAAAAATTATCAAACTGTAACTTATTGATAATTTTCTGCTTAAGGTCACTCTAACTGAGGAACCTACCCCTAGAATTAAAAATAAATGCACAAAATAAGCTATTAATAATAAATGTTGAAAAAAGCTATTCCGTATTACCAGTATAATCTAAACTGAAACAAGATTTTTTCTTAGAAGTAATTTTTTCTAAGTATAACAATGCTTTAAAATAACCATTATATAAAATTTCTGACATAGATAAAAATTAGAATAGCTTAATGAACCTTCACTGACCTGTTACCAGCTTTAGTAATAAAATACAGTTTAGATTAATCCTTTTCAACCATATAAGATATAAAGTGACAAGGCCCCTCCCCTCTCCCAGTTGTTTAATATGATTTACCTGAGGTAGCCACCATTAACTTCCTTTACACAAATGAAATCACCCCATAGGTGCTGTTTTGTAGCTTGACATTTTCATTTAACAATATACTTTTTAAAATATGTTTTATTTCCATGTGAGTACCTATGTTCTGTGGCTATACAACATTCTGTTCTCTACAATGTTCTATATAATATTATGGCAGCAAAACACAAAAGAGTGAAATGAGGGATGTTTGTTTTATCCACTGCTGTGTTCCCAACACCTAGAACAGTGCCTGCACATAATAGATGCTCAATACATATTTGGTGAATGAATTAACATCTAGTTAGGAAATGTATTTCTAACTTGGAAATGTATTTCTATTATTGGTACGATATTCTATTATATAATTGTATAATGATTTATTTAACTAGTAGAATAATGATGGATGGTAGGACTTTGGGTTTTTTTCACCTTTCTATGTTTTTTTCCCCCTTCTATGTTTTTTTCCCCCATATTCTCTTCAGGGAGCAACTATTATCTTGATAATGGTGGCAATTTAAGAAACTACTTTGAGAAAATAATTAAAATATGAAAAATGGATTTTTTGTTTTTGTTTTTGAGACGGAGTTTCGCTCTTGTTGCCTGGGCTGGAGTGCAATGGCGCGATCTCGGCTCACCACAACCTCTGCCTCCAGGTTTCAAGTGATTCCCCTGCCTCAGCTTCCTGAGTAGCTGGGATTACAGGCATGCACCACCACGCCCGGCTAATTTTGTATTTTTAGTAGAGACAAGGTTTCTCCGTGTTAGTCAGGTTGGGCTCGAACTCCCGACCTCAGGTGATCCGCCCGCCTTGGCCTGCCAAAGTGCTGGGATTACAGGCGTGAGCCACCGCACCCGGCCAAAAAATGTATTTTTATGGACACCCATAGCTAAATGTCTTTCCATCTAGTGGCTGGTTAACCAAGCATGGTTCCTCCTGTTTCCTTTCCCTATGATCATTTCAGAGTATAACCATTGTTTAGTGTAGGAGAGATGTTATGACTTTTAGATATGCTTTTTTTCATAAAAAGGAATTGCCTAGTTAGAATTTTTTAAAGATATCTCACAGTTCAGCAGTTTTGACATTGCTGGGGAAATTTTATCCAGGGATACAGAAGAAACGTTCATTCATTTTTATTTAAGCACCTATAAAAAGTAGGGGGGTACTTCTGGCAATACAGTTGGGTTACTGTTTGTGGCTAAATATGTGTGTGAACATTACGACATTTGATGAAAACAGCTTCATTGAGCTACTGAGCTCTCCAGCTGATTTTTCTTCTTGGCCTTAAAGGTTTACAAGGCTAAGAATCAATCTCCTCTGGGGTAGATGGCCTTACGGATTTTAAATATGTGTTGTGATAAAAGTGATTTTACTCTAATACAGCATAGTACAAGTTAACTTCCAGTATGCAGAATTGACCTCGTGAATTTTAGTTTAATGATCTCAGTTCTCATGAACTTGCAAACATAGAAAAAAAATAAATATTTTTAAAAAACTTTTCTTTTTAAATTGTGAAAAACGTATATGATGGTTACAGCAAAGATTATGCTTTTATGACTAATTCATTACATTGAGTCATACATATTAATGATTCAAATTACTAACATAGCTCTATTAAATTAAATCTACCATACAGTATACAGGTATTCTGTACTTTGAAATTTCATAAATTTTTGGATATCAACTCTCAGAAGGGTATACTAGTAATTTGCTTTTACCCACAAAATCTTCAGATTTGTCAACAAAATGAACGAGATTGGTATTTTCACTTTAGTTTCTCAGTGAAAATAAAGAATGGGTAGATGAATGGTCCAAAGAGCTAAGAGAGAAGACTTAATTTAAACTCAAATAAACATGCCCAGAATGACCCTCTCTTTTTCTGCCCTTCCTCCTGCCACAGTTAGCCACTGTATGTCTCAGGTTTTAGGCAAAGTGAGTCTTCTTATCATGGAAACTGTGAACATTCATTAACAACTGGTTTTACTTTGAAACTTAAACAGCAAACACCAAAGAGTGAATTGTTGGTATAATCCATGGGAGTCTTGAGATTGACGTCAGAACACCAGTACAGCTGTATAAGCATTGGGAAGTATTTTTAACATCCGTGTTAGATCATCTTTTTGACCTTTCCTTTTATGTTTTCTCTTTTTCCATTAAATGGTTAAAAAAAAGAGCTTTACAATATTTTCTACCAACACTGTAATGATATTCTTAAAAAAAGCACCCGTACAATTATTTTCTTTGTTCCTTTCCCCTTTGCAACTTTCCTTTACCTGTAGTGTTCCAAGTTCTGATGGGGTGGCCTTTTTTTTTTTTTTTAAATAAAAAGTTTGTTTTTGAGAACAGGGCTAGATTTGCCGAAAATGAGAAGCTAGAAAATAACATATACCCCATAGGCATGCTCAGAGTCCCCTATTATTAACATATTACATTTGTGTGGTACATTTGTTACTGAACCAGTGTTAACATTAATATTAATTAAAGTCTGTAGTTTATTCAGATTTCCTTAGTTTTTACCTATTGTTCTTTTTCTTTCCTCAGAAACCACATTATATTTAGTTTGTCATGTTCCTTAGCCTCCTCTTGGCTGTGACAGTTTCTCAGATTTTTCTTGTTCTTGATGGTTTTGACAGTTCAAATGAGTACTGGTCAGGTTTCTTGTAGGATGCCCCTATATTAGAATTTGCTTGATGTTTTTCTTACGATTTGACTGGAGTATGGGTTGTTGGAAGGAAGATCACAGAGGTAAAGTGACATCTTCATCAACTCATGCCAAGGGTACTTACCGCTAACATGATATGTGACTATTGATGATGACCTTGATCACCAAAATAATGTTTATCAGATTTCTCCAGTGTAAAGTATTGGAATGTTCTGGTAGGCATATCCTAGTTAGGTTAATTGCTCTGGTAATTGCTTGGGCTTTAGTTATTAAATAAATCATCATATTGGTATACTGCTCATTGAAATGTTAAATTTTTTTTTTTACAAATAATGTGTTCAGAGTTGAGAATTAGATTTTTTAAATGTTCAGATTGTATTTTCAAATTGTATTTTTGAAATAAAGCTTTCCTTTCCTGTCGAATTCTAAAGATTTTGTTTATCTAAGGGAACAACTTAGGTTCGTATTTTAAGTAGGAAGTTAGAGAGCCTGGTCAGTTTATCTGCAATTTAAATTCTAGACACTGAGACTTATTTCCTTCATTTTATCTTTTAAAAAATAGACTGAGATATAATTTACATATAAAATTCACCATTATATTATTGTTAATTTTTATGGGCATAAGTATTTATATTTATGGATTACATGCAATATTTTGAGACAGGGATACAATGCATGATAATCACACTAAGGTAAATGGGGTATCTATTACCTCAAGCATTTATTCTTTCTTTATGTTACAAACATTCCAATTATACTCTTCTAGTTATTTTTAAATGTACAATAAATTATGGTTGACTGTAATCACTCTGTTATATCAAATACTAGATCTTATTCTATCGAACTATATTTTTGTATCCTTTAACAATCCCAACTTCCCCAACCCCCCACTACCCTTCCCAGCCTCTGGTAAACATCTTTCTATCTCCGTGAGTTCAGATGTTTTAATTTTTAGCTCCCACAAATGAATGAGAGCATGTGAAGTTTGTCTTTCGGTGTCTGGCCTATTTCACTTAACATAATGACCTTCAGTTCTATTTATATTGTGGCAAGTGACGGGATCTCATTGTTTTATATAGCTGAATAATACTCCATTGTGTATATGTACCGCATTTTCTTTATCCATTTGTCTGTTGATAGACACTTAGGTTGTTTCCAAATCTTGGCTATTGTGAATAGTGCATCAATAAAGATAGGAGTGCAGGCCTCTTTGATATACTGACTTCCTTAAGTTCACTCATTTTAAGTGTGTACTTCGATGAGCTTTGACAAGTGTGTATACTTTTTAACCACCACAACCAGCATAGTTAAGATATATAACATTTCCATCACCCCAAAAAATTGTCTCTGCTTTCTGTCACAATAGTTTTGCCTTTTCTACTTCATGTAAATGAAATCATGTACAGTATGTAATCTTTCTGTGTCTGTCTTCTCTGTCTCTTTTTTTTTTTAAAGACAGTCTCTGTTTCCCAGGCTGGCTGGAGTACAGTGGCGCAAACACAGTTCACTTCAGGCTTAATATCCTGGGCTCAAGTGATCCTCCCACCTCATGCTCCCAAGTAGCTGAGACCACACAGGTGCACAGCACCACACCTAGCTAATTTTTTAGTATTTTGTAGAGATGGGGTCTTTCTGTGTTGCCCAGGCTGGCCTCAAACTCCTGGGCTCAAGTGCCCTGACCCCTGCGAAGTGCTGGGATTACAGGCATGAGCCACTATGCCCAGCCTTTCTTCTCTTTTTTTAGGCTTAATACTTTTCAGATGCATCCAAATTGTTTCATATAATGGTAGTTTGTTCCTTTTTCTTACCATAATAGTATTACATTGTGTGAATAAGTCAGTTTCTTTATCCATTGACCTGTTGGTGGAGGTTTGGATTGTTTCCAGTTTTTGGCTATTTTGAATAAATCTGAACATTTTCCTGTAAGTTTTTGTGTGGCATATATTTTTCTTTCTCTTTGGTAAACATCTCAGAGTAGAATTGCTGAGTCATATGGTAAATATATATTAACTTTTAAAAAATTCTTTTATTTATTTTTTTAGAGATGGGGTCTCACTATGTTGTCCAGGCTGGTCTTGGATCAGCCTTGGTTAGGGATCCTCCCACCTCACCCTCCCAAAGTGCTGGGATTACAGGCATGAGCCACCACACCTGGCCTTGATTAACTTTATAAGAAACTGCCAAATTGTTTTCCAAAGTGCCTCTGTCATTTTACATTCCCACTAGAAATGTCGAAGAGTTTTACTTGTTCTACATCCTCATCAACACTTGGTAGTATCAGTCTTTTTAATTTTAGTCATTGTAGTGGGTGTGAATGGCATCTCACTCTACTTTTTATTTGCATTTCTCTAATGATGAATGATATTGAGGACTTTTCATTTGCTTATTGACCTTTTGTTCTCTTTTGTGAAGTGTCTGTTCAAGTCTTTTAAGAAGTTGGCTTGTCTTTGTCTTATTGAGAGGTAAGGTATGGGTCCTTTGTCAGTTACATTTAGAAAATGTTTTTCTTTCTGTTTGTGGCTTGTCCTTTTATTTCCTTAACAATGTCTTTCAAAGAGCATAAGTTATTAATTTTGATGAAGTTCAGTCTATCAACTTTTTATTTTGTATTCATGCTTCTTGGTCCCTATCGTAAATATCTTGACTTAACCCAAGGTTGCAGAAAATGTCCTCTTAATTTTTTCTAGAAGTTGTATAGTTTAGCTCTTATGTTTAGGCCTATGATTCATATCAAGTTAACATTTGTATATGGTGTGAGGTAAGGATTAAAGTTTGTGCGTGTTTTGGCATGTTTTCCAGCACCATTTGCAGAAAAGACTGTCCTTTTCCCGTTGAACTGCTTTGGCATCTGTGTTAAAAACTTAATAGACTGTCTGTGCATAGTTGTATTTATGGTTTCTTTATTATGTTCTGTTGATCAATATGCCTGAACATATTGATTGATTTATTACCTTAGCTTTAAGTCTTTAAATAAGGTAATATAAGTCTTCCAATTTTGTTGTTTTCCTAAAAATTGTTTTGGCTCTTCTAGATCTTTGCATTTCCATATGAATGTTAGAGTCAGCATGTCAATTTCTATTTACAGAAAACAGGCTGAGATTTTGTGGTTGTGTTGAATCTGGATCAGAATGTGGAGAATTGACATCTTAAATTAGGTCTCCCAATCCATTGGCATAATCTTTCTCTCCATTAATTTAGTAGTCTTCTTTAATTTCTCTATAAACATTACATAGTTTTCAGCATACAGGGTTTGCACATGGTTTGTTAAGTTTATGTGTTTTGAGGTTATAAATAGCATTTAAAATTAATTTTTAATTCTTTATTAATAATATATAGAAATACAATTGATTTTTCTATGTTCATCTTACATACTGTTACTAAACTTGCTTTTTGGTGCTTTTTTTATATAGATCTCTGGAGTTTTCCATAATGTCATGTTATTAAAAAGTTTTACTTTCATTTAAAAGATGTAAGCCTTTTATATATTTATTTTCACTGTCTTACTCATTTGGCTGAAATGTTAAAAGAAGTGGTGAAAGCAGACATGTAGACATCTTTTCATTGTTCTCAATCTTATGGAAAGCATTCAGTATTTTACCATTAAGTACGATTTTTTTTTTTTCCATACTCTATCAGTTTGGGGAAGTTACCTTCTATTCCTAGCTTGTAAGAAATTTTATAATTAACAGATATTGAATTTAGTCATATGCTGTTTCTGTATCTGTTTAGATGATCATATGGCTTTTCTGTTTTCTTTCTTTTTTTTGACTTGCCAGGAGGTATTTTCATCTGAGGCTTTTCTTTCTTAGACTGGTGATACAGTGAATTACATTGATTTTTGAGTGTTAAACCTACCTGGCATTCTTAGGATAAACCCCATTTGGTTTATCCTAATGGTCTCTTTATTATGTATTATGTATTATTCTTTTTATTTATTGATAGATTTGGTTTACTAATATTTTGATGATTGTTCTTGTTCCTTTGTTCCTAAGGGATATTTGTGTTTAGTTTTCTTGTAATGTCATTGCCTTGTTTTGATACTGAGACAGTGTTGGCCTCAGAAAATTTTTTGGGAAGTGTCATGTGTTTTCACTTTCATTTGTCAGATGTAGAATTGTTATCTCTTCCTTTAAATGCTTGTGATAATTCACCAGTGAAGTGAGTTTTCTTTGTGGAAATGTTTTCAACCAGCAATTAAATTCACTGCCCCCTGAGAGTACCCACTATTCTGACTTCTAGTACCATAGACTAATCCTTAAACTTTTTTTGGATTAATTTTTTATTTAGAGAAAAGTTGCATAAATAACACAGAAAATTCACGTAGAGTTCCCATATACCCTACACCTAGTTTTCCTGATTGCTGACATCTTACATTATTGTGGTATATCTGTGAAAACTAAGAAACCAACCTTAGTACATACTGTTAACTAAACTTCATACTTCATTTGGATTTTTCCAGCTTTTTCATTAATGGCCTCTTTCTGTTCTAGGATCAAATTTAGGATACCACATTGCCTGTAGTTTTCATGTTTCCCCAGTCTCTTGGTTTGTGACAGTTTCTCAGTTTTTCCTTGTTTGTCACGACCTTGCCATCCCCGAGGACTTTGTAGAATGCCCCCCAGTCTGCGTTTGCTGCTGTTGCTCGGTATTAGACTGGGTTATGCGTTTTTGGAAAGAATCCTCTTTTCCTCTCATCAGGGGTGCATGATGTCCACGTGGCATCACTGGTGATGTTAACCATGACCACTTGGTTAAGATAGTGTTTGCTAGGTTTCTTCACTATACTCTGTTTTTTGGGAACACATTACTAAGTCCAACCCACACTTTAGGAAGGGGGAGATATCTACATACATGGTTTGAAATTCTTCTGTAAGGAAGATTTGGATCTTTCCCCACATTTATCTGTTTATTCAGTCATTTATATCAGTATGGACTCATGTATGTTTATTTTATACTTTGAGTTCTAATGCTAGGTTTCTTTTCTTTTGCTTAAATTGTTCCAACTTTGGCTATTGGGAAGGTTTTCCGGTTACTGTTTATGTCCCTTTCATATGCCCCTATCCTTTTGTTTTTTGAACATCTCCTGACGTGGTACTAGAAGATGCTCCAGGCTCATCTTGTATTTTCTTTGCATCAGCTGTAGAATCAGCCATTTGAAGGAACTAGCATTCCTTTTATTTAGGAACCAAAATGTAGTTACTAGGTGTGCTCATTGCTATTGGAGTATCGTTGCTTTTAGGCCCTCTCAGGGGACAGAGCTAGGTAATATCTGTGTGAATACTAACCCATGTATACACATACATCTCTAATTGTTTCTATATGTATCAGTTGGCATATATGTTAAGTTAAACATGAGTTGATATTGATGTCTCTGATTATAATCCATTACCACAAGGTTCACTCTAGTCCTCCTTTTTAATCTGTGACTTCCTTGTCTGACCATAAGAAACCTGGCTCCAGCCACCCCATTATCCATCCACTTATTTTTTCAACCTATGTACACATGAAAAGCAAATTTAGAATTATTACCCCATACCCCATGAGTACAGTATTTATGTACAGTTTCTTTTGTCATTAGCCTTACAATTTCAAGTCAAAACACCGTGTTCCAAAGTTTGTTAGGTAAGCTCCTTTTTCACCGCCCCTTCAGTGAAGTTATGTCATACATTTGTAATGCAGTTAGTTTCATTTGTCGCAATCCACATTTCATCTTGGGATCCTCTGACGTTTTGGTTGATGTTAGTGGTTGTTGTTTGGTTAACATTTGTTGAAGTTCACTCTTTGTACTGTGCCATTCTGTGGGTTCAGACAAATGCAACGGGTCATGTATTCACCACCCTAATGTACAGCGCAGATCCTGCACCCTAAATGTCCCCCTGTGCATCCCGTTTGTAGTCAAACACTCTCCTCTCCTCTAGTCCCTAGCAACTACTAATTTATTTTCTGTGTCTCTACTTTTGCATTTTCCAGAGTGTTGTATAAATGGAATGATACAGTCTTTGGATTTTTCCATGTAGTAAAATACATGAAAAATCCAAAGATTGTATCGGGCTTCTTTCATGTAGTAAAATGTATTTAAGATTCATCCATGTTGTGTAAATTAATAGTTCATTTGTTTTAAAAATTGTTGTACTATTCCATTGTGTGGATGAATCATAATTTGTTTTTTCATTCCCCCATTAAAGGCCATTGTAGTTACTTTCAGTTTTTGGCATTAGGAGTAAAGCTGCTGTAAATGTCCATGGCCAGGTTTTTGCATGGATATAAGTTTTCAAGTCCCTTGTGTAAATACCTAAGAGTATGATTGTAGGTCGTATGGTAACTCTGTGTTTAACTTTCGACTGCTTTTGTTCTTTATAGAAATGGAGTTGTGCAGTATGTGCTCCTTTTTAATCTAGCATCTTTCTTTTGAATTGTTTATGACATTTATCTGTATATTTTGAGTGGTCATAATTCATTTGCATTATTGATTAATATTCTAATGTGTGAATAAACTACAGTTTTAAAAATCCATTCTACTGCAGATGGACATTTAGATAGCTCTAGTTTGGGACTGTTACTAACAGTGCTGTTTAGGAACCTTCACAGACATGTATTTTTGTGAACATACATATACATTTCTGCCTAGTTGTGGAATTCGCTGGTACAGCTTTAGCTGATTGTACCAAGTAATTTTCTGGAGTGATTGTACCAATTTATAGTCTGATCAGCGGATGTAGTTTCTAGGTGCTTAATGTCTTCATGAGTACTGTATGTATTCATTCATTCTATTTCTCTCTCTCTCTCATTGTGGTTTTAATTTACATTTCCTTAAAGTTGAGCACCTTTTTATATGTGCATTGGTTATTTGGATATTCAGAAAAATTAAGAAAATTGTAAATTTCTTCTGGGCTCTGAAAGCATTGGGGTTTGGAATAAGGGGTGGCTTCCATTAGGAAAGGCAGTAAGGGGGCCGGGCGAGGCGGTTCACGCCTGTAATCCCAGCACTTTGGGGGCCGAGGTGGGCAGATCACGAGGTCAGGAGATTGAGACCATCCTGGCTAACATGGTGAAACCCCATTTCTACTAAAAATACAAAAAATTAGCCAGGCGTGGTGGCGGGCGCCTGTGGTCCCAGCTGCTTGGGAGGCTGAGGCAGGGGAATGGCGCGAACCCAGGAGGCGGAGCTTGCAGTGAGCGGAGATCGCACCACTGCACTCCAGCCTGGGCGACAGAGCCAGACTCCGTCTCAAAAAAAAAAGAGAAACAGTGTCTTTGGGGGAGAGCCAGGTGTTGGTGAAGGCAGCGTTTGGAGTGCATTCTGTGAAGAAGTTAAGAGTGTAGTGGTGTTTGGTTTCTTGTAGCAAGAGTCCTAGAGCAGTGGTCCCCAACTTTTTTGGCACCAGGGACCGGTTTTGTTGTAGACAGTTTTTCAATGGGACTGGGAGGGTGTTCGGGGGAGGGCAGTAGTGGGATGGTTTCAGGGTGATTCAAGCACATTACATTTATTGTCTACCTTATTTTCATTATTATTACATTGTAATGTATAATGAAATAATTATATACTCACCATAATGTAGAATCAGTGGGAACCCTGAGTTTGTTTTCTTGCAACTTGACGGTCCCATCTGTGGGTGATGGGAAACAATGACAGATCATCAAGCATTAGATTTTCATAAGGAGTGTGCAACCTAGATCCCTCTCATGTGCAGTTCGCTATAGGGTTCCTGCTCCTCTGAGCATCTAATGCTGCCACTGATCTGACAGAAGTGGGGCTCAGGTGGTAATGCGAGTGATGGGGAGCAGCTGTAAATACAGCTGAAGCTTCACTTGCTCACCTCCTGCTGTGTGGCCTGGTTCCTAACAGATCATGGACCAGTATTGTCTGTGGCCCAGGAGTTGGAGACCCCTGTCCTAGAGTACACAGTGAAAAAGTTTGATAGAGAGGGGAACAGTGGAAGATTTTGTTAGATATGTCACATGATTAATGGATGACTAAAGTTTTGTTTGGTGATCTAGGATGATAGAGATGTTGAGACATGAAATTAGTTGGCTTCAAGTTCTAAGCTGTCCTGTGTGAGAAATTGCCTCATCAGCCAACACAGGCTTTGACATATGGGTAGCTTCGTGTTTCTTAGGATACTTGGGCTGGTCAGAAAGTGCCAAGCATCAGAGAAACTGAGACCTCGGTATAGGTGGAGGAAGTCTAATGATAGCCACAGTCAGTAGCCTAGTCTGATTTGTTTTTAGCAAATCTAGACTATTTTCTTAATCAGTAACTACTTCTTTAGTAACTACTTACAAGGCGACTGCCTTTGCCAAGGTATATGTTCTCTGAAAGCTGATTCTTCATAGATCACTAACTGTAGTTTTGAGGTTCTGTGATTTCCTTCAAAATTCACAGAACCTTGAGCTATAATTTATGTGGATAGAGTGATTACTGGGATTTAACTTAAAATTAGATGTATTCAAATGTTTTAAGGAATATGTTTTGTAAAACAACATGTTTTTCATTCGTTACTTATATATTGATCCCAGAAATTGTGTGCCTGCAAATTGTCAAGTTGGGTTGATGCTTCAGAAAAGGAAAGTAGAGGCTGAGTCTTCTTAGTATAGCAATGCATTTTTTAGAGCAGTGTTTGAGGCAAATTATTTTCGCAAAATTACATGGCTTCTAGGGATTAGATTGCATGAGTTTGTCTCTTGTTCCTCCCTCATTCTACTGTAAGAGGCCAGGCTGCTAGTTAACAGAATGCCAGACATAATGCCTAGGGCATAGTTTGAGACCTGGGAAGATTCACAATAATCAAACACAAACAGACAGAGTAGCATGAAGAAATTTCAATCCTCCCAGTCTTGCTTACAGATTTAATTAGGCTTATTGGGGCAGAAAATATTTTTCCTCCCCCCATGTTTAAATCTGTTTCTCCTCTACTCCCACCTCCTGTCCCAGATTCTCTTTGAAGGGGTAATACTAGCAACAAAAGGAGATTTTTTTTTTTTTTTTTGTAAATCCTAACTTATTTGGTTTATCTGGCTTTAGGAAAAGGAGCAGTAACAACAACCGAATTTTAAGGTATTTGAGGGACTCCATTTTTTGGCACTGTATTTGGGAAATTCCCAATTTAAAAATCATGCTGTACTCAAGAAGAAAATTAGGGTTTTTTTGTGGCTTTATAATTGGATCTTTTTTGCAAGTATTTTTAATTTTATGAGAGGTATTTGGCCTGTTCTGCTAGAGAATTATCAGCCAAATCCTTGCTTTCTTTATATTATATATATTTTCCTGAGTGATATTCTAGGGAAATGTATATGGATGCTGTTCTCTGTCTTTCCATTAGCAGCGCAGTGTTGGGCTTCGAATGATGATGGTAGATGATTGGGGGTGGGAGAAGAGGTGGGGTTTCTTCTTATCATCCCTCTTGTGGTCAGTAAAATCATCTGACAAATGCCTTTCCAAGGATGTCGAATGTATATATAAAGAAAAAGCTTAGGATTGCTAAGGGAGTGGTATTTTGGTGAGGATTTCATTTTCTTCTACTCCATGGAAACGAGCCTTTTGAGCTTTTGCTTGTCTGCTGATTTGTCCGGTGATCCAGGTAATCTACTGCAGTCTTTGTTTTCTGGGTCGTGTATAAAATGGAGCAAAATGGTAGAAAAATAGCTTCAGTGAAAGGGATGTACCTGTTAACAGGAATAAAATAGAAAGGAAAAGGATATTTTTACATTGTTCATTATTATTTCTCACAACAGCTTTTAGGATTTTTATCATGTTTTAAAAAACCTAATTTGACCTAAGGAAGAAAATTCCTAGTTTTGAAAACCCGTGCCTTAATTGCTTAGCTTTAGAACAAAGGTTTTTACATCCAGCATTGCAAGGATATCTTTATTCAAAAGAATAGGATGCAGCATTCTTATGTTACCTTTTTAGAACTGAATTGGCATAACCTCTCTTGAATCTTAGAGACTTTGACGTATTATTCTGTGAATTGTGATTTAATTATCTCATGCTTCAGGATGGTTGTTTCCCTTTGATACCCAAGAGACCATGGATGGGATATAGGGGGTGGGGATTAATATTACAGTGGGGGAAGGGAGTGTTTTTACAGAGTAACCTTCCTGTTTTTGCATTGGAAACTAAATTGAAATATATAATCATTGGAAAAGGTGGTATCCATGGCACCAATCTTATCAACTTGAATTATTTTATCCTTTGTTCAGTTTGTGGTATTTTTGCTCTTGTCAGCTGAAATGTTGATTATAAATTTGAAGAAGCTGCCGAGTTGCTGTGATGGCACTGGAATTGCATTCTGCTTTCTTTTTCT
This sequence comes from Homo sapiens, assembly GCF_000001405.40. NCBI lineage: Eukaryota > Metazoa > Chordata > Mammalia > Primates > Hominidae > Homo > Homo sapiens. The sequence continues at coordinate 120,386,213 of NC_000011.10, forward strand.
TTCCAATTATAGCTGTAAATACAGGAACCAAGGGATGAATGTGAAAAGAAGTAATATAAAATGCTGAAGATATTTTTGGTTTTCTCTTGAAAGTATTTTTCATAGTGAGAATTATTTTCTTGTGGACAGAAAGAGCTAGGACCCTAATTTATGACATTAAAAAGCATTTAAGTGCTACAGACTTCTCTATTTAGGAAAGACAGACTGAAAACATGTTGAAGCGTACTATGGAGCTTTCAGTTAAGTTGATTATTTCCATCATGGTGATATGAGTTATCATACTGTTTGCCACATTTTGAAAGCTGTTTGACTCCTCAGAAGTATTAACAAATTAACAAATTCTTACTGAGCATTTACATTATGCTAGGTTCTTTAGATGTATATCAGGTTTATAGTCTAGTAAAGGATATAAAAAACTCATGCATATGATGTACCATTTTTGGTGCAAGCATATAAGTATTGCAGTGTTATATATTTATGTACTGACATGTAGGTGTTTTACATAAGCTACTACATTTAATCCTCATAACAACCTAGTCACGAAATTATTGTCATTCTTGTTATCCTATGCACATTAGTCCAAACAAGCAAACAAAAATTGTCATTCTCTTTTATAGATGAGAAAATTTACATTTTGAGAGATTAAGTGATTTACCATAAGTAACAAAGCCATGAAGTGATGAAGCCTGGGTCAGTCAGACTCTAAAGCTCTTTCCACTGTTTGTATATGAGTAGATTAAAGCATTTTATCATGATTATTTGACATCACAAATAGTGATGCCATGAGTGAAAAGGAGATAGGGATCCTAATCTTTAATCTATGCCAAGAACTGAGTGATTGAGCAAATCATTTAACATCGTCTGTAAAGTGTGAGGGTTGGACTAGGCAACCTTGGTTCATGATTCTATTCAGTGTAAGAGATTTTCACATATGGTCTATGGAAACAATTCTCATTACTTTAGTGTTTTTATTATATTTAGTTTCCATTACTCATCCTTCATAATGTGCTGTACATGTTGGATTGTGTGTGGTGGGGGGGGAGGGTGATAGAGTGCATATCATCTTCTAACATATTACATACAATATACATTTATTTATTAAGATTATTACTGTCTGTCATCTTCCTTCTTCCCTTCCCCCAAATATGTCACGAGGACCTAGACTAGAGCCTGGCTACATAGTATGCAGTTATAAACTAATTTTTTGAATGAATGAATAGGAATAATAGACTTGTATAGTACATTGGCAAAATATATAAGTAACTTCATAATTCTTAACACCAAAAGATTCCCTGGGGGCCAAAATTATTAATCTTTCTATTACAGTGATCCTTTAAGGAACTAAGTGTAAGAATCTTAAAAAGAAGAACACCTACGAAACAATCAAGTGTAGTCAAGTAATCTGAAGTTTGCTGGAATTCCCCCATACAAAATTATTGGTAGTATAGAACTTGCTAACCATAGGTTTGTTTACCCAGTGTTCTATTTGAAAGTAGTTTACTAAAGCATTCCATATAAGCAAAGAAAAAAAGCAGCAAAGTTTCTTTTTTGTTTATGTGTCACTGTATAGTCTCAAATGCTGTAAATTTACAGTGAGTAGAAAATATTCAGACCATTGAGTCTTTTGCTTAAAAGATATTTCGTAAGGTATAACATAACGTTTACTGGTAGTTTTGTTTCATTTAAACATTAGGCTTCTTGAGAGTTTTAACAGTTTTATTGAAATGTAATTGGTGTATAATAAACTGCCTATGGTTAGAGTATAATTTGATAGGTTTTGATGTATATACACGATTAGGAAACTATCACCACAATTGAGAAAATAAACATATTCACCCCAAAGGTTTCCTTGTGCATTTTCATAATTTCTCCGTCCCTCCACCCCTCCTCACCTATCCCCAGGTGTACCCATTGACTTGTCTTTGGTCCTTATAGAGTAGTTTGAATTTTCTTGCTTTCTTTCTTGTCATTATAGATTAATTTGCATGTCTTTTTGTAAGTGAACTCACATAGTTTGTGCTTTTCTTATGTGGTCTCTTTTACTCTGCATAATTATTTTGAGATTTGTCTGTATTCCTGTGTATCAGTAGTTCATTTCTTTTTATTGCTGAATGATATCCCATTGTGTGGATATACCACAGTTTATCCATTCAGCTGTTGATGGGCATTTGGGTTGTTTCAAGTTTTAGACTATTAGGAATAAGTTTGCTTTGGACATTCATGTACAAGTTTTTGTGTGTACATAAGCTTTCATCTCTTAGGTAAACACCCAGGAGTGGAATGGCTGGATTATATGGTAGGTATATATTTTAACTCTTTAAGAAATTGCCAGACTGTTTTTCCAGGTGACTGTATTGTGTTACATTCCCATTAGCAACATTCCAGTTGCTGCACAACTTCATTAATAGTTGGTTTTGTCAGTCTTTTTAATTTTAGCCATTTTACTGTGTGTGTGATGGTATCATATTGTAGTTTTTATTTGCATTTCATCTGATGACTAAAAATGTTTAACATATTTTCATGTGCCTGTTTTATCATCCATACTTCTTTTGTGGATTGTCTGTTCAAATCTTGTTTTTAATTGAGCTTTTAATTATTGGGTTGTAAGAGTTCCTTATATGTTTGGGATATAAGTGCTTTTATTTTTTTTTTATTTTATTTTATTTTGCGACAGAGTTTTGCTCTTGTTTCCCAGGCTGGAGTTCAATGGTGCAATCTTGGCTCACTACAGCCTCCTCCTCCTGAGTTCAAGCGATTCTCCTGCCTCAGCCTCCCAAGTAGCTGGGATTACAGGTGGCCACCACCATGCCTGGCTAATTTATTTCTAGTTTTAGTTTTAGTAGAGATGGAGTTTCATCATGTTAGCCAGGCTGGTTTCGAACTCCTGACCTCAAGTAATCTGCCTGCCTCAGCCTCCCAAGGTGCTAGGATTACAGGCATGAGCCACCATGCCCGGCCATAAGTCCTTTTAGGTATATGATTTAGAAATACTTTCTCCCAGCCTGTGGCTTGTATTTTCATTTTTTAGCATCCTCTTTCTCTCTTTAATACTTTTATTGAGATATAATTCACATTTCCTTGAGCAAAAGTTTTAAAGTTTGAATTCTAATTTATCATTTTTTCTTTCGTAGATTGTGCTTTTGCTATATCTAAGAAATATTTGCCTAACCCAAGGTCACACCTCTTTGCTTCTAGTTTTATAGTTTTGGGTTTTACTTTTAGGTCTGTGATACATTTTCAGGTAGTCTTTTATTTTTAATTTTTGTGGGTACCTAGTAAGTGTATGTATTTATGGATTACATCAGATATTTTGATATAGGCATGCAATGTGTAATAATCACATCAGGGTGGATGGGGTATCTTTCATCTCAAGCATTTATCTTTTGTGTTACAAACAATCCAGTTGTACTCTTTTAGTTATTTTTAATGTACAGTTAAACTATTTTTTACTATAATCACCCTCCACTACCCTTCCCAGCCTCTGATAATCATCCTTCTACTTTCTGTCTCCATGAGTTCAGTTGTTTTAATTTTTAGCTTCCACAAATGAGTGAGAACATGTGAAGTTTGTCTTTCTGTTGCTGGCTTATTTCACTTACCATAATGACGTCCATTTCCATCCATCTTGTTGCAAATGACAGGAACTCATTCTTTTTTATGGCTAAATAGTACTCCATTGTGTATATGTACCACATTTTCTTTATCCATTTGTTTGTTGATAGATACTTAGGTTGCTTCCAAATCTTGGCTATTGTGAATAATGCTGCAAAAAACATGGGAGTGCAGATAACCCTTCGATATCCAGGAGTGTCCTAAATCTAAGGATGTGTCATATTATTTTTTCTTTATTTTTTTCTCCTCCTGCTGTTCCGGGTCTCTACAGTGTCCCCTACTCCTTTGTTTTATTCGCACACCTGGGTAGTGCCTTTCCAATCAAAGGATAGTTGGGTCTGCATTTCAGGTCTGTGATCTTTATGTTTAGGGAAATCCGTTTCCTGGTCAAAGCCTACCAGACTTCCTTGGTATCACTCCAGAATTTAACAGATTTGGCAAGTATGTTTTTTAGTTAATGGTTTGAGATCATAATCATTTCCTTCATGCTCCTCCTGCCTTCTATTTTTGCTTTTAATATTGAGGAATGCTAATGGAATAGATTTGCTTTTGCTCTCTCCCATCTTTACCTGGAATTGAACACATATTTATTGAAGGAATGAGTGGTTTGCAGGAATGTTGCCATTCAGGTGGAGACATGTTTCTCTTTAAATATATAGCTGGCAAGTTGCCCATATGGCACATAGATATTAACTGAATTATCCACTGAGCTCTGGGATTAGGAGATACAGATTGTGTAGGATTGGGAGTTCTTTCTATTGGCTTATCTTTTCCTAAAACTATGTAACGGGATATGAATACCTTTCTACCTAAGTATCTTGTCATTATACTAGATCTAGTTTTCTGAGTCTCACTTGTGAAAGCTTTTGGTTAACTATTAATAAAAAACTGTACAAAGGGAAGATGATAATGGTTTCTCTTGTAAGGTGGTAGTCCAGGGGTTGAAAGCAAGGGTTCTAGTTAGACTGTGAGGTTTTGAATCTAAGCTCCCTCTTCTACTAGTTATATAACTTGTATATGTTACTTAACTTCTCAGAACCTCACATTTCTCTTCAATAAAACAAGGCTAAACATTTTACTTATAGAATTATTGTTAAAATTAAATGAATTAATGCATAAAAAGTACTTAAAGCAGATACTGTAAGTATGCAAGTAAAGCTACTCAAGTTTTAGCTATTATTGTAACCATTTTAATTGTTAATTATTGTTCTTATAGATAATGGATGATGTGTTTGAAGCTATCACCTAGCACAATTTCTGACTACCAAATGTAGTTTGAGGCTTTTGAGTGTTTTTCACCTAACCATTCTTCCCAAATGAATATTTTTCAGGGAAGCTAACCCCAGGAAATGTGACACAATTTACTGTATTGTTCCTTACCTCTATAATGTATGTTTATTCTAGCTGGTTCATCTCTTCCTTATATACAAGTTCCACAGAATGATTTTTTTCTAATAAGAATTAAGAAACCTTTGTTCTGATGATGAGCTTATTTAAATTTGGGTTTAATTTGATAGAAAATTAAGCTGTTTCCTTAATGGGGAATCTGGCCAATCACCATCCTCCACCCTCCCAGGGTAGAATTTTTTCCAGGAATTAAATAGCTCTATCTAGCAGGGTCTTCCTGCCTTTGGCAGTAGAGCAGTACAAAGGCCACATTGAGCATAGCTGCTGGGGAAACCCTTTTTCCTTCTCTAGCCTATAAATGCTGTTCTGTCTCTGTGAAAAGCCCTGACATCAGCTCTTGGAAAAATCCAAATACTTGTGTTAGAACAAGGCTGAAACACTTGCCTGGGCAGAGACTAATGGCTGAACTATAGTTCTAAGTTTACCAGATTGCCTCTCAGTATTGTTATGCTTTAAAAAACAAAACAAAAACTGTAAGTTTCAGACATAATCTAGAGAAATTAGGATAGAAAGGACAACTTAATAGCGCCTCCCATTCTTTGCTAGTTTCTTCTTATTTTTCTCTTTTTTCTAAAAATCTACCTTCAAGATAATGTGAAATTCTTGCTTGAGGAGTGAGGGAGAGAAATAATATATCAATATTATAAACTTTATGCAGTGTTTTCCACATATTAGATGCTGCATAAGTATTTGATGTTTGAGACAAAATAAACTGTAAACAGACTGTACTTAACTTCCTTAGTGTTCAAATTAGATCATGATGTAAAACTCTCCAGTGGTTTTCCATTATATTATGAATAAACTCTAAGCCTGTTTCTGTGGCTCACATTCTTACATTAGCTGGCCCCTGTCTACTTCTGTGGATCTCATTTCAGCACTACTTTACTACTCTCTTGGTCATTTTCTATGCTTAAGCCACAGCGGACTTTGTATTTCTCAAATACATTAATCTGCTTATCCTTTGTGACTCTTGTACTAGCTGTTTCCTTTACCTGTAATTCTGTGGCCCACATCTTCCCATGGCTGGCTCCTTCATTTAAGTCTCAGCTTAAATGCCTCTAAGGTCTTTTTTGAATAAACTAAATTAATGTATTTAGTCAAATAATATCTTTTTTTAATAGCACTTACCACGATTTGAAATTCTTTGGTACAATTATTTTTTTGTGGAGTTTATCTTCCTCCTGTGGAATGTAAGCTGCTTGAGAGCAAGGACCTTATCTGTTCATTAACGTAACCTCCAGTGTCTTGAACCTCCTGGCATAGGTTGGTGTTTGTGTAACTTTGTATGTACTTGGCTGCCTGTAACGGAAAACACAAGTCAAACTGACTTAAGCAGTAACGCATTTACTGGCTCACATAAAAAAGAAATCTAGACGTAGGCTTCAGAGATTTTTGATTTAGGGACGTAACTATGTCAAGGGCTCAGATGCTTTCCATCTTTACACTCTTGCCATCAAAATCATCCTCATCCTAAACTAGTCCTTAAAGATGAATGCGAAGTAGCTGTTAAGGCTGCTTGCTTCTTCACTCAGGTTCAGTGGGAGGGAGAGAAAGAAGTTTCACATCATTCTCTCAAGAATAAGGAAATACTTTCATAGATGCCACCAGTGAACTTTGTTTCTACTTTTATTGGCTTTTTTGGAACCAATTGCTTACCCAAGAATGGAATTACTGTTAGGCCAAAAAGGCCCATCACTGTTGCTACAGATGGGGTTGGCTTGACCTGAGTCATCTGGACTCTGAGAGGAATAGTAGATAACTGAATAAAATCGGAGTTCTCTTAAAAGGAAGGCTGTGGTTTCTGGGGTAACTTATATCCTCTGTAGTTCTCAATAAAAATGTATGGAATGAGTGAATTCATGTAGTAAAAATGTATTGAATTGTCAGGCGTATGCTCAGCACCATAATAGTTAAGTAGAATACAAAATCAAATAGAATGTGGTCCTTGCCTTCAAATAATTTAAAATCTAGTGAGAGAGCCAAATTAACGGAATATTAAAATTGTTTTAAAAATCAGTTGATTAAAATAATTTAAAAGATGAAAAAGAGAAAAGGGAAACAACAGATGAGACAAATAGCAAGATGATAGACTTAAATACATTAGTAATCACACTAAAGGTAAATGGTCCAAACACCCCAATTAAATGTATAGACTATCAGATTAGATGAAACAGCAAAGCCCAACTGTATGCTACAAGAAACACACCTTAAAATTAAAAATACACATTGTTTAAAAGTAAAAGGATGGAAGAAGATGTGCCCTGCTAATCTACATTAAAGGAAAACTAGACCACATTAATATCAGATAAAGTAGATTTAAGATTATAGAATATCAACAGGGATAAAAAAAGTAATTTCGTACTGATAAAAGGGTCAATTTAAAAAGAAGACATATCTAGGCATGTATACACCTAATGACAAAACATCAAAATTCATGTAACAAAAGCTGACATAACTGAAAGGACAAATAGACAAATCTACAAACATTGTCAGTTATTTCAGTATCCGTTTTTCAGTAATTGATCAAAGTAGATAAAGTAAGCAAGGATATAGAGTACTTAAACAATACTGTTGGCCAGTTTGATTTAATTACATTTTTGGAACATTCCAGCCAACAACCAAATACTTTTTTTTTTTTTCATGTTTGCAAGCAGACATGGGACATTTACCATGACAGACACAATTCTGGGCTGTGAAGTAAATTTCAATAAATTAAAAGGATTCAAGTCATACAAAGTATGTTTCCTGGTCACCATGGACTGAAATTAGAAATCAATAAAAGATCTCTGGAAAGTTTCCAAATATTGGAAAATAACACAATTCTTAGTCAAAGTGGAAATAAAAAAGGAAATGGCAAAGTATTTTGTATTGGATGAAAATGAAAACACAACATATCAGAATTTGTTGGTTGCCATTAAAGCATTACATAAAAACTTATAGCATTAAACACCTATTAGAAAAGAGAGAAGGTCTAAAATCAATGACATCAGCTTCTTTTTTTTTTTTAAGACAGGGTCTTACTCTGTTGCCCAGGCTCAAGGGCAGTGGTTTGATCACTACAGCCTCAACCTCCTGGGCTCAGGCTGTCCCCACCTTATCCTCCCAAGTAGCTGGGACTACAGGTGTGCCCCACTAATTTTTTTTAGTAGAGATGGGGTCTCACTGTGTTGCCCAGACTGGTCTCAAACTCCTGGGTTCAAGCAATCCTCCTGCCTCGGCCTCCCAAAGTACTGGGATTTCAGGTGTGAGCCACCGTACCTGACCAATTTCATTTTAAGCAACTAGAAAAAGAAGAGCAAATTAAAACCAAAGCAAGCAGAAGAAAAAAAAAATAGAGATGAAAGCAGGAATCACTGAAGCAGAAAACAGGAAAACAGTAGCGAACATTAACCCCAAATCTGGTTCTTTTGAGAAAATTAATAAAATTATTAAACCTCTAGCCAGCTGATCAGGATGAAAAGAGAGAAGACACACATTACTAATATCATAAATGAAAGAGGTGACATCATTACAGATTCTTCAGATATTAAAAAAAAATAGGGGAGGCTGGGTGCTGTGGCTCACGCCTGTAATCCCAGCACTTTGGGAAGCCGAGGTGGGCAGATCACTTGAGGCAAGGAGTTCAAGACCAGCCTGGCCAACATGGTGAGACCCCATCTTTACTAAAAATACAAACATCAGCCGGCATTGTGGCGCGAACCTGTAATCCCAGCTACCTGGGAGGCTGAGGGATGAGAATCGCTTGAGCCCAGGAGGTAGAGGTTGCAATGAGCTGAGATGGTGCCACTACACACCATCCTGCCCAACAGAGCAAGACTCTATCTCAAAAAAAAAAAAAAAAAAAAAAAAGATAAGGGAGCATTATGAATAGCTTTATGGCAATAAATTTAACAATTTAGATGGAATGTGGTTGGTAATTTTATAAATTCCAACAATATATATACAATATGTAAATATATATTACATATACATAAAACAGGAAAATACATAAAATATATATGCACTCTGTGTGTATGTATGTGTGTGTAATGACCGGGTAGGGTTTATCCCAGGAGTGCAAGATTGGTTCACCTTACAAAAATCAGGCAATGTAAGTAAATGGATGGTAAATGGTGGTAACTATGTTTCTCACTGTCTCAAAGGAGCTAAGCAAGAGAGAAGACTGGAATGAACCTGATGGAATTAGATTAGAATTAGAGATATCAGTATGAACTCATGCTGAGCTTAATATAGATACAGATATATGGATAGCTACAGAAAGAATTATAGATATGTTGTATTAGTCTCTTCTCACACTGCTAATGAAGACATATCCGAGACTGGGTAATTTATAAAGGAAAGAGGTTTAATTGACTCACAGTTCCACATGGCTTGGGAGGCCTCACAATCATGGCAGAAGGCAAGTGAGGAGCAAAGTCATGTCTTACATGGTAGCAGGCAAGGAGAGCTCGTGCAGGGGAACTCCCCTTTATATAACCATCAGATCTGGTGAGACTTATTCAATATCCCAAGAACAGCATGGGAAAAGACCCCCCCCCTTCATGATTCAATTACCTCCCACCAGGTCCCTCCCACACATGGGAATTATGGGAGCTACAATTCAAGATGAGATTTGGGTGGGGACACAGCCAAACCATATCATGTGTATGTATACCCCAGTTAGTATAACACATTCATTTCCCTGCTCTCTCTGCTGAGAGGGCCTAGAAATGGTGACATCTCAGTAGCAGTGAGCGCACCCAGCTCCTGGATCTTGGTTACTAAATATCACTCTCCAATAAAATAGCTCCTTGGAGAAATGGTTGACTCTAAGGCTGCAATAGGGAAAATGCAAGTTGAACCTAGAGTGCCTTATAGTGCCACAAACAAGAAAGTGCCCAAACAGAAGGGTGAGAGCATGTCAGTGGCATAAACGGGAAGAATTTGAGCAAGAGAATAAATAACGTAGTATTGGATTAGAACTCAAAGTCTAAAATAAACATACATGAGCCCATACTGATAAAAATGATTACATAAATACATGGGTGAGAAAACACAAATCTTCCTTACAGGAAAATTTCAAATAGTATACGTAGATTCCTATTCCCAGGAGATGGAGCTTAATCCTCTCAGATGCTAGTGTGGATTGGGCTTAGTGACTTCTTCAAAGAAAAAAATATGGCAAGGGAAAAATAATAACTTTACAGGGAGACGTCGAGCAACCACTCCCTTAACCAAATGACCAAAGTTAACATTACTAGTGTTAAGTCATATTGGTGTCATATATCCTCTGATGGGTGATGAAAAGGGTACTTCACCCCTGTGGTATTCCAAAAATAGACCCACGTATATATGGAAAACTGATTTTCAAAAGTGCAAAAGGCAATTCAGTTTCAACAAACGGTGCTGGAACAATTGGATTTCAATTGGATATCACACTCTATATAAAAATTATTACAAAATATATTGTAGACCTAAAAGTAAAATAGAAAGTCACTCAGCTCTTAGAAGAAAATGTAGGGGTAAATCTTTGTGATTTGGGGTTAGGCAAAGATTTCTTAGGTATGATACCATAAACATGGGCAGTGACCTAATTTCCAAATAAAGTCCCACAGGTATGGAAGTTAAGACTTCAGCATGTCTTTGGAGATAACACAATTCAACCTGCAACAAATATAATGGTTCCCAATTAGGACTGCTTTCATGTTTAATACAGAGAAACTGAGAATCTCTATATGAGTTTAGTGCTTTTCACATACTACCTAAGAAATGCATCTTCCACATTTACATTTAGTCTTCCAATGTGTTGGTGTTGTCATTAACAAAATACAAATTCTCCTAAAAATATTATGAATTGTAGCTTTGGGCATTTATTCAGTTTGTGGATAGTATAATAATTGCTATTATGTGTATCCCTGGGTTTTGTTTGTGTGTTTGTTTTCTACTTTCAACACAAATAGGGAGAGAGTCTCTCTCACCGATTTCGTGCCACACTTTGTCACTTGGGCATTAAAATAATTTTACCCTGGCCCTTTGTCTTACAAGGTCTGTTGCCAAAACAAGCTTCTTCAGCTTCTGCTGCTGTTTCCATAAAGATTTGACATGAGTTCATGGAATTGATCTCGGGGACGAGTGTGTCCTCTCTTTTCTGTTTACCTAGTACCCACAGAAACTCCTGTCATTTCTAGTCCAAACTCCCACCTGGATTCCTTACTATAAATGAATTCATCCCAAGGAAGAAATCAAGGGGGAGTATAGAACTTGGGTTACAAGGATATTTGTTATAACATTCTTTATTATGCTGAAAAATTAGACCCAGCCTAAATATTTACAAAAGGGAACTTCTTAATTAAATAGCCATATCACAGGATACTTTGCAGTTATCAAGAATTATTTAGAACTATGTTTTTTAAATCTTTATCTGATTTGGAAGTTCAATATATAGAATGAATAAAAAACAAAGCAGCTCTGATATGTGGGAAGTCTAGAGCCCCATCTACACACTCCCGCTCTGTGAGGGACCTCTTTTAAACCTCTAGAATTTTATAGAGCACAGTTTAAAACCAGCACTGTAGTGAAATATTTAATATGTAAACATATGTTGATATTTTATGAAGTTAAAGTTGTCAATATGTCCAGTATGCTTTAATTTTTATGAAAATAAATTTTAAACATTGTATACAGAAATCTATCTCTATTTTGGGAAAGAATGGGAATATATGCATAACAATGCTGGGTGTTGGGATTATGGGTGATTTTTGTTTACTATTTTGTCTTTAGTTTTTAAAAGTTTATACGTGTACTTCTTTGGACATAAAGAAAGTGAGACATTTCTTCATATTGAAAAGGCAGAGAGAACCATTGCTTTATAGGAAACTACAGTTTGGAAAAACGGCAGTCTCATTACTCAATCCCTTGAGAGAGGAATTATCTTGAAAATGTTATAAAAAATATTAGTAACAGATTTACTAGTGTCAGTGGTCTTGTGTGTTAAGTATATTAGGATAAGCCACATTTGTAACAGCTAACGGAGAAAACATAACTGAATGTCAGTGTTACACAGTGAACTTTGTAGAGCAGTGATTCCCAATTCTGAGATGTTGTAAGAGGAATGTCAGAATTCCTAAAACACTCATCCTCCAACCTTTCAAATTCAGTGCTGTGGTGAGCCATTGTTACTGATAAGGGTATATCCCACTTGTGATTTCTTTGTTTTGGGTCAAGAAAAGCTTTTGTAGAAGCCAGTGTAAAATGGCATGCATATAATTAATTTCCTCATCTTTTCCTCATAAAATCAGAGGTCCTTTTATCGATGGTGGTTTGAAAGTCTGGGGTATTCAGATTTGGCAGCAGAAAGTGTGTTTTTTTTGTGTGTGTGTGATAAACTAGGTGGATTGCTAATTCTGATTGAGGAATTCGTAATGTTTGACACCAGAACCAGAGCACTTGTGAAAAGAAGTCTCTTTAGTACAAAACCAAAAATTTAATTACAGCATTTGTTATAACTATAGCCAATAAAAGTATTTTTAATGAAAAAGAATTTCCGCAGAAGAAAATGCTTTCTATTAATGCAGAAGGTGTTATATAGAAGATTTAATTGTAATGATATTGGTTATGATCCGTTTTTTGTTTTATCTTTACCTGTATTTTATATTCGTATAACCTCTAAATTTTACAAATTACCCATAATACATTTCTTATATAATTAAAAAAATTCTGAGTACAGAACAGGAAATATGTTCAATCTTTATTCCATTAGAGTTCTACTTGGAAAGTATTAATATGTAAGGTTTTTATTTCTCCATAAGAAATAGACCTATATAGTCAGGCACAGTGTCTCATGCCTGTAATCCCAGTGCTTTGGGAGGCTGAGGCTTGAGGATTGCTTGAGGCCAGGAGTTTGAGACCAACCTGGGCAACACAGCAAGACCTGGTCTCTACAAAAAAATTCTTAAAAAATTTAGCTGGGTGTGGTGGCATGCTCCTGTGGTCCTACCTACTTAGGAGGCTAAGGTAGGAGGATTCCCTTGAGCCCAGGAGTTCGAGGTTACAGTGACCTATGATTGTGCCACTGCACTCCAGCCTGAGTGAGAGAGTGAGACATTGTCTCCAAAAAAAAAAAAAAAAAAAAAAAAAAAAAAGAAAAGAAAGATAAATAGATCTATGTCTAGTTAATTCGAGGAGATGGTACACATTTTTAGAGCACATGAGAACGAAGTTTATACTTTTCTGATTTTCTGGGTTTCCTTGATGATTTTTTGGCAAATCCTTGTCTGTTTAGCTGTCTGGCATATGTATGACTGTGGTTGGGCTTCTTTGTACTCAACCAATGAATGCATACCAACTGTAACACCTGAAGGTAGGATCATGAATAAATACTCTGTGATTTGGGGTTAGTATAGTTTTGGTTGTTTTCCCTTCTCCTGAGATTTCAGAAATAAAAGATTCCTATTCCTGTGATTTTTTTGGCACACAGTAAGACATATTTGATACATAAGATAAGTCATTATAATTAACTTGTCGAATCACTTTTTCTTGCTGCAGAATGATATTTTTATGAATGCCTTAGGTTTTTTCAATAAAAAATGCAACCAAACTGCAAATGTACTGTGATTTAAAGTGGTAATGTCAGAATTTAAATTTTGAGTAGTACTCTTTTTTTAAATCATAGAATGCTCTATGTTTATTCAAAAAAGTAAAATATTATTAGACAGTATTTTTTATTTTAATTTTGCATTTAAATAAAGTTCTCAAGCTCAGACTGAAAAGTAAACACTGTATGTTGGAGCCTGTCTCAACGACACTTAAAAGCTAAGACTTTCTACTTTTTCAGAAGTACATTTGTATCTTTTGGCAAATGTGTAGAAAGCAGCCTGTCCTAACAAATTTTGTTCACCTGTTCTCACTTCAGTTTATAGATTGTTAAACATTTAATCATAATATATTTTATATACAATATTTATGTGAAAAATGCCCATCCTTGATTAAGGGGATTTTTTTCTACTCTTATTTTTATTATTTTTACCAGTATATTCTGAAGTAGAGAAATGTGAAATGAGATGAAGATTTAAATTCCTAGCAAACAGAATCATGCATTGCCCCTGTTTTATAAGTAATGAGATCATTTTGTAGAGTCCAGTTTATTTACATTTGTTAAATGATATTAATATCTCTTCCATAAGCATGAATTTGGTGGTTTGCATGGTGTTCACTGAGGTGAGGATACTTGTTTAAGTATTTTGAGGATCTCATACTTTCCTAGCAGTTCTTTTTACTTGGTTTTCTGAAGTGAATATAGTCTTTAAAAAAAAGTATAAGGTACTAGTAATCAGATACTCATGATCACAAATGAAAGTGGTGGAGAAACCTTTTAAGGAATATTCACAAAAGTGATAATTTTCCAGATTGTCAATGAGGAAATGAAAGTCTCTAATAAGCTGTCACATTAATTGTGAGCTGCATTTCTCAGTCAGCAACAACTAATAGTCAATCTATAATAGCTCCAGCAGAGGGAATGAAAGTAATTTAGAAAAAAGTTTACTATTTGATTTGTCAAAGTGTGTCCAGGAAGTAAGAGAGCCTAACCAAGGGGCTGTTGTGCATGTAAGCTCTTCAGTAAAAGTGGTGGTGTACTAAGCTATATTTAAGAAGGTAATTTGAGATTTTATATTACATGCTAGTGAATCATTTTTGGATTTTGCACCAGAACTGAGCTCTTTGGTCCCTGCCTGTCTGTGGTTTGTGTTGCAAGGTCCAGAGGCTTAAAACAAAGAACACCATGGGAAATTCTCCATGAGTCATTCCGTCAGCTGTAGCTTCTGTTTTATAGTCCTTCGGATATAACTAGTGTTTTAATGCCAGCTCTCCTAGCCGCTTTTCATGCTTTGGTTCTATATGCTAATAAAAAAGTATGGCAGTATGGCTATTGTAGATAACGTTCAGACTTTTTTTTCTCCCGATTCCACAATTTTTAGTTCTTCTAATGGCTCTAAGCTAGACCAATTATAAATTGTAACTGGTGAAAAGATTTATGACTGTTTATTTTGTTGTAGTTGCGAGGTAAGCGAGTGGTCACTTAATACTTTTGGTTCTGTGAATCTTACTGTCCAGAGAACTAAAGATTGAATTAGCAGTTCAGCTGGAGTCAGCACTATGTGCTAAATCCCTATACTTAAGAGCTCTTATGTATTGCAGACAAATGTCCTCTTAGCTGTTTTGTTATTTTGTGAAAAATAATAATAATAGAGCAAGGCAGTTTAGATTCATATCAGTTTCAAATTTTAAGTACCATGTTTTAAGCCATTCTAATTGTTTTGTAGAAACAGATAAATTAAAAACTTGATTTAAATCCAGCCCACAGGATGCCTTAATCACCTTTGATATTTTAAAGGAGATGAGGAAATAATGGACTTTTTTGCTAGTAAGTGGCAGGTATGGTCAACACAATTTCACTACATTTGAAAAAAATCACTTTCCCTGCTTGCCAGGAAAATTTAAAGTGCAGATTGTAACCTGATCTTTTTTCTTACAGTGTAACGTCTGAGAAGTTCAAGTATTGACATGAATTTTCTATGATACCACTTGGTAAATTAAATCTGTGGTTTCATCACTGGCTTTGAATTATATATTTCTATGCATTTTACTTAGCTAAAAACTTATTTGAATATTTAGTCTTTAAATTTATTTTTTCTTTTCTGCTTATTTGAATACATATCACCAACATTCAGATTTTATTTTTGTTTTTCTTAATAGTAAATACATAAGTGGTTACTGCTTGCTAGGCAATGCTTCTTATTTTCTAATTTAATCCCCAAAACAAATTTGTGAGGTATAGGTAGATGTATTAGTAATTATGTTTTAGAGGAGATGCTTAAAGAGGTTAAGCAACTTGTTCAAGTTCAAATACCTGTTAAATTATGAAACTAGAATATTAACCCAGTTACATTTGTTTCTGAGGAGTCTTTTGCCCCCAAGGCCTTGAAATTTTAGGGAATTTTCATTTATAGCAATCAATAATACTATTCCCATCCCACCCTGTCCATTTCTGATTTTCAATAGTATAGTTTCTGCACTGATATTTACATCGTCTTACGATGGTTGAGCCTTAAAATTACCTGCATTGTTGTCTGATTTGCAATTCTTTGTCTAGTAACTCTTCTCACTGGAGTGGGTTCCAATAAAATGGTGCTGTATTTCACTCAAAATCAAGTTGCAGTGTTTTTTCCTCCTCATTTTAACATCACTAAAATCAGAGTGTATCTACTAATGGAATTCTTGATAATTCTAAATTTAATAGGTAACATTCTTTGACTGCTAATAAAATCTTAACCACTATCCAATGTAAGAAAAATTTGTTTAACCATCTCCCCTTCATTTCAACCATTCCTTATTAAGAAGAACCAACTACAGTCTCAAATGCTCCTTTATAACTAAGCCCAGGGAAGACATATCTAACACCCTAGAGGAGAGAGAAAAGGGTATGAATTAAGGTTTGAGTGTGATATCAGCATTTCTTCTCATATGGCTTCAGAACACTTCTCACTGAAGTATTGTCAAAAGGCTCTTTATGCACTGAAATCAATAAAAGAAAAAAACAATTTCTAGCAGGCTATTTATTATAAGCAAATATGTGACGACACAAAACTTTCTGGTCCTTTGCAATTTTTTAAGTCCAAAAGAAATTCTGTTTAACAATATTAAAGGACTATTCCAGTTACAAAATTGTGTGTTTGTGTATGCTTATTAGAATAATTAAACTTGGTTAAAATGTAAGTCTTACTCTAGTATACATTATTTATTGGGTAAGTGTTATTTAACTACCAAATCACATTTCCCTCTACACTGTAATAACACATCGGGAAGGGCCACCTAGGGCTTTAAAATTAGAACTCAGAATTTAACAAGGAAAAGGTATTCTGAGTTGAGTGAATAAATGTATTCTGAACGTTTAAGGCCTTTGGTTAAGATTTCTAAAATGTAGCTGTGCTTAATATACAAAATCAAAAGTAAAGGCAGGCCAGGCGCGGCGGCTCACACCTGTAATCCCAGCACTTTGGGAGGCCAAGGCAGGCTGATCACTTGAGGTCGGGAGTTCAAGATCAGCCTGGCCAACATGGCGAAACCCCGTCTCTACTAAAAATACAAAAATTAGCTGGGCATGGTGGCACGCAGCTGTAACCCCAGCTACTCGGGAGGCTGAGGCAGGAGAAGTGTTTGAACCCGGGAGGTGGAGGTTACAGTGAGCTGAGATTTCACCACTGCACTCCAGCCTGGGTGACAAAGCGAGACTTAATCGAAAAAAGAAAAGGAAAAAAAAAAAAGGCATCTAGCCACCATATCCCAGTGATTCAAATTCCTGATAATTCTTTGCTTTATTAATCATCGTTCTTCATTTTGGAATTTGACTTTTTTGCTATCTGTTAATAGAAAAATACACACACACACATATAAGTAAACACAGTATATTCATTGTTGACCAAGTGTCCAAGTTATCAATATGATATTTTCAAAAACCAGGCACAGTTTCATTAGGCACCTGTAACATTATGTCATAGTCACATACAGCTGTTCTACATAATATCGATCCAAAAGATATTGTCATGATTTCATGATTAGACTACACAGTGGACAGGGACTTAAAAATATAGGAGTTTTGTTCACCAGAATGTATTTCATCAGACTAATGGTTGAACTGATTTGTTGCTTATGACCTGGCCACTTTGTAGCTTTCAGACCTGCCTTTCTGTAGCAGTTGATAGTATGGATTATCTGATCTTCCTTCCCTTCTGGGACAGGCTTTTCTCTTTTCTAATTCATTTTCTTAATCTCCTACCTCCATTCTCAATCATGCAGATGCTAGTTTCTCCCCCATATTTGAGCCTGAGCATTTTTTCAAGTTTCCTTGGTGTTTTACATTTCAGTGACCATCAGTAGGTTGATAACTCAAATCTGCAACTTTAGCCCCAGGCTTTCTTTGAGGTTCTAGCTTTCTATTTCCAGCTCTCTGATTACATCTGTCTCAATATTCAGCATGTGGTAGGGATTTTGCAAAACTATGGGATTATCTTGGTGACTTTCCTAGCTGAAGCAGAGAGAACTAATGAAATAGCCAAGAAGGTTCTTGACATTGTTACTTATGCATATAAGCATATATATACACACATATGTACACATATATTTATTTGCTTTAGCAGATACTTTAAAGTAGAATTCAATGATTAGAGAAAAAATTATGATTTTAATATTATTTGAGACGTTCTTAATCTATACTTGAAGTAGTAAGTAGATTATGATAAGCAAGTTGGACTGTGGGCGTGGTCCTTGTTCATTTTCTCATTCCGTTTTTGTCCCCATTTTTCCTCTCCTTTTTCATTACCTTGTAAGAGAAAATAGCTCAGGAAACGGGTTTACAATCAGTAGTCTGGGAACTTCCGGGATTCTTTACCAGCATCCCCCTGGATGTTGCAGTCCCTGACGCAAGCAGCATTGTTTTAGGGTAGGAGTTTTTATAATGGCTGTGAGGTCGAGTGCCTAAGGTTGATAAATGGCAGTTGTTATCCTTTGCAGAAACTCAGTTGGAATCCTTTCTGTCAACTTGTATGTTCATCTGTAAATTAAGAAACATGTTCCCATTCCCTCCCTCTCCTACCTCAACAGTTATGGACAGACTGCTTAGGAACTCCTATTTCTGAAGATTTCGTGGTCTTTTGTAAAGTCAGTTTGTTCTCTAGAGCAGTGTCATCTTGTCCCAGAACCCCCTTTACTTACTACCACTACTTCTTTGTAAGTTAACATGCTATCACTGATTAGGAAAGGTTTTAGATTCTTAGTCTTTTTCTATGGATCAATTTTGGTTTAAATAGGTGTCGAAGGGAATTGTAAGTCAGCTTGTATTTTGGAGGTTTTGTTTCTACCTCCATGCCAAATGAAATGTAGTCATTGAAGTATCATTGTATTATGTTTATTTCTGTCTTTACTAATAGGCTTTTTTAAAACCCTAGTTTTACTGATGTTCTTAATAAAGTACGGTTCCTATTACTAAATAATCTTTACATAAAATGCCATAGGTTGAAATAATTTAAAAGACAGAAATCAAAATGTAGGATGATATTTGAGAAGACTTAGATTAGCATTTATATATAGCATCAAACGCTTATCAAGAAGCTTCCGGCAGTATTCATTTAAAAGAGAGAGAACCAGGAGGAAATGCTGTAGTTCTTTCAGCTTATAGGACCCCCCCAGAAAAACAAAACAGGAAAGTGCCCTTTGTTTTCTACTTTTGGAAGGTATTTTTTGTAACCGATAATTACTTTAATGTTAATTTTTTTCTAGATAATCTGTTATTAAATCTAAACCTAATAATTGAGGATCACGATGACATAGATCAATAGTGCAGTAATCAACACCCAGATATTTTGGGAAGTAGTGTGAAGTGATGGGAAGGAAGGAACTTTCCCTTCTAGGAAAACAGTGAGAATAATATTTTAATGGCAAAATATTTCTTTTTGTCTTGATTTTTAAAAATCTATAAAATGGAAAGTATATCTCTTCATAGAGATTTCTTTTTTTCAAGATTAAACGAGATAATACATGTGGAAATAATGCATAGCATTTGGTAAGCCCTTTATAAATTTAGCAATTGCTCTTATTATTGGGATTTTTAAAAAGAAAAGCTATATTCTAGGACAGCTGATGGTAAATGCACTGGCAGTTTAAGATTTAACAAAGTAGTTAAGATACTTAAACATGGTGTTCAACTTCTTATTCCTCCAGCTTATTGATTCTTGCTATTGGAAAGTTACCATAAGATTTAAATCTCTTATTCTGGTTCAGTAGGATGAATAAATTTAGTAACAAAATCTTACAAGTAAAGTAACTACATCTATCCTTATTTTTTCTTTGTTTCAGGTTTCCCCTCAAAAAACCTATAAGGTAAGTTTGCTCAATTACACTTCATACTCAAGTTTAGGTTATATTTTAATTATAAGCATCCCTTTGAAATTATGGTGGATTTTTGTGGTTTTTGAGAATGTGTATTCAAGTAATTCAAAATTTCAAAATGTTTTACAAATTTAAAATGTAAAAGATGTTACTTTTTCTGGAAGACAGCATTGTTTTGATAATACTTCTAATATAAGCATTTAAAAATTTTGTTCAAAAGGATATTTAAGGTCACACTGAAGAGACTTAATTTTGAAGTCTATTTGTGACTGTTTTGAATTATGAGTAGCTTAGGAGGTGAAAATAGAATGCTAGTTTTTGATGTGTTTTATCACTTGTGTGACTATAATTGCCTTTAGTTAATGTACTTTGGTACTAGTTTAGTCTTAATTACTTTATTTTTTATTTTATTTTATTTTATTTTTTGAGATGGGATCTCACTCTGTTGCCCAGCCTGGAGTGCAGTGGCGCGATCTCAGCTCACTGCAAGCACCGCCTCCCGGGTTCACACCATTCTCCTGCCTCAGCCTCCCGAGTAGCTGGGACTACAGGCGCCCGCCACCACGCCTGGCTAATTTTTTGTATTTTTAGTAGAGACGGAGTTTCACTGTGTTAGCCAGGATGGTCTGGATCTCCTGACCTCGTGATTCGCCCGCCTCAGGCTCCGAAAGTGCTGGGATTACAGGCGTAAGCCACTGCACCCAGCCTAGTCTTAATTACTTTAAGACAGTGAAGAAAAAAATCCAAAATGTTAAAATGTATCTATGCCTATATCCATGTCTATATATTTATTCATTTCCAGGTCTTAAATGCCTCTTCCTCAGTATTTTTGCTTTCAGCATTTCTTCTGTTATCTTATCATAAATATTATTTAAAATGTAGGTAGTATGTCATTCCTAATTATTATATTTTATCATTTTTAGTGTCAGCATAGTCCAGGATCCAATGCTAACCTTGGCATTTCAGTGAATATGTGTATGTGTACATATGTATTATTGTTATGGTCTTGTCACCCAACCATTATCTGATCAGTGTAATTGGCTAAGCCATAGAAGTAATAATAATAATAATGTCATTGGTCCTTAAAGTGGTTGGCTAAGACTTCTGTGGCTAGAACTACATCAGCAGGCTTAAAATGAGGCTTGCCTAAGGCTGCTTTTTAAATGTTAAACCGTTCTCATGCATGCTCTATTTATGCAGTGATTTTGAACTTGATCATAGTATATGTAGAGTTGGAGAATGGGTTTAATTCCTTTTAGGCACTGTGTTTTTTTTGTCTGTTAAATGGAAATGATAGTATTGACCTGTGAAAACCACACAAAAAAAATGTAAGCAGTTACTTCTGAGAATAAAAGAGACTTTAATGCTGAATACTATTTTTAATTATTTTAAGCAGTTTTTATAATCAAGTAAATAGACTGTGTATAACCAAAACTTATTGAAAAATGTAAATTAGAGAGGCTTATGGTGCTGTGTAAAGTAAACTGATTTCCTGGTTTTTCTTGTAAGATCCACTTTTAGAATTTTAAATTTTTTATTCTAATGATTTTCTTGCACTAAGCATTTGATTACTTTGCTTTAATTTAGGCATGGAAGTATTTTGAACCGAGAGTCACCAACAGATAAGAAGCAGAAAGTTGAGCGCATTGCATCACATGATTTTGACCCCACAGGTAAAACACTATTCATTCTTTCAAAGAGTATTGAGAGTAGTGAAGTTCAGAATAATAGAGCTTAAGCTACCCGAAACACTCAGGAATAGTTGTTTGATCTGTTTTAGGACTCTCACATTCCTCCAATTATATCATAATAAAGCCTTTGCATTTAGTAGGAATGCAAGCATTTTTAACTTCCAACACTGTACATTCCACTACAGAAGTATCATTGTAGAGTATATTGTATCTTTAAATAGTGATAATAATAGAAATGGTTATATAATAATTGGAGATTTGGTCAGATCAAGAACTCAGTGTTAAGTTGAATCATGGTATAAGCAGTAATATGTCATAAAACCAAGGCTCTAACAACTCGACACTTGCGTAGTCATCTAAAAATTCAATTGTGATTATGGTGAATTGGAGTTTTAGATAAATCAGTTTCACAAATTAATGATGGTCTCATTTTAGAGTAAACAAATGAATAGAAATCCCTTTCTCTTCAGTCAAAAAGTATTCTGAACTTAAAGAGCTGTCTTTCAACCTAAGCAGTGTCGATCTTTCCTAGGGTTGTCACCTTAACAGACTTTCAGATTGATCTCCTTTTAAAACATCTAGGCTTTTTCCTTTTGCTTTCTCCTTGTAAGCTTACTCCATATTTGATTCATAGAAAGTGCTTGGTAATCTTGCTTTTTTCATTTGAAACTGATATATATTTTTTGTGCACATACTATTTTATTCAGTTGCCTGTCCCTTTGACAAGAGACGAAGTAAATCCCGCTATCTCAGATACATAAAAATAATGTATCTATTTTTAGGTATTTTTACTTAGAAATATAATTTTAAATATTTAATAGAGAATAGTATGTTTTATTTATCTAAGACATTTCATACTTTATTAGTATAAACTCCTTTATTTTGAAAAAATATTATAAATATTATCTAGGAAGCACATAGATAATCATTTTCTGCATTTTGGGTAGTAGGTAAAATGAAATTCCAATCATCAATTTAGGAGGCTTTGGTGGTGGGACTATGTATTATGTCACTTACAGATCTCCATGAAGAGAGAATTTTCCATTCTGATGCCTAATTTTGTAGTCATGGGGCTCAGAGGCTTTCATTTACATGATTAGGTATTGTCTTGCCAATAAGGTCAAAAGTTTCTGCCCTATGTTCAGAAAAATATAATCTTGTTAGGTTTATTTTGTATCTACATCTGTGCTGTGCCCATCTCCAAAGACAGATTTAAGCAAAGATGTATACAATGCTTCATAATGAGATCATTATAGCTTTTAGTGCTTTTGTCATCTCTACAATTATCAGGTGATATATTTTGTATACTATTCATGTGTTGTTTTGTTTGAACATATTTTTATTGCACTGTCTTTTCTTCGATAAATCTTTAAAATATGTCATTACCTGTGCTGTTTGTGACTATTCTAAGTGCTGTCATCTGTTATGTTCATACTTTGTGTTTGCACGATTTAACTTGATCATGATTCATTCTTTTTTCCCCATGAATTTTTCCCCTTACATTGTCTCCATATTTTCTATATCTCTCTCCTTTTCTCCCGCTCTTGTGCAGATAGCTCCTCCAAGAAGACAAAGTCTAGTTCAGAGGAGAGTAGATCCGAGATATATGGTAAGCTAATGTAGCTAATTCAGCCTTGCCCTTTGGAGCTTGCTTCATGGTGTTCCTTTTCTGTTCTTTTTTTCCTTTCTTTCTTTCTTTTTAAATAACTGCAGCCTTTCTTGTGTCTGCTGTGCATGGCATGATCTACTGCAGGGAAAGGGAGCCTGGGGTTTTAACGTGGCTGTGATGTGGAAGCTTAAGGTTGCTAGAAACTAACATTGTAGATTAAGAGTAGGCCACATTGCCCATCTTCTCCCGTCTTGTTTATGGTAGGAAGGTGATTATCTCTAATATGTTTGGGTCAGGTTCCTCCAAATAACATGAATGGGCTTTGAATTCTTGTCATCTTCTTCCCACATCTCATTTGCAGAGTTTGGATTATGAAGAATTTGAGGAATTAAGTCTTTTCCTCTAAGTATAATACTGGTGTAATTTAGACGTATTAGCAGTTCTTTGGAATTTTTATTTCATTTTTTGTTTGTTTATTTTTAATTGCCTCGTCATGTGGAAAAGTCATTCTTGTATAATTTATCCACGATGGCAAAAATACGTAAGTATTTTATCTTCATAGCTTGAAGAATTTGTGCCTTTGAGAAGTTTCTCTGAAGCTTAATCGGAATGGGAAAATTTCAGAATGGTACCTTTTAAATAATCTTAACAAAGAGCAAGTTTAACCTGAGTGGTCAACTTTTGCAGCAGATGATTGAAATGCTAATATTTCTAGACTGTGTCCTGTCTTCCAAAGATACAATAACCATGTTTGTGAAGTTCATACCTATTTTTCCTTTTCCTTTGCAGTTTTATTTGCCCTCTTTCCTTCTTTTGGAGTCTGATTAGGGTTTTGTTTTGGGGTTTTTTTTTTTTTGGTTTTTTGTTTTTTGAGAAAAGTGAATAAGAGAGGAATTACCTGGAGCTAAGATTTTAAAAATAATTTCTGAAAGACTGATAAATTATTTCTTTTTTTAGGAAGATTCCAAATTTGGCCTCGAAGGGAAATCAGGTCATCTTTAATAGAGCCACAAATCTATAGAGCAGAAGCTCCCCCAGGTGCAGATAGATGTTTCCTAGCTTGATATATAGGAGAGGAAAAAATACAGGAATTGCCCTCCCCTTTTTAAGACATTTGATAATTCACATCTGCTGGCACTTGAGCCCATATCAGATACTTTTTAGTATTATGAAAGCTCAGTGTTTGGTTCTAAACCAGTTAATTCTTCTATGTTAGATATATACACATAGTTCTTTACTTGGGTTTTTGTGACCAGTGCTTTTTCTGTGTATACCTTTTACAGTAGTTCAGCAGTAAATGTATACTGTGCCTTGTGACACATCAAGTTTACGCTTTTTCTTCCTTCCAGAGTATTTTGGCTACTGATAAGTAAGAACTACCTAATTCCTGGAGACTATATTTCTGTTCTATATAAAGAGCTTTCTATAGTTTATCCTCTCCTTAGGAACATGAACATTATCTTTATAGCTCTATTCTTTTTCGGTAGCCTTTGCAGTGTTCTATTTCGTCTTCCTCTCCATTTTCCTAGATCTGCGATGTGTATTTAGAAGCTTGTTGTATGCTTTGGATGAAGACTAACAATTTAGGAACCTCTGACTAGAAATACTATACTAATATTTTTCTTAGCAGTGATAGAAACATTAATACTAGTTCAGGCATGCCATTGGCTTGGTAGTGATAGAAACATTTTAAGTGGTAATTGGGAAGTAAGGTGTGGCTTCTCTGTGTGTTTGTTTTTTGAGAACCCTTGAAATACCTTTTTTGGAAGGAACTGAGTCCACAAGTCCTCAAAAAGCACTCATCGGAGGGATGAGTTGATTAGAACAGAATTAGCATGCTAACGTAAATCTCTTTGACATTACAAATATTTTATCACCTGTGTGAATAGACGTCTTTAGATTACGTACAGTTAGCATAGATGAAAAAGTCTCTCTGGGGATTCAGAAAAGCTTGAAACTACTGAGTAGAATCATAGCAACTGGTGACATTCTGCTTTAGTGTAGGGTCTTATTATAAGCCCACTTCAAACTTTAGAGATTATACATTGCTTTCTCGGGGTAAAATTCATTAGCTGAGTACTTAACAAAAATGCTAGTTACTCACATATTATTTATTTTAAACTTTCTTGGCTTTTTTTTTTTTTTTTTTTTTTTTTTGAGACAAGATCTCGCTGTGTGGCCCAGGATGGAGTATAATGGCGGGATCATGACTCACTGCAGCCTCAACCTCCTGGGCTCAAGTGATCCTCCTACCTAAGACTCCAAAGTAGCTGGGACTACAGGTGCACACCACTGCACCCAGCTGTTTTGTTTGTTTGTTTGTTTTTTTAATAGAGATGAGGTTGTTGAAGGAATGATTTGCCAGGGGAAAAAAAAAAAAGAAAGAAATAGTAGAGACAAAGTCTCGCCATGTTGCCCAGGCTGATCTCTGTCTCCTGAGCTCAAGCAGTCCTCCCAAAATGCTGGGATTAAAGGCATAAGCCACCGCACCTGGCTTCTTAGCCATTTTTAGAGCTACTTTGTGAACTAGATTTACTTTGTGCATCTTAAAAGGAAACCAAGTGTTTGCTTTGTATTGACTTTTTTTGTTACATTTCTGCCCAGTGCGGTCAGTTGGTTATTTATTCCATTTCCCCTTATTTGTCCCTTTCTACCTGTTAGAGTCTATTAAACGTGTATGGATGCGTTTTCTGATCTACAATTTTAATAATACTTAATTTTATTAATACTTTTGTGGGTTACTGTAGGAAATGAGAGATTCAGCAAGGGAATTCTGAGTTAGACCATAGCTGCTGCTTAACCGCTGTCATGGTGTCTGAACAGATTCCTGCTAACAGTATTTGGTTCAAGAAAATAAGTTATGTCTTTTTAAAGCTGTCTTAGTGTGTTCAGGCCACTGTAACAAAATACCATAGACTGCTTGGTTTAAGCAATAGAAACTTATTTTCTCACAGTTCTGGAGGTTAGAAGATCAAGATCAGGATGTCAGTGTGATCAGGTCAGAAGATTCCCTTGCTGGCTTGCAGATGGCTGCCTTCTTGCTGTTTGTCTCACATGGCCTTTCCTCCGTGTTTGCCAATGCCCTTTCTTTAGTTTCTATGATATTACATCAACCTGGTTCTTTATTCTTTGTAATTATTTTGTCTCTCTTTATTTGATTGTTTTTTCCCTCCTGTTTTATACATGTAGGCATGACCCAAGTTTCTGTCCCCAATCTTTCTTCCAGTCTCCAGTCTAAGTGTCCCATAAATTCAGAGTGACCAAACTGGAGTTCATCATTGTTCTCTACAGCTGGAAATCAGTCTTCCTCTTTATTTCCCTAATTCTTATAATGACACTGTCATTTTTCCACTCACCTAGTCTTATATTTCCTTAAAGTTATATTTGACTTCTCCATTTTCCGTCGTCCCCTGTGGTCAGCTATTTGCCAGGTCCCCTTGATTCTACCATCACAATATTTTTCATCCTTCACTCTTTGGTTTCAACCCCACTGCCTTGTCCATCATTTTATTAGACTATTATAATAGATTCGTAACTTACTTTTATTTCAGTTTCACATTGATTCATTAACTTTTCTCCATTCTATATTCTGCCTTGACTTGTCAGATTAATATTACTAAAGTAAGAATTTGGTCATTCACTTGCTAAGAAAGTACAGGTAGTTATTAAGATAATGCCACAATTTGTTTCCAATTTATTCTACTCTGATTCTCCTTCAGCGTTTCATTTTCCAAAACATGTTTTGGCATTCTTCCTTTGCACATGCCATTTCTGTTGTCTTGAGTGAATTACCACCTATAACTTAGAATCCTACTCATCTTTCAAGGCTTAATTCAAGTACTGCCTTTTCCTAGGATTGCCCAGCTACTTTTGTTGTTTCTGAATGTTGACATCTGTTTTGTATTTAATTACTTATATTTATGTTTATCTTTACATCTCCCATAATGCTGAACATATTGGAGACACTCATTAAGTGAGTTTTGAATGAATGATTGTTGAGATTGACATAGGAAGTATTTTAGTAGAGAAAATTGATGGAATAAGATCTTCACTCATCCTAATTGAATCTTTCTTTCCTTCTGAAAAACTTGAAGATAGAAGAAAATGTAACTTGGAGACATTTTTCTGGTAGTGGTCTGAAAGAATGAAATCAGCATACTTGGAATTTAAGGCTCTTCTTGCTGGCAAGACTGTGCATTTAGAATCAAGAAGCTTCTTAATCAAAGGATTATCTGAGGTCTTACTCATAAAACATGTATGTCTGGCACCAGTTTAAAATGAGCTGTTTTTATGAGGTTGCACATGGCCCTTCTCCACTCCCTTCCCTGAAGCTGATTCTTAAGAGCTGAAACCTAGAGAAGTTTGGTCATGAAATAAAATAAAAGGTGAAGAAAGACTAATGTGCTTTCACTAAAGTCAATGTAATATGGAAGATTTAACAGGTTATCTTACATGTTTAACACTCCATTTTCATTAATATGCCCCACACCCTATTTTCATTATAGGAGTTATGGCCTTCTTTCAGGAACAGTTATAGAATGACACTTCATTTTTTTTTCACTTTCAAAATATGATCATTGGTAATTATCTATTGAGTAAGAAGGAAGCAGTCTTTTTATGTTGGTTTTAAGTGCCACATTGTAATAACAGAAAAAATATGTCTTTTGTTATGATAAGGAAATAAAAGAAATGGATAGTATTTATGTAAATTTGATATAACATCTTTACTTCACTGATGAGATGAAGCATGATATCAGGTTTATCAGCTTCTAGGCAAAATATGATTTTTAAGAGACAGGAAATAAAGTTTGTTTTGTAACTAGAGGAGTTATTTTGGGGTAGATGGAAAAATCAAATTATTATAGTTGGAATTTTGCCAGGGCAGAAGGTTAATTAGCGTTCTTATAGAAATGTTCCTCTACTTTGCATAGTCTTCAAGGCTGTGATTTTTTTTCTAATTAGAAAATGTTTGAGTATTTTATTTAAAATTTCCTTTGTGTATAAAATTCAAATTTATTTAATAACTATTTAGTGAGCACCCATTACATGCCAGGCACTATACTAAGGCATAGAGATACAAAGATATAAGTGACTCTACCTACTTTCTGGTTGTTCACAGTCTGGTACAAAAGAATTGCAATACATTTTGATAAGTGCAGTGATAGAGATATGCACTCATTTACCATTACTCTATATGCACTTAAAAAAACAGCTGTGAAGAAATACTCATATGGCACCAAGAACAATGGGACGGAAGAAGTATTACTAGGACTAAGTCTTTTGTTTTTTTGAAAAACGTGTTTATTATTACTGTTATTTTTTGTAGAGAAGAGGTCTTGCTAAGTTGCCCAGGCTGTGCTCAAACTCCTGGCCTCAACCAGTCCTCTTGCCTTGGCCTCCCAAAACGTTGGGATTACAGGTGTGATCCACGGTGCCTGCCTGTCAGGATTACGTTTGAAGGAAGTTTAACTTTTTATACCAGTCTCACTGGTTTTACTTTTTGAACACTCTGCCTGTGTCTATGCAAAGTGCTGGCATATAGCACATATCAAAGTAATTAGGTGGCCTTACAGAACTCATATTCACAGATAGATACATTTGTATGGAAGTTATGATTAATAATCTTTATACCAGATGATAAAGGATTTAGCAACAAAACAAAACCATGGACTATATGAGTTGTAGAAATCAGAAAAAGTAAAAGTGATGAAAGCTGGTTTTTGGGTTTTTTTTTAATTAATGAAATTTGAAGATTGCTATTTTGGAGTTATGAGTCTACTTTTATCTTTGGCTTTCTCTGTAACATACAGGGCCTATTTTCTGTACCATTTTCTGATTCTTAAACATTGTCATTTTTTTCTCCATTTGTTTTCAGTATTGTCCTGCCAGGATTTTATGTTCTTTGAGAACAGAAACTCCAAGTAGTCTTGGGTTCTTCACAGCACCTATGAACTGCAGTGTTAAATAACTAGTATGGACAGATGCTCAATGCAAATTTGCTAAAACAAACAAAAGAAGTAGGATTTTTGTGTGTGTATGTCAAAAAGGATAGTACAAAGATATGATAATGTAGCCAGTATTGGTGATTTTAGTTCTACAGAGGGTGGAATTTTTCCCTCTGTGGTAGGTTAAAACAGCTTCTGGTCAACAAATAGAATATTTCTCTGAAGAAAAAGGGAAAACATTTCATTTGATTTTGAATGAGAGGGAACATAATAGATTTGAGCATTTGAAGGACTGGATTTCTGAATTTTGAATGGTAGGATGGCTTCGTTTTCAGTTAATTATTACCACAGATCTAAATTTATGCAGACACCACAGATAGACAGGACAGAATAGTATTGTTAATTTGAATTTTATAGATTCTGAATTGACTGTATGTGTAACACTTTTTATATTGGTCTACTGATTTAAAGTACATGTTAAAGTACATCAATCTCACATTAGCAGGTAAATATAAAATAATAAATGTGGCTAATACAGTGGATTTGGGGAGAAGAAAAAATTGAATAGGATGTGTGCATAGTTCTTTTTCCTTTTCCTCTTTATTCTTTGTCCCTCATCTCCTTTTGCTGTAGAATTAAGAGGGAAGGTTATCAGACTGAGACTGTTATGAATTGGAGATAAGAGATTTGCTGTATTCTGAAGTAATACTAATAGGTTTTCTTGATTCTTATTAATCTGTTAGGATTCTAGGCATATTTATAAAATTGACTGTGCATGGTGCTGTTTTTTTCTCTCCGATGACCTCCCTTTCTGAGCTTCCTTTCATCTCTAGACTTGTCTACTTGTCTGAATTTCATTAATTCATAAGCAATTTTTTTAAGTTTCCTTCTGTCCCAGAATACATGCAAGGTTCTGAGATAAGATTGTGATGAAGATACAGCCCCTGCACCTTTGGAGCATAAAATCCAATGAAAGAATAAAAACAAATACAAATCAGTGTGAGTAAGGGTGATACAGTAGGAGTACACAGAGGGTGCAGTGGGAGTCTGTAAGAGGGGCACCTAACTTCAGTATGCATATTTAGGAAAAGCTTGTAAGAAGACTGATTCTTTTCTTAAGGACGTCCAGCTGTCTCTCATCTTCTAAAGCTGCCTATAACAAGAAGCTCTGCCCTTTTAAATTTCCCTTCTGTCTTCCTTACCCATCCAAAACTACTTTCCTTGTTTGCTAAAAAACAAAACTTAGACATAAATCATAATTGATCCTCTTTTTTTTTTGAGATGGAGTCTTTGTTGCCAGGCTGGAGTGCAGTGGCGCGATCTCGGCTCACTGCATCCTCTGCCTCCTGGGTTCAAGCGATTCTCCTGCCTCAGCCTCCTGAGTAGCCTGGGACTACAGGCACGCGCCACCACGCACAGCTAGTTTTTGTATTTTTAGTAGGGACAGGGTTTCACCATGTTGGCCAGGATGGTCTCAATCTCTTGACTTCGTGATCCGCCCATCTCAGCCTTCCAAATGCGCCCAGCCAGAATTGATTCTCTTAAGGATCATTTGCATTAATTGATAGGAGTTTATTAACATAAAAGTACTTACAATTGTACTAGTAGCATGGATAGAGGAGAAAATCCAAGGTCAACCTCCCCTTAATCATAATAAAATAATATTTAACGTGTAGGAACCCTTAATATTTGTTAGACATTAAGCTAACTACTTTATATATTTTTTTATTCAAGTGAGAGGTGCAAACATAGCAAACTCCTTGACTCCAAATACCCGTTTCCCTCATGTTTTACAGGTGTCCTGTTCTCTGCAGGCATCTGAAAAAAGGTCTATTTAAGAAGCCCAGGTTGCTTAGCACTGCAGTCACCCATATTAGAAACCTTTAATTCATTAATTTTCAGCTTTTGTGAGGTGAGGTGGGAGAATGGAGAAGCACGAATATAGTATGAAAAAACGTATTCAGTGTTATAATTGCCTTGATTTCTAAAGTCACAGTATCTAATTTATTTTGAAATTTCAAATAACTATAAGGGAGGTTGTGAAATATTTGTTTCCAAAAGCAAGCATGGATTTTAAAAGGTTCCTGTAAAATGCTGCTTAGTCTAATAATTTTTTTTTTTTTTTTTTTTGAGATGGAGTCTCTCACTCTGTCACCCAGGCTAGGCTGGAGTGCAGTGGTGCAGTCTCGGCTCACTGCAACCTCCAGCTCCCAGATTCAAGCAGTTCTCCTGCCTCAGCCTCCCAAGTAGCTGAGATTACAGGTACCTACCACCATGCCAGGCTGATTTTGTTTTATCATGTTGGTCAGGCTGGTCTCACTCCTGACTTCATTCAGGTGATCCACCTGTCTCAGCCTACCAAAGTGCTGAGATTACAGGCATGAGCCACCATGCCTGGCCAGAATCTCTGATTCTATTTATTATATGCTAGAATTTATAAAGAATGCTTTTTTTAAACTTGATTTATATATTCATATCCTATTTTATAGGTGTCCTAATTACTTGAAGGAAGTAACACTGAACAGATAACAAAGGTTGAATTCTAATGTGTTATCACCTGACCTCATTACAATTTATTGTTTTGTGAGAGTGGTGAATATGTTATTTAGTATTTAGAAGTCTCTAGAATTTAGGGGTAACACATTTTTAAATGTTGAAAATCAACTTTATTGAGGTAAAATTTACATAAAATAAGATGCACTAATTGTAAGTGTATGGTTAGAAAATTTTGACAAATGACTATGCATACTCATGTAAACATTATCTTAAGAAACAGAACATTTCCATCACTGCAGAAAGTTCCTTCATTTCATTTTGCAGTCATTCCCACTCCTCTTCCGTGCTTCTCCCCTAGGCAGTTGCTATTCTGCTTTTTGTTGTTTTAGTTTAGTTTTTCCTTTTCTATGTTGGAGTCATGTAGTGTTTACTTTCTTACATACTGGTTTCTTTTGCTTACCATGATGTTTTTATGTTTCATCCATGTTTGTTGTATGAGTAGTCCTTTTCTTCCTTCCTAATACATTGTATGGACATACGACAGTTTGTTTATCCATTCATCCGTTGATAGACATTTGAGTTTCTAGTTTTGGGCTCTTATGAATAAAACTGCTGTGAACATTTGTGTATGTCTTTCTGTGGACACAAATTGTTCTTTCTCTTCAGAGTAAAATTAATGGATCATATGCAAATATATGCTTACCTTTATAAGAAATTTCCAAACAGTTTTCCAGAATGTTAGCACATTCCCACCAGCAATGTTATAATGTTCTAAGAGTTCTAGTTGCTCCACCTCTTTGCTACCACTGTTTATGATTAGCCAGACTAGTTGGTGTATAGTGGTATCTCATTGTGGTTTTAATTTGTATTTTCCTGACGACTGCAGCTGTTAAGCACCTTTACATGTGCTTATTGGCCATTGGTCTATCTTTGTAATGTGTTTATTTAAGTATTTTGCCCCCTTTAACATTTGTCTTCCATTATTGGCTGGAGAGTTGCATATAATCTGGATACAAATTCTTTATCAGATATCCATATTGTGAATATTTTCTCTGTGGTTTGCCTTTTCATTTTCTTTTTCTTTTTCTTTCTTTTTTTTTGTGACAGAGTCTCGCTCTGTCGCCCAGGCTGGACCCGCCTCCCAGGTTGGACCCGCCTCCCAGGTTCACGCCATTCTTCTGCCTCAGCCTCCCGAGTAGCTGGGACTACAGGCACCCGCCACCACGTTCGGCTAATTTTTTTGTATTTTTAGTAGAGACAGGGTTTCACTGTGTTAGCCAGGATGGTCTCGATCTCCTGACCTCATGATCCGCCCTTCTCGGCCTCCCAAAGTGCTGCGATTACAGGCCCGGCCTGCCTTTTCATTTTCTTACCAGTGTCTTTAGAATAGCAAATGTTTTAAATTTTTGTCCAGTTTCCTAGGTTTTTTTTCTTTTATGGTTTATAAACCCACCCTAAGGTCTTTTTTTAATGTTATAAAATATTTTGTTACATGTATTTTATCTGTTTTCTTTTTCTTTCTTTCTTCCTTTTTTGTTTTTTTAATACCCTAAGGTCTTGACGATTTCCTTTTGTGTTATCTTATGAAAAATTTTAGCTTATGTTTAGGCCCATGATCTGCTTTAATTTTTGTGTAGGTCATGAGTTCAAGGGTTAAGGTTCATGTTAAGCTACAGTAGGCTCATGTACTCATGATGTGTCATTATCAGCAAAAATAGATATGTATATACACTGTGTGTATATATATATAATTTGTTATATGTATATGTTTTCTATGAGCCATTGTACACACAGTCTATATATATTTTTTATTAACATATCTTTAGCATATCGTTTGGTTGGTAAATCAGACTTATATTTAAAAGATTGTGGCTTTTTGTATAAAAATCTTTAGAAAAAGTTTTTATTTTCTATTCATTATCTTTGTGTTGTTTTACCTGTTTTATATATTGACTTCGGTGAAATGCTTAGATCCTGCAAAGCTGAAAATATATGTTGTCTCTGGCTAACACAGAGTTCAAGATCTTCAGATCTGGTCTATGATAAAACAGCCCTGGGTACTAATCAGGGTTCTACCCTGGCAGGACATTTCTATTCCTCTGGCTGGGGCCCTCTTTCTCTCACCTTGCCCTGACAGTTTTCATTTGCTGTTTAGAAGAAACACAAATTCTCCCTTAGGAATCAGGTAAGTATATGAAAGAGATGAAGGAACTGGTTGAGCTCACAGATTCTTTATCTTTTCTATTTTTTTCTCTTTTCTGTTTCTGTTTTCTATAAGCCAGGGTTTTTCTTCCCCCTGAACTCTTCCTTTCTCTTCCCTTCTTTGGGGAATAACTTCAGGTACTCTGTAAGCACCTCCTTTCTTTTTACTGTTTTCCTGAGTATATTTTCTTGAGAGTGAGACTGGATTTCTGCAGAATTTTCCTTGAGATGCTCCTAGCCCCATGTCCTAAGATGGTTGATTTTTCTTGGGTTAAACACCAATTAGGGTACCAAAAACTCAGGGCAGTGGGGCAGGGGGAGAATTTTTTTACTACAGAGAAATAGCATGGATGTGAATGGGCTTTCCTTCTAGCTGTCTCATGTCTAATACTTAATATTTTGCAGTTTGCCATAGCTGTTTTTAATATTGGAGCAATTCTATTATACTCCGCCAGTGAGAAAACAGTATGTGTGACTCTGTGGTGTTCTTGTGTTTGCTTTGTTGATGGTGGTTAGTGTTCTTATTTTACCATGTGGATTTACATGTGCTACTTTTTGTTTCTCCAGATGGAACACAGTTTATTACTAATATATAATTATTGTCTTTTCCTTTCTCTGTTTTCTCTTCCTTCTTGTTTTACACTGTGGTTCTTGTGCAGGTCTTGTTCAGCGTTGCGTAATCATCCAGAAAGATGACAATGGATTTGGGCTGACGGTCAGTGGAGACAATCCAGTCTTCGTACAGTCTGTCAAAGAAGGCAAGGCATTTTAAAAAACAATTTATCACTCAGTAAACAGAGTAAGAATAGAAAAGCTTAAATAATGGCAATTGCCAAGAATAGAATAATTACATAGATTGCAGGTCATGTGGACTATTGTGCTAGATTCGTCTATCATGTCATAGTTACAGGAAGGAGTTTACTCCAGTTGATTTTTTTTTGTACTTGTTAGAAAGAAATCAGTTTTTATTTAGTTTTAGAAATCATGTGACTCCTTGGTCATGATACTTTATTGTCCACACAAAAGTTTCTGAAATTTCAGTTTTCCATGGCACCACTGATATTTTGGCAAAGACAGATTAAAGAGATAGCTATGGCTTCAGAAATACCATTTATTTTCCCAAAACAACAGTGATAATATTTTCTACTGCTGTTACCATATATTGAATACTTCCTTTATGTTGGGTGCTATAATTTTGAGGTAGACAATTTTTTTATCCCCATTTTATAGGTGATATTGAGGCTTAGAGTAAAGAAACATCAAATCAGTCCAAGGTCACACAACTAGTGAGTGGCAGAAGCAGCATTTGAATGTAAAGTCTGACTTTACAGCCTTGTTTTTTTTTTTTGTTTTTTTTTTTTTGGAGATGGAGTCTCCCTCTGTCACCAGACTGGAGTGCAGTGGCACAATCTAGGCTCACTGCAACCTCTGCCTCCTGGGTTAAAGCGACTCTCCTGCCTCAGCCTGCCGAGCAGCTGGGACTACAGGCACGTGCCACCACACCCAGTGAATTTTTGTATTTTTAGTAGAGACGGGGTTTTACCATGTTGGCCAGGATGGTCTCGATCTCTTGACCTCGTGATCCGCCCGCCTCGGCCTCCCAAAGGACAGCCCATGTTTTTAACCAGTTTGTTATACTGTCTCTCTGTCAGGAAGATGATCAGTAAATGCAAATGAATCACATTTTAAGCAATTAATTTCTCATACAGATGGAGCAGCCATGCGGGCTGGAGTACAGACAGGTGATCGAATCATCAAGGTAAGGAATAGGCTATTATAGAATTTACGGTAGGATTAAAAAACAACATATATTGGTCATATTCTGATTTTTTTCACTTGGATTTTTATAAAAAGCATCATACTTCTATGTATGATAGATCTGTTGACTATACAAACTTATTTCATTTGTTTTAAAATTAATACTACCCTTTACTGAAGGACGTAATAAAAGGATTGAAAATAATGGAGGAATATATGTTCTTGAGTAGGAGAGTAATTCAGGGTTGGAAAGATCATTTCTGTCTAGATTAGTCTGTTATTAAGCAATTCTCATCAAAGTACAAGTTGAACATTTCTAATCTGACACCTGAAATGCTCCCAACTCTGCAAGTTTTTGAGTACCAACATGACACCATGAATGGAAAATTTCACACCTGACCTCATGTGATGGGTCACAGTCAAAAGTTGGTTTCACCAGGTACAGTAGCTTGAGCCTGTATTACCAGCTACTCAGGAGGCTGAGGTGGGAGGATTGCTTGAGTGCAGGAGCTGAGACTGCAGTGCACTTTGATCATACCTGAGAATAGCCACAGCACTTCAACCTGGGCAATATAGTGAGACCCTGTCTTTACAAAACAAATAAAACCAAACCAAAACAAAAAACTTGGTTCCATGCACAAAAGTATTTAAAATGTATAAAACTACCTTCAGGCTATGTGTATAAGGTATATATGAAACATAAAAGGCTCATATTTAAACCTGGGTCTGATCCCCAAGATGTATCATTATGTATATACAAATATTCCAAACTTCAAAAAAATCCAAAACACTTCTTCTGGTACCAGGTATTTCAGATAAGCGATACCTGACCTGTATGCAAATAGAATTGTAGTGGTAGATGTCTATCTGATTATTCTTCCAGATGAACTTTATAAAGATATAAGAATCACTAAAGATAAAAACATGTTATATGTATGTGTATGTATGAGAAGAGATGTATATGACTCTAATCTAGATATAGACCTACCAGTGGAACACAACAGAGAGACTAGAAATAGATTTTGAATTCAGATCAGTAGAGAAAGAATGGGTTAGTTAGTAACTATTCTTTAAATAATTGACTAATTTGATTACTTAAAATCAAATTATTACATAAGAAAACATACCATGAAAAATAATTTGGAAGAAATATCTGAAACGTATCACAGACCAGATATCCTTAAATTTAAAGAACACTTTTAAATTATAAGAAAGGAATAAATATTCTAAAAGAAAAATGGGCAAAGAATTTTATCAGGCAGTTCCCTAAAGTAACTGAAATACATAACATATTAATGAGGATATGGCCAACCTCACTGATAACAAAGAAGAAGAAATTAAAATGATAGGTGAAAAATACATTTGGCTGTCAGAAAATTTAAAGATTGGTAATACACATTTAGTATAGTTTGGGTATGGTAAAATGACTATTCTCATGAGTTCGTTGTGAGTATAAATTAGGTAAAACCTGTTTGGATGAAAGTCTGTGAATATGTATCAAAAGCCTTTAAGAAAGTATATAACATGTGACAAGCAATTTTGCTTTTAGGAACTTATCTGAGGAAATAAGTGTACAAATGTGAAGTCGTGTGTACAGGGAAATTTGTACTGGCTTTATTACATAACTGTGCATAAACTGAGGGACAGAGAAATAAATTATATTCCATTTGCAGCTTTTGAAAAGAATGGATTAGGTCAGTGTGTATCTTTATTGAAAGATAGCTGCCGTACAGTGAAAAAAAAGTTTTATTTTTTTTTTCCAGGAAAAAGCCAGTCGTAATGTATAATGTTTATGTGTCTCTTTGGTGTGTGTATACTAGAAAAGTGTCTCCAAAATTAAATGTCATAGCTAACAGTAACTGCCTCATGGGGCAGGATGAGTATACTTGTACTTCTGTTTTTTACACTGATATATTTGTATTTTAGATAACTTGGATCAGAGAATTAATCAGAAAATTAATGTTAAATCCACATTTGATAGTTTTGCCTTGATTTGTTTGGTTTAATTCAGAATCGGGATAACATTTTCTACATTTAGCCGGTCTGAAAATTAATTTTCTTTGTGAAGATTAGATCATGGTTGAAAAACTAAAAGCAAATTGAATATTGTGGAAATACTTATTTTAAAAATTATTTTTTATTATTAATTTTGACAAATTGATGACTTGGTAATTAAAAGCAAAGAGATCTTTTCTATTTGTATGAGCCCTTCACCGTGAACGATTTGTAAATCTGTTTCATGTTATGTTTTGTCATTTGTCATGGTGAATAAGTTGTACTGTTTTGTATGTCAAGGCCTCGGTTTATGTTTAAGTTCATTTTGTTGCTGAATATGCCCTGTAGAATCATGGTGTGAAAATGAATATTGAATCAAATACATAAATATTTTAATGTAATGTGATTACTATATTATATTGGTTATATTATGTATGATAATTCTTGAAGTCATTTTATCCATTGTCTCAATAGAATGTATCTGACATACACTACTTTCGTTTTCTTACAGGTGAATGGAACTCTGGTGACTCATTCAAATCATCTGGAGGTGGTGAAGCTAATCAAATGTAGGTGAATGTTATTCTTAGTTTTAATTGTTTTCTGAAACCCTTAAAGTAAGGAGCAGCAAATTTCCTGTAATAGGCCAAATAGTAAATATTTAGGCTATGTGGACTATATAGTCTACTGCCGACTCTGTCATTGTATCATGAAAGCAGCCATAGACTATATGTAAATGAATGGGTGTGGCTGAGCTTCAGTAAAACTTTATTTGCCAAAAGTCTGTGATCCTGGTTTAGCCCCTTGGCTGGAGTTTGCTGATCCCTGCATTGAAGGAAAATCTGAGGTGAAAACTCTTAGCTTACTAATAGCTATCTTTTGTCAACTCCATTTATATGGTTGATTATAATATTCCTGTCATTCTTGGTAATATTTGATACATATATTTGAAAGAAATGCATGAGTCACCTGAGAGGAAGGAGGTTGAGAAGTCAGACATATGGCCTGATGAACTGAAATGGAACTTTAAAAATCATCTAGCACAATCACTTTCCCTCAGATAAGTAAATGATTATATAATCCAGAGTAGCGATCTTCTCTTGGAAATCTTTAGGGTTAAGAATTTGTGATCTTCAGGTTTGAGTGAATAGCCCACTTGGACTTAGTTCTCTGTGGAGAAACAGGCTTGAAGCAGTGGGAGTCTGCAGCTAACCTCCCGTCACTTGCAGGGTCAAAGGTGGATTCACGAACCTCGAGCTGGCAGTGAGTTATGGGCAAGCCAGGCCTCAGCCACTCACAGGGCCTCAGTTTTCCCATCTGCACAGGGAGAAGGGAAGGTTCAGTGGCCCTGTGAGCTTTGCTAGCAGGTGGTGATGGGGTGGGTCATCTGAATCTGAGTCAGGTGGAATCTTCCCCAACCTGGGCTTTGGTTTCATTTTGTTGTTATCCTTTAACCTTACCTGCTTTCCAAGAGAGATTTTATGTTTTCTTGGTTTTTTTTTTTTTTTTGTTTGTTTGTTTTTAGGGTAGGGTCTTGTAGAATGCAATGGTGCAATTATAGCTCACTACAGCCTCCAACTTCTGGGTTCAAGTGATCCTCCCACCTTGTTTTTTGTTTTTTGTTTTGTCTTGTTTTTTTGGTAGAGACAGGGTTTTGCTGTGTTCCCCAGGCTGCTGTCAAACTCCTGGGCTCACCCATCTCAGCCTCCTAAAGCGCTGGGATTACAGGCACGAGCCACTATACCTGGCCAAGATTTTATATTTTCTAATTGCTTCACATACTGAATGGAAAATAGCATGACAGTTATAACAGAAGTAAAGAAAGTCACATGAGAGTCCACCACCTAAAATATAACTTCCTTTTTCTTTGTTCTGGCCTGGTTTGGGCCGTATGTATTTGTTATTGTATCTCTTAAAAAAAAAAAAAAAAAGAGAGAGACTGCTTGAACTGAATGAAATTTTTTTAAAAAAGGAATTAAAAAAAGAATTTATGATCTTCTGCATCAGATTATTCCACAGTAAAGTAGACTAGAAATAAGAGATAGTTGTTTGTGATCAATCAGAATCACTACTGTTTTATTTAATTCTGTTTCTCTGTATTGGGTGGATGGACATCTTCAAAAGAAATTTAATAAACTAACTTTTTTCTTGGCCTTTTTACTGCTATGTTAAGCAACTATGAAATTTTTTAAACTTTTTCATCAGAGTACCAGTGCTCCAAATGGTCACTTTGATCAGCGTTCTTTAGTTTAAAAGAGTGCAGTGATCAAAATTAGATCCCCATACTTGAATAAACTTGACCACTTATTTAATGAGAATGTGATTTATAAATTGTTATGTGCTGCATAAATATGGTTTATGTTAATGAGTTTATGCCTGATGTCCATTGAGGTGTATAAAAACATTTCTTTAGCTTTCTAGGTTATATTTTTTGCTCATTCCAGTATAAATTTTACTTAAAAAATTAAATCCTGGGATTCTAGCAATAAATTACTTACCCAATAGTAAGGGCATAGCTAAAAACTTAAAGTAAAGCATAAAAACCTCTGCATATCCAAAACTGATGTAAATTTGACATCACATCTGTAAAGCCTGGGTGTATGTAACAGAGTTCCTGCATGTCCTACTTTCTAATGTGTATTCTGGATATAATAAAAGTGATATCAAATCAGAGCAGTTTAGAAACAGCTAAAGAAAGGAAGGGAAAAGCTAGGAAGCTATTAAAACCAAATACATAGGCAAGTGAGATATAATAGATGACTTTCTGATAGAGAGCAATAAGATTGAAGAGCCTTAGAAAGTGTTTATATGTAAAATTCCTCCAAATTATAACACTTGTGAGTATTATACATAGCAAAACTAGTTTTTAGAACACCAAAACACTGTGAAATAATTGATAATGATTTCCATGGGAGGGTTAAATTGGGAGACAAGTGTGAAATACATTTAAAAGTTCTATTGAAATATCTAAGAAAAAAGTTTTGCCATATCTATTACTGACTCTGATTATGGTGTTTTTTTTTGTTTTTGTTTTTGTTTTTGTTTTTTGAGACGAATTCTTGTTCTGTCACCCAGGCTGGCGTGCAGTGGCGCAATCTCGGCTCACTGCAACCTCCGCCTCCCAGGTTCAAGTGATTCTCCTGCCTCAGCTTCCCTAGTAGCTGAGACTACAGGCATGTGCCACCACGCCCGGCTAATTTTTTGTATTTTTAGTAGAGACTGGGTTTCACCATGTTAGCAAGGCTGGTCTTGATCTCCTGAACTTGTGATCTGCCTGCCTCAGCCTCCCAAAGTGCTGAGATTACAGGCATGAGCCACCATGCCTGGCCTGATTATGGTGATTTTTGCTGTCTAGATTCCCGCCCCCCGCAATATGTCTACTGAATTCCTGTCCATTCCTCCAAATATTTTCTACTAAAATTTACTACTTATTATTGATTGTGTTTTTCCCTGTTATTGTGGAATATTTTTTGGTCATACTCATTTTGTAAAGTTAATTTAAAATTGCATTTTATGTTCTAGCATATTCACTAAACCCTGCCTAGTTAGTGTCATCTTAAAATATGAAGATCTAGGCCAGGTGCTGTGTCTCACACCTCTAATCCTAGCACCTTGGGAGGCCAAGGCGGGTGGATCGCTTGAGCTCAGGAGTTTAAGACCAGCCTGGGCAACATGGCGAAACCCTATCTTTAAAAAAAAAAAACATTGCAGCTACTTGTGGGGGCTGAGGAGGGAGGATTGCTTGAACCCAGGAAGTCGAGGCTGCAGTGAGCTGAGATCGTGCCGCGGCACTCCAGCCTGGGTGACAAAGTGAGACCCTAATTAAAAAAAAAAAAGAAGATTTAAAAAATTTACATTTAAGAAATTAATTAAACATAGCCACTAATAGATGGTTGATTTTAACACTCCTCTAAATAAAGAAAATATATAATATATTCTTGGAGTTATAAATTTTATTTGCTTTTAAGTAATATCTGATCTTACTAGTAGTAACTTGCTATCTGAAAACGGCATCATTCTTTTGGATTTTTAGGGCAGTCATAAAAGAGAAATGACAAATTAGTTTTTTTTTCTGTGGAGACATGATGTAGCAGATGATGGGACTGTCTTACATAACTGGATCTTTTAGAACTATCGAAGATTAAGTAGTAAAATGGTATAAAAAGTTTCTTGACAATGTTATTTTCCCTTCCCTTCCCTTTTTCCGTCTCCCCACCCCAAGCTGGTTCCTATGTAGCTCTCACTGTTCAGGGACGCCCACCTGGGTCGCCCCAGATTCCACTTGCCGACTCTGAAGTAGAGCCGTCAGTCATTGGACATATGTCTCCCATCATGACATCTCCTCATTCACCTGGAGCATCTGGGAATATGGAGAGAATCACTAGTCCTGTGCTCATGGGGGTAAGAATGGGGAAATTTCTTAGTTAAATGCTCAGTCTTATAAGGATGTGTTTACTTTATATGGAGAGTTTTCAAGTATTCGGCTGATGAACTAATTAAATTTAAGATTTTAGAAAATGATTTACTAATATAAAAATTACATAATAGGAATGATTAGAATA
The DNA here is from genome assembly GCF_000001405.40 of Homo sapiens. NCBI lineage: Eukaryota > Metazoa > Chordata > Mammalia > Primates > Hominidae > Homo > Homo sapiens. The sequence continues at coordinate 120,428,409 of NC_000011.10, forward strand.
TTGTCATAGCAGATTTAATTTAACAAGTATTAGACACCTGCCATATGTAAAACAGTGTGCCACCCACAGAAATATAGTTAAGGTACTCTATGTTCAAGATTATAGTCATCTTAGAATGTGTACTTTTAGGAGGGCGGGGATTTTTGTTTATTTTGTTTACTGTTACGTTTCCAGTACCTGAAATATTGCTTAGCATGTAGAAGGTGCTTAACAAAGCTTTGTTGATTGAGATTAAGTCAAGAGTATACAAGTAACTATAATACAAGGCAGAATGTAGACATTATGAGGGCAAAAAAAATGCTAAGTTCTATGAGGATTCAAAGGAGGGAGAAAGCACATAGAAGAAGAACAATAAATAGAAGGAGCCAAAAAAGCATCAAATATTGTGGAGAAGTAGCTAGGATTTTTGGTTGGTTGGTGCCTGTTAAGGATGTGCATAGTGGGAGATGAACTTGAAAATAGTAGGTTGACTATATATTTTGAAAAGTCACATCTCCCAAGCTAATTTACATGTAACTAGATAAGCAGTAAGAATCCATTCAATGTTGTTTCTTTTTAAGCAAAAGAGTACATGATTATCCTAGGATTATAGGAAGACTAATTTGGTAAAATATTATAGGGTTGTGAAACAAGGAGGGATGATGGGTGATGAATTAGGGAGCTGTCTTCATATTTCAGGTAAGAGGTACTGGGAGTTTGAGCTATGCATGGGGATCGATAGTAAAGATCCAAATGAGGGAAAGTAAAAGATACTATTCTTATACTAAGACAACTTCATTTCTCCAATATCAATATTTAGTGTTCTCTTGAATCCAGTTTAGTAAAAATGAAATAGAAGGGCAGACATTTCCTTGTAGTTTCTTGTAAGTGTCATGTCTGAAAGCCTGTCCACATAACCCGGAAGTAAAAACCTAATAGGTATTGATAATTGGAGCCGAGGCAGAACTTTGTATGCCACATTTTCTCTATTTATTTTAGCTTCATTTTGTCTATACTGGTTGTTGTTTGTTTTTTATCTTTTTCTTTTCTAGGAGGAAAACAATGTGGTTCATAACCAGAAAGTAGAAATTCTGAGAAAAATGTTACAGAAAGAACAGGAACGGCTACAGGTATTAAATGAGAAGTAGGGCTGTTTACAGGCCAATAAAAATGTGAGTGGGCATGGTTGAGTTGGTGTTTATCAGTCACAATCAAGCAGCATTGTAACCAATGCCATTAGTTATATTATTGATTAAGAATGGACTATTTCTGTATCTTTTTTACATAAGTAATTAATTCTGAAAATATTTTTATAACTTTTCAGTTATTGCAGGAAGATTACAACCGAACACCTGCCCAAAGATTGCTAAAAGAGATCCAAGAGGCCAAGAAACACATTCCTCAGCTGCAAGAGCAGTTATCCAAAGCCACAGGCTCTGCTCAGGTAGCATCACTATTACAAGTGCTACCCAACTTTTTGCAGGAGAATTTTCTTCTGGGAATGTGTCAGAGAATGTTGCAGTTGCCTTTTTTAAAGTTATTTTTCTAGCGTAGGACAACAGGATGTCCTGTTAAGGATGTTACAGAAGTAATGATTAACAAAAATAAATGTGGGCGTCTGATTGTTTGCTTGCTCATGAGATCACATTTCTTTGTTCCATAATAATTTAAAAAAGAATTGAGTGCTTTTGCTTTGATGTGACAAACTACTAAAATGTATTTAGATATATATATATATTTATATTTTTTGTGGTTCATTCTGCCATCTTAAAACAGAATGGCAGTTGATATGTTTTTAAATAGGAATTTAAGAATTTACAACAACAGGCATTGAGCTAAATATATGGACAAGCATTTTCTTATTTAATCTGCATAACATCTCTGAGGTTACTTATGGTTGTTTTCCTCCAGTTTACATATATACTTAGAGAGAGTTAGAGAGATTAAATGACTTGTCTGAGGTCATATAGCTGCAAAGTAATAGAACTGGAATTCAAACCCAGTCTGAGGATTTAAAAGCACATTCATACTCTTAATGACTATATTTTTATTGTAATTTAAAAATAGATTTCAGTAGAATTTGCTGTATAGTTATAAGCTATAGAGATAATGGTCTCATAAGAAAAAAAAAGCTCAGCATTTATATGTTAACCAGACTTACATTCTGTAATATTCAGATTTGGGATATGTAAAGCACCTTGTACTTCATCTTAAAGCAAAGTAGATAAATTGCCTATACATTTAAAATAGGTAAAAGCTGTTTTTTTGTCACTGTTCCCGAGTTAAATCTGAAGGGAAGGCTGCATATTCGCAAAAGAATTCTTTGAGATCATCTAGCCTAATCTGCTTACTTTCTGATTTAAAAAAATTATGTTATAATTGAGAAACCTAGGGTCTAAACTGGTTAAATCACCTATACAAGGCCATACAGTATGTAAGGTCCCCTGACATCCTGGTTTAGTGTACTTTTCATTCCATTGTTTTTTTCATTACCTTCAGTCCCAGTAGCGATGTCACATTTTGAGTGTTACACCTCAGTAATGTTGACAGTTTTATGTTATTACTAGGCAAATATAATATTCTTACCCTGTTTGGACAGCAATCTAAATGCTTATAACCTGGCCAGGCGCAGTGGCTCACACCTGTAATCCCAGCACTTTGGGAGGCCGAGGCGGGCAGATCATCTGAGGTCGGGAGTTTGAGACCATCCTGGCCAACATGGTGAAACTCCGACTCTACTAAAAATAAAAAAATTAGACAAGCTTGGTGGTGCATGCCTGTAATCCCAGCTACTCGGGAGGCTGAGGCAGGAGAATGGCTTGAACCATGGAGGCGGAGGTTACAGTGAGCCGAGATCCTGCCACTACACTCCAGCCTGGGTGACAGAGCAAGACTCCATCTCAAATTAAATAAATAAATAAATGCTTATAACCTGATCTAAATGCTTATAATAATTTATGTTATAGTATTATGTCCTAGAATTGGCCATTGATTGACACTCTGAAGCATTGGAAGGTAGTTAACAAGAAACTATAGGGTAATAACCTTTATTAATGGGCAGACAATATAAATTATATAAATATAAATTACATAAATTAACAAACCATTTTATCTTTTTGCTATATTTAGAAGTTTGAACTTACATTCTTTTTACCAAAATATCACTTGCCCTGTCTTTAAGGTCATGACATTTTAGAATACCGGAATTAGTAGTTATTTATGGATTTTACTCGTAGAATTTTAAACATACTTGAGCATATCAGAATGTCCAACTTTTAGTAGTCTCCATGTAGATTGTAGTACCACTATTTCTTTATGCAGCAAGTAATGAAAGTTTTCTTTTATGTGTTTGTGTGCGCGTGTTTTTCTTTCATCTGTTTTAGGATGGAGCTGTAGTTACACCCTCCAGACCTTTAGGGGACACCCTAACAGTCAGTGAGGCAGAAACAGATCCTGGAGATGTACTGGGCAGGACTGACTGTAGCAGTGGAGATGCTTCTCGGCCCAGTAGTGACAATGCAGATGTAAGCTTTCAGTTTTCTAAATCTTTTTTCTTCTGTATTCTTCTTTACAGCCCCTTTCTAGATTTGATTTTAAGTGATGTGAATTAGAGGTGTCTTAGCACTTTTTACCATCCCCATTTTTAATGTACCAATTTGATAAACAGAAATCTGGTTACTGTTATATATAAGCTTTTAATTCCAGAGTTCACTTTTTCCCTTGAACACCCATTGCCAACTGTTTCTTTTACAGGGATGGAATTTCCCAGCAGGCATCTTGTTCGTGGGTAGAGAAGTTACTAATGCCAGTGCATTTTTACTGAACCGAGAGACCAACTGTTGATATCTTTAAGAGCATGTTAATATTCCATTTGTGGTCAGAGTGACTCAGTCTTGAATCATGGGGCACTTTGCCATTACCAAGAGGAAAAACCTCAGTCCTGTTAGATAGGCTTCAGTTAATAGCCCAGGTTTAGTGACAGCACTTTCTTGATTAACCCAGAAACTGCCAGATGAACATGACTATCTGTTAAGATGATAATAAAACATTTTAAGCTGAATATGATGTAACACCATAGACATATGAATACCTAAAAGCTAAGTTCAGTATTACTTACCCAGCAATACTTTGTAAATTGTATGCAGTGGTAGGAATAATGACTTAAATGTAGATCACCCTCTTTAAAAGTGATGAGGGAAGAAGTCTGAACGAATGTTTTGTAATTGTGGGTCATGAAATCAATTTTGTGGGTTGTATTTCTTTTTTAAAAAAAGAATAGGAAATACAGTGCTTTGCATATAGAAGAGGTGTCACTTCTTGGGACTTTTGTTACATATACACACATCTACTATTTAACAATGTGAAGTTTCTCTCTTATTGAAGGTTGTTGTTGGGGGATTGTTTTGTTTTGTTGTTTTTTAAAAAGGAAGCCGTGGTCTAAGCCATCATTCAGGCTATCTCTTGAGGCTTAGGCCCAATGACCCAGTTCCTCATGCAAAAAACAAACTGAGGATTTGTGGGTTTTTTGTTTTGTTTTGTTTTGTTTTTTAAGGTAGTGATAGGAGTCTTGTGATTGGGTTAGCTAAAGGTTTTAATGGAAAATTTCAATTTGGGCTCAAGGAAAAAATGGTAGTCACTAATATTTGTTGGGTATATGTCCCATACACGGTGATAAGGTTTTATGTTCCTTAGTTAATTCTCAAAACAGCCTTATGAAGTAGTACTGTTGTTACTGTAACTTTACAAAAGAAAAAATTGAGGCCAAAGGGAGTTAACTAACTTTCCAAACTTATTCAGGCAATAGGTGATCTACTTCCACCTAGCTCCAAAATACCAGTAATCGAAATATAAACAAAAGCACTGAGGTTTGAAAATGCGTAACATTTTGAGAGAGCAGTGAGAATTTTAGGGCAACCTGGCATATTAGGGTTATAGATGGAATGGCTAGAGATTATCTTAGAAGCCAAATCATGAATCCAGGTTATAAAGGGCTTCAACTTGTTCTAGCAGTACATACCGCTTTTGGGAATGCTTTTCGTACTCTTCTTTTTGTTTTAGTAATGCGTCTCCTCGCTGTTTTCATGGCTTGTCCCTACCATGAGATGGGAAGTTCCTTGAGAGCAGAGGGACTGTCTTGTCTGACTTTATGTTTCCAAAGTGTAGCAAATTGTAGGCATTCAGAGCAAATGATACGAATGAGAAATTTGAATTTTATCTTGTATTTAGAGGAATGTTACAATAAAACATGTGACTTAGAAATATAACCTTATAAAAGAGTGAATTGTTGGCTGGGCGCCGTGGATCACGCCTGTAATCCCAGCACTTTGGGAGGCCAAGGCAGGCCAGTCACAAGGTCAGGAGTTCAAAACCAGCCTGGCCAACATAGTGAAACCCCGTCTCTACTAAAAATACAAAAAAAAATTAACTGGGTGTGGTGGCACACGCCTGTAATCTCAGCTACTGCAGAGTCTGAGGCAGGAGAACTGCTTGAACCAGGGAGGCGGAGGTTGCAGTGAGCCAAGATCGCGCCATTGCACTCCAGCATGGGTGACAGAGCAAGACTCCATCTCAGGGGTGGGTAAAAAAAAAAGAGTGAATTGTTTAGTATAGAAATAGGCATTCCAATCAATTAAGACTGTTTGACATGTAATTGATACTTAGTATTTGAATACATGAAATCAATGAATAAAGTGGGCTTTATCTTGCATGCAGAAGAGAGACACCATCAGAAACATATCTGTGGAAAATGATTTGGTGTAAAGAGGGAGATCTGTAAGAAAAGAAGACTGCTTGGCTTAATAGGAACTTTAACAAATGTGTGCTGAATGGATAATAGTTAGCATTTATTCAGTACCTACTTTGTGCCAGAGGTTGTACCCAATGCTTTACAGATACTCTTTTTTAACACTCATAATAATCTTAAAAAAGCAGTATCACCATTTCATAGATGAGGAAACTGAGGCCAAATAAATAAATGAATATTGTGGAAATCCGAGTGAGAAATGATAAAGTCCAAGCTAGGCTATCTTCTGAACACAGAACACACAGGTTTAATTTCTACAAGTGTCTGAGGCTAAAGATGTGTTGCTTTTAGCTTATGGATTTCCATGTTTGTTTCAATTTTAAGTATGGAGGACCCGGTCTGCTTTTGTTGTTGTTTTAACAGTACTTTGAGTCGCGGTTTTACATTTTATCTTTTGAATCAGTGCTTTTAACTTTTTTCATTGTCTTCTCATTTTTATAAAATAATTTCCTGGTGGTGTTTGTGAAAGTTCCCTGCTTTTGCTTACCTTGGAGAAGGCTTTAAAGAATGCCCTGATACCCAGTTCTCACAAGAGAAGCAACTTGGTAACAAATCATCATCTGAAATTCAGAGCATCTATCATTTTGATTTTCAGTTTGTGAGTGATATTTTTGAAAAATTATTTATTTTGGAAAATTGTTAAACATATTCAAAAGTAAAGACTAACATAATCCTCCTCATGTCCCTGAGAACCTAGTCTCAGCAGTTTTGTTTGTACCCCCTATTCCTCACATCCTCCAAACACCAGATTAAAGTAAATCCAAGGCATTCGTTTATTAATATGTCTCTCTCTAAGAGATAAGAAGTTTTTAAAATATAGCTATAATATTCTTATTAAATCCTAAGAATTAATATTTTCTCAATACACAATTTTATTACCTTGTTTTATAATGATCTTTTTACAGTTTATTTGATTCAGGATCCAGTCAAGGCTTTCATATTGCCATTGGTTAATAAGTCATTTTAAGTCTTTATAATTTATAATAGTTTCCTTCTTTTTTTTCCTTGGCCATTTGTTGTTGTGGTTGTTGTTAAAGAAATTGAGTCAGATGTTCAGTAAAACAATCCATTTTCTAATTATATTTTCATGGTGTCGTATGACATGTTCCTTTATCTAAATTTTCTTAAAACTCCTAGTTAAATCTACAAGTCTTGATCACATTAGGTTTGATAGTTGTTATTTGGAATAATTCATAGATGATACTATGTACATCTCATTATATCACATGAGGATGTGAATGGCTGTCTTACTGTGGTTGTAAGCTTAAGGTGTTTAGGTGATATCAACATGATTTCCTTCATTATAACGTCCCCTGTCAAGCTTTTTTTTTTTTTTTTTTTTGAGATGGAGTCTCGCTCTGTTGCCCAGGCTGGAGTGCAGTGACGCAATCTCAGCTCACTGCAACCTCCGCCTCCCGGGTTCGTGCCATTCTCCTGCCTCAGCCTTCCGAGTAGCTGGGACTACAGGTGTCTGCTACCATGCCCGGCTAATTTTTTTTGTATTTTTAATAGAGACAGGGTTTCACCGTGTTAGCCAGGATGGTCTCGATCTCCTGACCTCGTGATCCACCCGCCTCAGCCTCCCAAAGTGCTGGGATTACAGGTGTGATCCACCACTCCCGGCCCCCAAGCTTTTGTGAAATGTTTTCACATGCCATTTATGATCAAAATGCCTAGATCCATTGTTTAATTCAGAGTTTCAAAAGGATATTATTATAATTTTGTCAGTATTTCTGTATTTATTACATGGAGTTATGTTACAAAAAATGATTTCCCTTACTAGCTAATAGGTTACCCTAAAATACAGCTTATACAGAAAATGTAGGGTAAATACTTCTCTTGATTCTTTTCAGAAGAGTTTTTTCAGGAGAGATGATACTCTTACAAACTCCAAAGGTGACAAGTGGGAAGGGTATATGTGTGTAATATTTTGAACTCATAGATTTCAGTATGAGTTACTCTTTTCTTTTGTTGGTGGGAGCCCCCTCAAATTTTCTCCTGTGTTCTTTTGACATGCCCCTCCAATATCTTTGATAGCTTTCTTGCTTTTTGTGACAGAATTATTCTAATCTTTTATATATCTTGTCCAAGACCTGAAAGTCATTCATTTCTCCAAGGTGGGGCATACATTTGAAAGTGCTGTTTTCTCTTGGTAACAGAAATATCTGTGATACCACCAAGATATCTTGCTATATGCATAGGTAAAATGTATCTTCCCTATTGGCACTCGTTAGGTCTCTGGTTCCTCATTTTCATTGCTCTAAAGAATGTCTCCCGTTGCTTTGGGGTGTTCCTCATCTCCACAAAGTGAGTTTCTGTGTCTCATATAGTTCATATTTTATACAGAAGTTCTCAGTATTTGTGGACAGCATCTGTGGATTCAGCCAACCATTTATCAAAATATTCAGGGATAGAAATGCATCTGTACTGAATATGCACAGACTTTTTTCCTAGTCATTATCCCCTAGACAATACAGTATAACAACTATTTATACAGCATTTATGCTGTATTAGGTATTATAAGTAATCTAGAGATGATTTAAAATATATAGAAGATTTGCGTATGCAAATACTATACCATTTTATATCAGGGACTTGAGCATCCATTCCCCCACAAACACTGAAGAACAACTGTATTAGGTATTATACAATACCATATAAATGTATTAAAATCCACCTTTCACATGAAGCGAGTAACAGAATAGTAGAAGCTTAATTGTACTCATAAGTAGGGCAAAATGCTTTTAGCTTGGATAGAAAGGATAGTTTGAGAAGGTAAGGATTAAGGAAGATAAGAGAGTTTGATTTTGACATAATGAGTTTGAGGTATGCAGTATATCTAATTATTTGGTAGAAAAGTAACCTCCAGGCCTGGAGATTAGGTAAAATTGTTTTGTTGATTCTGTATTGTTTATCAATATAAAATTGAAAAGGTGAGAGAATAAGTGACTTGCCAAAGTAAGGAAAAAGTAGCAGAACCAAGCATTTTACGAAAGATATTTAGTAGTTGTAAATACAAATATGAAATTCAGAACAATTTTTTTTTCACACTTTTTTCCCTCATCTCCTTTTGGTGTGCCTATTGAAATGAACTGAAGATCTTGTTTTTTTCATTAGAGTCCCAAGAGTGGCCCAAAAGAGAGAATTTATCTAGAGGAAAACCCAGAGAAAAGTGAAACAATTCAGGACACTGTGAGTATGAAATCCATGCAATGATAGTGCTGTCTTTGGCTTTCCTTATACTTAAAGTATGGTATAGACACATCTGATGTTTACATATTTTATTTTTTATTTTTTGGAAAAAAAATTAAAATTTATTAAAGAAACTTAATAAAGATTTGAATAAGTCAAGAGATATTCCATGGTTTGTAAGTATTCTTAGGTTCCTTCATATTTGTCGTGGTGGTAACATAAAATGTACTAGTTTAACCATTTTTAAGTGTATAGTGGCATTAAGTATATTCACATTGTTGTGCGACCATCACTGCCAACCATCTTCTCCAACTGCAATTTGGTACCCGGTAAACACTAAGTCTACATTTCCCCCTTCCCCCTAGCCCCTGGCAGCCACCATTCTACTTTCTGTCTCTATGAATTTGACTACTTTAGATACTCATGTAAAAAGAATGATACAATGTTTATCCGTTCATGACTGGCTTCTCTCACTTAGCATATGTCTTCAGCTTTCATCCGTGTTGTAGCATGTGTCAGAATTTCCGTCCTTTTTGAGACCAAATAATATTCCATGACATGTATATACACCACATTTTGTTTATCTGTCCGTTTGTCAGTGGGTACTTAGATTGCTTCCACTTTTTGCTATTGTGAATATGCTGCCTTGCCTTCAGTTTTTGTGGGTGTTCATCAAGAAGAAGAATTGTTTGATCTTACGTATTCTTAATTGCATGCTTTTAAGCACTCTGATTTTATCTTCTAATTACATTTATTTACAGTTTTGTAGTAAAAGATACAACAGCATTTTGTCATCTTTTTATTGTTAGCAACATAAGGACTATTGAAAAATCAGAGACATCAAATCAGTTATAAAATCAAAATTGTCTGACTACTGCTCGAAACTAATTTATGTTGTTTCACCTAATTTCTTTTTTTTAATTTTTTAATTTTTCCTTTTTTTAAAGAGGGAGTTTCGCCATGTTGGCCAGGCTGTTCTCAAACTCCTGACCTCAGGTGATCCACCCGCCTCAGCCTCCCAAAGTGCTGGGATTATAGGCATGAGCCACAGTGCCCGGCCAGTTTCACCTGATTTTTTTTTGGAATATTAAAGCCTTGAGGTTAAAGAAAATAATAAGAGTTGTTAAAAGGCAGAATTGTGTTTAGGAGACTCAATATGTAGTGTTGCAACACTAGGAGGAAAAACTACAGGTACATATTATTCACTCAGTTTAAAACTTGCGGATCTGTTTATACAACTTCAGCTATAGCCACTATAACTGCTGTGCAAATGACTCTCAAATCATAGGCCTACCCTTCTTTGCTGAACTCCATCCAGATCTTGCAATGTTAAACTGCTGTTAGATTTAAGCCAAACTCATTTTTTTCCTATTTCTTCCAAAATTTTTATTCCCCAATCCTATATGGTCTTTAATTTTAGTACTTATGGTCTTCAGACATCCTGTATGTATGTATGTATTTATGTATGCATGTATTTATGTATGTATATATGTATGAATGAGACAGAGTCTTACTCTGTTGCCCAAGCTGCAGTACAGAGGTTAACTGTAACCTCAAACTCCTGGGCTCAAACTGTGTACCCACTTTGGCCTCCCAAGTAGCTAAGACTATAGACACACGCCACCACGCCTGGCTAATTTATTTTGGTTTTTTTAGAGATGGGTCTTGTTGTTTTTCCCAGGCTGGTTTCAAACTCCTGGCCTCAAGTGATCCTCCCTCCTTGACCTCCCAAAGTGCTGCGATTACAGGCCTGAGCTACCGTGCCCAGCACCCATGTTTATTATTTTATATATTAATGCCTCTGTACTGCCGTTTTTGTGCTGAATCTAACTTTGTGAGTTGACAAATGGAGGAGCTATTGCATGGGAAACTATCTGACAATCTACAATTTATTCTTAGAATTTTGTTATCTTTGTTTCTATAGCAGTGTTTGTGAGATTACTTGATGATTTTAGAGCATTGTATCAGTGATTTTTCAATCAAGAGTGATTATGCCTCCGTGGACATTTGACAAATGTCTGGAAACGCTGCAGCTGGCATCTGGTGGGTGCATAGAGGTCAGGGGTGCTGCTAAGTGTCTTAGAATGCACGGGCTAGACCCTACAGCCAAGAACTCTCTGGCGCAAAATGTCAACAGTGCCGCAGTTGAGAAACCCTGCATTATACATTTATGAAAATTAATTAAAAATGAAAACATAGAGTTCGATGATAGCCTTCAATTATGTATCATTAATGGAAATCTTGGGTTAGTACTTCTCAGGTATATTAGCCTCTCTGCTAACTTTGTCTTACCATTTCTGCTCTTATTTTTCCTTTCTCCTATTGTCTTCATTCACTTTTTCTTTAATTTTTTAATTGTAACCATTTATGTAAGCCAACTTTATTTTTTTCTGTAAGAAGTTTTAAGTATGTATGAATTAATAAAAGAATGTACAGAAGTGTACAGAAAGTGTTAAAGTCAGATAACCAAGTGTATAGTGAGCAAAGGATATTTACTGTTTCCAAGGGGAGTGGTTTTTTCCCCCCAAAAAAAACTCGTTGTTGTGGTCTTTTTCTCTGCCAGAGTGGTACATGGCCTTGAAAATTTGTGAACCCCTACTTTGAAAATAAAGTACTTCAAAGGAAATAAACAAAAAGAAATCTCACCATTTAAGTGAACCATGTCTTTTTGATGGGTTGGCTTTATTCTTTTTCTAAATTTGACCACCAGGTAATTTTTCTGTTTCTTTTCCCTGAATGTTGCCAGGACACTCAATCACTTGTCGGAAGTCCCTCAACCCGTATAGCACCTCATATTATTGGAGCAGAAGATGATGATTTTGGTACTGAACATGAACAGGTGATGACTTTTTTCTTTCTAAAAAATAGATTGTTACTTTCTGCAATATCTGATTTGTTGCAAAAATGAGCACGTTCTGGAGATTAAGATAACATTTGTAAGGATTTGAAGCTAAATCTTAGAACCAATAGCTCCTTGGGTTAATTGCTTATTTTAGCTTTGACCAACAGAAATGACCTTGCTTTTAAAGCCAGTGAGAGATCATTAATATATGTTTAAGTACTTCATTTTATTGGGGTTGAGTGTGTTTCTTAAAATAGTATTTTTAAAAAAAATTTCAAATCCCAGTTCATTGGTGCTATAAAGGAATATGATTAGCTAGATTCTTGTCCTTGTATCCTGTGATCTTGCTAAATTCACTTATTATTTCTTGGTGCTTTTAAAAATAAGTCTTTTGGAGTTTTCTACATAGATAAATATGTTGTCTATAGTTTTTATTTCCTTATTTTCAAGCTGTTTATCTTTTATTTCTTGTTCTTGCCTTTATTGCACTGGCTAGGACTTCCACTATGAGGTTGAATCAGAGTGACAAGACATGCTTGCCTTATTCCTGCTATTAGGGAGAAAACACTCAGTCTTTCATCATTAAGTATGATGTTAGCTATAAGTATTTTTTAGAGGCTCTTTATAAGGTTAAGGGTTATTAGGTTAAGGAATACTCCTGGTTTGCTGAGAGTTTTTATCATCACTGGATGTTGAATTTTGTGGAATGAGATTATTATGTGGTTTTTCTGATTGTCTATTAATATGGTAAGTTATGTTGATTGATATTAGAATATTAAACTAGTCTCGCATTCCTGGAATGAACCTCAGTTGGTCATGATATGTTATCCCTTTTATATATTGTCGGTTTCAATTTGCCATATTTTACTGAGGATTTTTTACATCTTTGTTGATGAAGGATATTGGTGTGTTGTTTTTCTTTTTGTAATACCTTTGTCTGGTTTGATAGTTGGGGGTAATGCTGGTCTTTAGAATGATTTGGGAATATGAAAATTGTGATGCTAGTTTACATTATTATTGTTTTCTGTGTTCAGTATATTTAGGGATTATACAAATATTCTAGGATTTGTCTTACTTAAAATCATACAACTTCATTTCCCACCATTTCTGCAATTAGCCCAGAAGAAAAGGATAAACAGCTATTTTATGATTGGGCAAAAAGCCTTCCACTGCATTTCTAGAAATGTTAGACTGTTTTTTACATACTGATTTGTATACATCCGAGCTACTTGATAATCGTCTCCTAAATTTCCGTTCTCCCACAGTGGTCTTTCTTCTAACCTATCCCCAAGAGGTGGTTAATGTTCACAGAAAGAGATTCCATAGCTTCTGTTGCTAATAAATTTTAGTGAAGTTTTTTAAATCTTGAATTTTTTATAGGGAGATCAAAGTGAAATTTGGATAGCTATGTTCAATTGAGCCTACTTTGCATTTAGTATTTGTATGTTGGAGTTACTGATGCATAATCATTTCTTCCTCTAGATCAATGGACAGTGCAGCTGTTTCCAGAGCATTGAATTACTAAAATCTCGCCCGGCTCATTTGGCTGTTTTCTTACACCATGTAGTTTCACAATTTGACCCTGCGACTTTGGTAATATATTTTACAATCTAGCAGATTCAGAGTTCTTCTGTTGATTCATGTGCCATAGAACTTTTCCTAGCTATACAACGAGTGGGCAGACTTCTTTCAGTTTTCCGTATAAAGACAGATACAAAAGATAATTAAAACATTATTTTTAAAGACTTGGTTATATAGTAATAACTACATTGTTTATGGTGACCTACCTGTTCCAGACATTCCTACTCAATGGTGACCTAGCAAATTACATTTTTCATGGTTCCTCATTTTGTCTTTTTCATTCCTTTCTCCACTACAGCTCTGTTATCTCTATTCAGACCTGTATAAACATACCAATTCCAAAGAAACTCGTCGCATCTTCCTTGAGTTTCATCAGTTCTTTCTAGATCGATCAGCAGTAAGTTGCCAAGTTAATGTTGTAATCTTTGCCTTAGTACATGGAATTATTGTCCTCCTGCTTCCTATCTTCCCTCCCATGTTTTTGGATTTTACTGTGCTTTCTCACACCTGTATTATATTTCAATTATTGATTACTCTAGACTTTTTTTTTTTTATCATTTCTAAAGTAGTTTAGGCATATGAATTCTCACAGTAGGTTTTAGGGGATTATATATATATATATACACACACACACACACACACACACACACATATATATACACACACACACACACACATATTTGTGTTTTTTGCATGTGCATAATTAGAGTGAGGAAATGAAAAAGGGAATACATATATATTAAGACCCAAGGAATAATACTTGAATAACTGAACTCTGGGTGGCCTCTTTGAAGTTTGGAGGCATAATTTTAACTAAAAAGTGGCAGAAAAGATTTCACTTACACTGAAATAAATGATGATAACGTTATATTTTGTCATTAAAAGTGTTAATAAGGTTTTTAAAGTAGTAAGTTTTATTATTAGTCTTGTTATGGGTAAATAGCACCTAGCCCTTAATGCATACTGGATAATCATGCCGCAGGTCCCTAGTCCTTTCACATTTGCAGTTCCCTTAGACGACTGCCTCATGCTTTTTCCCTCCTAAAACCTCCATCACTTCCTTTCCTAGTCCTTTCTCAGCTGATAACCTTGACCTTATTGTTTCTCTGAGAAATTTAAAGTATATAGAAGAGAACTTCTACCAGATGTATCATCTGCCCTCATTATACCATACCATGTACTCTACTCTTTCTCCTGATGCTATGGAGTGACTGTCTTTTTTTTTTTTTTTTTTGAGACAGAGTCTTGCTCTGTTGCCCAGGCTGGAGCACAGTGGCACGATTGCACCTCACTGGAAGCTCTGCCTCCTGGGCTCAAGTGATCCTCCTGCCTCAGCCTCCCAAGTAGCTGGGACTACAGGTGTACACCATCATGCCTGGCTAATTTTTGTATTTTGTAGAGCCGGGGTTTCGCCATGTTGCCCAGGCTGGTCTTGAACTCCTAGGCTCAAGCAATCTGCCTGCTTCATCCTCTCAAAGTGCTGCGATTACAGGCATGAGCCACCGCACCTGGCCTTGATTGTCCATCTTTTATCCAAGGCCAGCTCTGCTCCAGTTTACAGTGTATTTCCTTATACCTACTCAAAGATCTTACTCTAACAATTATCCTCCCTTCTCCTGCATCATCGGTTTTATATTTTCTACAGATAATCATTCACATTAGTCTGCAAATGTTGTTATTTTCCCTTTCTAAAAACAAACACACATTTTGGCTCTACTTCTCCCTCCAACTCCTGCCCCGTTTTCTTTGTATGCCTTTACAAAATTGTCTGTACACTTTCACATTCAATTACCTACTCAGTGACTTTCCTAACCAACCTACTTAAAATCTCAACCCTTTCACTTTGTCACTTTTTCTATTATTTTTGTCCATAGAACTTTTATTTAGTTAGTTAGTTTGTTTACACAGTCAGTCTTCTGTGCCTGCAGCTTCCACGAATTCAACTAACCATGGTTGAAAATATTCAAGGAAAAAAACAAAAGCCAATACCACAATAAAAAATGAAACAATTTTTTAAAAATATAGTATAACAACTATTTGCATAGCGTTTACATTGTATTAGGTATTATAATTAATCTAGAGATTTAAAGTATACAGCAAGATGTGCATAGGTTATATGCAAATACAGTGCCATTTTGTACAACGGACTTGAGAGTTCGCTGATTTTAGTATCCATGGGGGTTCCTAGAACCGGTACCCCATGTGGATATCAAGGGATGACTATATTCCTACTCTCCTACCCTGAATATAAGTTTTATTAGGCCAGATATTTTTATTCTGTTTGTTCACTGCTGTGTCCCTAACACTGAACAGTTCCTGGGACATAGCGGGGTCACTTAAGTATGTGTTAAGTGAATTAGTGTTCTGATCCTACTCCCATTGTTTAAAATATTGTGTTATTTTTATTAAAATAATTTACTTTCCTAAAAAAATGACAATATATTGAAGCATGTTTGAATTTTGCATTTCTTAAGAGGGCACCAAGCTAAGTCAAAACTTTACATTTTGCTACACATGATCTATATATCAATATTAAAGTATAAGAAGAATCCTTACACTTTGATTAATTTGCTAATTATACTTTTATGCTACAGCTCACATTTATTTCATATATACACCATCATACAGAAATGAGCTTTTATTACTTTTTTGCACTTGAGCTAGAAATGCTTTTAAGAAAGTTGATTTGAGCTACTGCCTGTCAAAGAGAAAGTTTTAAAATCCATTTTACTTTTCTTCAAATGAATATAAAGAGATCTTACAATTTTTAGCGGTGACTTATTTTCAAATTTAAAACTTCAGATCTTATAGGATGTGTTTAAATTCTGAAATTGTATGACTTAAATAGGTATACAATACAAAATAAGCAGGAAGAGGTTAAGATATTTTCTCTTAATGCAAAATAATAAAGTATTCCCCTCCATTAGTTTGGGGGTGGGGGAAAACAACAGACTGGTAATTATTATGCAAATATTATGGGGAAAATCCTAGCTAGGAATAAGTAAATTCTAAGATAGTCACCTTATTTGGTTCAGTAGCAAGAACTGTAGATGGTTGCTGGAGATTTAAAACTCCAAAAACTCAACATTGACATTCAATATTTTCTCACTGGGAGTGTGACATTGTGAGGGCTCTTAAACTTTACATAGGAAAACGATTAGGAATATTATTGGTCTTCAGAATGAGCATCTCAAATATAGGAAAGAAAAATCATGGCTATATGTGAGTACATTTTTCATATGATAATATACACATAATTTAGGTTTTACCTATATTGATCTAAATGACATATAACTGATTATATTGACCAATGATTCTAGGAAGCCAAAGCCAAAGCCAGTATATTCATTAAGTGTGTCACAGAAGCATTCAGTCATCTAGCTAAACGACTGTAGACTTTTCCTTTATAGCATGATCCTCGGGAAAAGGGCTCATTTTCAAGTTTAAACGATAGAATGTTCTGGAGTTGTGAAATGTGAATGAATAAATGAGCTTGTACTTGATTGTGCTTGTAGAGTGGGTATCCAAGTTGTATCCCCTTACTTTACAGAAGTACTTATGTACATCTTCAAATATCTTTAGCGTTGTTACACCTTTTGTTTGCATTTCATTTTAGCACCTGAAAGTTTCTGTTCCTGATGAAATGTCTGCAGATCTAGGTAAGCTTGGAGCACTAACATCCTGGAGAATTACATCTTAATAGATATGTAGCTCAGCTCATCTGTTCAGGTTTTATCTGTCACATGGTGACTAGTCGATCACCTGAATCACAACAGAAAGACAGTCTATAATACATTTAAAGAGTAAATGAGGCCGGGCGTAGTGGCTCACGCCTGTAATCCCAGCACTTTGGAAGGCCAAGGTGGGTGGATTACCTGAGGTCAAGAGTTCGAGACCAGCCTTGCCAACATGGTGGAACCCTGTTTCTACTGAAAATACAAAAATGAGCTGGCATGATGGTGCATGCCTGTAATCCCAGCTACTTAGGAGGCTGAGGCAGGAGAATTGCTTGAACACAGGAGGCGGAGGTTGCAGTGAGCTGAGATTATGCCATTAACACTCCAGCCTGGGTGATAAGAGCAAAACTCTGTCTCAAAAAAAATAATAATATGGCTGGGCGCAGTGGCTCACGCCTGTAGTACTCCCAGCACTTTGGGAGGCCGAGGCGGGTGGATCACGAGGTCAGGAGATCGACCATCCTGGCTAACACAGTGAAACCTTGTCTCTACTAAAAAACAAAAAAGTAGCTGGGCGTGGTGGCGGGCGCCTGTTGTCTCAGCTACTCAGGAGGCTGAGGCAGGAGAATGGCATGAACCCCGGAGGTGGAGCTTGCAGTGAGCTGAGATCGCGCCACTGCACTCCAGCCTGGGCAACAGAGCAAGACTCCATCTCAAATAATAATAATAATAATAATAATAATAATAATAATAATAGAGTAAATGAAATCAGAATTCTGGGATGAAATATACGAACTGCCCTGAAGAACTTCCCTCTGGCATATTCTAAGTTAATTTGTACGAAGTAGCATTGCTATGTTGCCAATTGTATGTTGCCCAGAACATACCTTTAGATAACATAATTCCTTTCATTTATGAAGAAAAGAGAAGACCTGAGCTCATTCCTGAGGATCTGCATCGCCACTATATCCAAACTATGCAAGAAAGAGTCCATCCAGAAGTTCAAAGGCACTTAGAAGATTTTCGGTAAGCTTAGTGGTAGATAGAATTTCATATGATTATTCTAAATTAATTTTTTTAGTTAAGAAAAAGTTGCTCATTAAATACTTAGCTTAGCACTAGATAAACCATATGGTCTTATTGTTATTAAAACATAATGAACATCTGGAGCCAAAGGGTTAGAGTGGAACTGAGAGTCCAGACTCTCCATTCCAGGCACTTGCAGGATCTGAGCTCAGTGCTGTGTCTATGCTAAGTGTGTTCCTTTAAGATATTGTATGTGTTCTTGGAGTCATTGCTTCTAGAATTTTTTCCTCTGGTATCCTAGATGACATGGACCCATAAGTGGAAAAGTGACATTTTTCCTGTTCCTAGAAACCATAGCTGTGAAGACTGTGATGAAGCGTCCCCAGAATGAGGTAGTTTTTCTTTAGGCTACCTCAGGAAACTTCTCTATTCCCTTCAGGCAGAAACGTAGTATGGGACTGACCTTGGCTGAAAGCGAGCTGACTAAACTTGATGCAGAGCGAGACAAGGACCGATTGACTTTGGAGAAGGAGCGGACATGTGCAGAACAGATTGTTGCCAAAATTGAAGAAGTATTGTAAGTAATAGAAGTATATGTGGAAATGCCCTCTCTGCTGAGATACTAGTTATGCTTGAAGTGTCCTTTGGGTAGGTTTAGAAAAACTGTCAGATTGTGTATGTGGAGCCGTTTATTTTGTCATAGTACTTGAGAAACTGGATTTTTTTTTTCTTTTTTCTGATACTTTTAGATAAATTTCTTGTGTTCCTTTTTCTGGGTGGTGGTAAATGGGTAACTCTAAAACTTCTAATCAGTGATCAAAAACAGGTTGATTACTTTCATTATTTTCAATTTATAGGCCTTGGAAATATTTCTTGCCATGAAGCATATACAGTTGGTGACATGAGGGTGAAACAGATAAGGTTCTTTAGGGGATCAGGGTTCTTTTGGTATTTTATTCTAGGGTGTGGCCCAAAGCATTTGGCTCTGTTCTGTTATTTCAGGTATCTGAGTTAATAACAATTTTTAAGGCCAGGCATGGTGGCGCACTCCTGTAATCCCAGCACTTTGGGAGGCCGAGCGGGCGGATTACGTAAGGCCAAGAGTTCGAGACCAAGCTGGCCAACATGGTGAAACCCCATCTCTACTAAAAACCCCAAAATTAGCCAGGCATGGTGGCACTCCTGTAATCCCAGCTACTCAGAAGGCTGAGGCACGAGAATCACTTGCGCCCAGGAGGCGGAGGTTGCAGTGAGCCAGGATCATGCCATTGCACTCCAGCCTGGGTGGCAGAGTGAGACTCTGTCTCAAAAAAATTAATTAAACTTCCATATTTCATTTTTAAATTTTTTTTTCTTTTTTTTAAGGATGACTGCTCAGGCTGTAGAGGAAGATAAGAGGTAACATAACTGTTTTTTTTCCCCTAGAATTTTAAGAAAAAAAGAACTATGTTTTTTTCCTTTCAGTCCTAAATTACAATTTATTTCTTTTAACTTACAAATACAGTTTGTGGTCTCTCTCTGGTGGCTTGTATGTTATTTGACTAATATTCTACTGTTGTCCTGAGTAGAATTCTCTTCTCTGTGCAATGACTAGTTAGTTCTTTAGTGTTTGTTTGATTTATTTCAATAATTCCAACCTTGGGGTTTTGGAAATCATTTGATGTCTTTATTCTACCAACCCTCCCTTCTCAGAAGTCTTAATTTACTTCGTCCTTTCTCCTCCAGCTCCACCATGCAGTATGTTATTCTCATGTATATGAAGCATTTGGGAGTAAAAGTGAAAGAGCCTCGAAATTTGGAGCACAAACGGGGTCGGATTGGATTTCTTCCCAAAATCAAGGTAAGAATGAAATAATGTAATAGCATGTTCAGGCCTTAGGGCTTCTTTACATTTGGTTGCAGTGTCTTCCATCATCTTAGTATTTACTTAATCAGCAAATTAATGCTAGTCATACAAACATTTATAAGATACTGTCTCTGTTCTCAAGAAACTCAAAATACAGTGAGAAATCCAGACATATAAACTATTATTAGACAATGTGAAAAGTGAAATTAGCAGTTTACAAAGAGTGCTATTTCTGATTCTGTTCATGCCTTATACTTTCCTTTTACTTTGCCTAAACTAAATACCCCCTGTGTTGCTACATAATCGTCATGAACATCTTTAGTGGCAGTAGAGTATTCTGTCAGTTTGTAATTATTTGTGTTTTTGTTTAGTGTTTACTAGATTGTAAAGCTGTATGAGTACAAGGACCTTCTTTATTATTGTATTTTCAACTGTTAGCAAAATGCTTAGTAAATATTTGTTGAATGGATGAATGAATTGTTTAGAATAAGTTCCTGGTAAATGTGCTATAAAACTACCCTTTGATTTTCCAAAGCTGTCAGTGATAAAGAGTTTGAAGAAAACATCTTGAGTTTGAGGTGTACACGGTACTGTGTGCGAACTTTTAATTAGTGCTCTGTGTGCATACACACGTGTACGGGTTTTCATTTACACTTAACAATTTCTTTGAACTAACCATTAGCATTACACTATGAAAATCGCAAAAGAAATTTACTCTGTTACGTATCTCTTATTTTTTGTACTTCAACTCTAGCAAAGTATGAAGAAAGATAAAGAAGGGGAAGAAAAAGGGAAGCGAAGAGGATTCCCCAGCATCCTGGGACCCCCACGGAGACCAAGCCGTCATGACAACAGTGCAAGTATGTTGAAGTTTGAAGTGCTGCATTTTCAGTACTCCAGGCCCTCTTCACATCAGAGGCTTCTTCAGCTAGAATGAATTTCTGGAGAAAGGAGTTGTTAGGATGATTTTACTGAATTCCCAATATGCCTTGTTTCCATTCAGCGTTATTTCTGAACTAAGTACCCCCTATGTTGCTACATAATTGTCATAAACATCTTTCGTGGGCTGGGCGTGGTGATTCACGCCTGTAATCCCAGCAGTTTGGGAGGCTGAGGCAGGCGGATCACAAGTTCAGGAGATCGAGACCATCCTGGCTAACACAATGAAGCCTGTCTCTACTAAAAATACCAACAATTAGCCAGGCGTGGTGGCATGCGCCTGTAGTCCCAGCTACTCGGGAGGCTGAGGTAGGAGAATTGCTTGAACCTGGGAGGCAGAGGTTGTAGTGAGCCGAGATTGCACCACTGCACTCAAGCCTGGGTGACACTGGAGCGAGACTCTGCCTCAATAAAACAAAAAGAAAAGAAAAAAAAAAAACGAAAACACACATCTTTAGTGGCAGTATTCTGTCAAATGTCCGTAACATAGTTTACTTACCTCTTCTGATTCTGTTTCCATTCAACTTGTGTTTGTTAAATTAAAAAAAAAAAGTGTGTATAGATCTCTCCACCACACTGAACGTCTCTTTATACATATTTACTTAGTCTCCATATTTCTAAAATTTCTCCACCTCTCCATTGTACTTTATTTTCTGATTTCCCTTTCACCCCAGGCCCAATAAAGAGAGATAAGCTCACTTGAGATGGCTGCAGGAGAAATAGGGATGGTGGTACCATGGGGAGGGGTCATGTGATGGTTCTTATCTCAGGCAGTAGCACATTTGAAAATACTGAAGCCAGGTGCGGTGACTCTTGATTGTAATTCCAGCACTTTGCAAGGCCAAGGCGGGAGGATCACTTGAGCCTGGGAGTTCGAGACCAGCCTGAGCTACATAGTGAGACCCTGCCTCTACAACAAGAACAGCCAAAATAAGCTGTGTATCATGGTGCATGTGTGTAGTCTGAGCTACCTGGGAGGCTGAGGTAGTATTGCTTTAGTCTGGGGAGTCCAGGCTGCTGTGAGCCATCATCTCGCCACTAAACTCCAGCCTGGGTGACAGAGTGAAACACTGTCTCAAAAAAAAAAAAAAAAAAAAAAAGATATTGGCATGGTAGAGTGGTGGGAGTAGGATTGTGATAGTGAGTGTCCCCCACAATGACGAGTTCTCCCTCAAATGCCATGAGTGCCTCTTGTTGAGAAACATTGAGAAGGTGTGAAATTTTTAGAGGAAGTTAAAGAGATGGAGGATTTCACAGATGCTAACCGTGAGTTCCAAGGTATACAAAAGAAGAATTTGAGGAATTAAGAGATTAGGGTATAAAAAGTTGTGTGAGGGTGTAGGATGCTTTGGATATTGAACACCTGAGTGGGAGTCTTTGGCTTCTTGTGGTGACTTTGTGAACAAGGATAATTAGCAGGATGGGGATTGGTCTGGATGGTCTTTGAGGTACATTATGATGATGAAGGTGTGAGTGTTGGGGGAGAACTGGGGTGGGAGCTTACTAAGAACTCACAAAAATAAAGACTTCATCTTCATTCTTACAAATGAACACAGCTCCATGTCTCTCAGCATTCCTCCTCCCTCTGTCCACCATTCCTCTCCTTCTTTTCTCATGACCCTTCTTCTTTCCCTACATCCTCCTCTTCCTCGCTTTCGTCGTCCTGCCTCACCCCTCCTCCATCTCCTCATCTTTCTGCTCTACCTTCCTCTCCCTTTCTCTCTTTTCTTCTTCCTTCCTTCATCTGTCTGTCTGTATGTTTCTCTGCATAACAATCCACTATATATATTTTTTAGGGTCTACCATGTTTCACACATTTTACCAGATTCTTTTACATTGTCCTTTTTTGCTTTTAGCTAATTTGCAATGCAGATTATTTTATTTATTTTATTTATTTATTTTTGAGACGGAGTCTTGCTCTGTCACCCAGGCTGGAGTGCAGTGGCGCAATTTCGGCTCACTGCAACCTCCGCCTCCCGGGTTGGAGCGATTCTCCTGCCTCAGCCTTCCGAGTAGCTGGGATTACAGGCATGTGCCACCACGCCCAGCTAATTTTTGTATTTTTAATAGAGACGGGGTTTCACCATATTAGCCAGGATGGTCTCGATCTCCTGACCTCATGATTCGCCCACCTTGGCCTCCCAAAGTGTTGGGATTATAGGCTTGAGCCACCGCACCCAGCCGCAATACAGATTATTAACCATCATTTTCTGATCAGTTGGCAGAGCCATGGAACTACAGAAGGCGCGCCACCCTAAGCACTTATCCACACCCTCATCTGTGAGTCCTGAACCTCAGGACTCTGCCAAGTTGCGCCAGAGTGGGTTAGCAAATGAAGGAACAGACGCTGGATACCTGCCTGCCAATTCCATGTCTTCTGTAGCTTCAGGGGCCTCTTTTTCCCAGGAAGGAGGGAAAGAGAATGATACAGGTGAGCTATTACTGTAGTTCAGCTTAACTAAGCATCAAGATTTTAAAACAAACACACTAACTGAAAAATAGAGTGGCAAGTTAATCAAGACTAAATCCCAGTTTAATTTAATTTTGACATTTTAATATGCTACAACCAATAAGAAATCTATGCCGAATGATAACTTAAGTTCTCATTTGTCCAAAAAAATATTTATTAAGCTCTCTGTCAGGCATTAGCTTTGTCCCGGATGTTAACATGCAATAATTATACACAGATGCTTGCCTCATGCAGCTTTCTCTCTTGAGAGCGATAGTCACAAATGTAAAAAATGCAAATTGTGCCAAGTCCAATCAAGGGAAGGTAAAGGGAGTATTGAGGGAACTGGTCAGTAGTTAGAGGCAGATGTGGGTATCTAAAGAAGACTTTTTAAAAATCTGAGATTAACTAGAGGTTTTATTTTTCAATGTTAATAGGAAGCCAGCTGAAAGAAAGGGTAGAATATGTGGGAGACAGTATATAAGTAGTAGAACAGAGTTGTGAGGAGAGAGGAGATGAGATGTAGAGTGTATGTAAAGGGTAAGACTATTTACTGAGAGTGAGAGTTCAGTGAGAAGAGCAAGGGAATTTGAAGAGTAAAGAAAGATATGAAGCAATCGTAGGTAATTGGGCAAGGAGCTTATTACCATGTCTTCATCCTTGTTTGGGAGGCGGTTCAATTTCTGGTGGTGACATGATCAAGAATGAGGCTCTGGGAGTGGTCCCTGAGGTGCCATAGAGGAGGCTACTAGGGATGAAGACGGCAAGGAACCAAGAAGCCAGGAGTTTGAATAGCTTAATATTCATGGCTAGTGACGTCACCAAGTGTGATTTTTATCATGGAGAGGAAAACTGTGAGCCACCAGCCAAAGGTTTAGCATTGCTAGATGATTGATATGAGGAGGAAGAGAATGTGATAATATCCAGAGCATGAGAGCCTCAGTGGAGCAAGAGATTATACAGGAAGACAAGGTCGGGTGCAGTGGCTCATGCCTGTAATCCCAGCACTTTGGGAGGCTGAGGCGGGTGGATCACCTGAGATCAGGAGTTGGAGAGCAGCCTGGCCAACATGGTGAAACCCGGTCTCTACTAAAAATACAAAAATTGGCCAGGCATGGTGACATGCACCCGTAATCCCAGGTCCTCGGGAGGCTGAGGCAGGAGAATTGCTTGAATCCAGGAGGTGGGTGGAGGTTGCAGTGAGCCAAGATCGTGCCAATGCACTCCAGCCTGGGCAACAGAGTGAGACTCCATCTCAAAAAACAAAAACAAAAACAAAAAAAAACGACAAGATAATGGTCCAAAAATCATATTGAGGAACAAGAAGGCCATTCATCTCATCTCCACCCTGACATACACCATATAAGACAGAAATATTAGTTTCTGTCTCAGAGGGCTGTAGCAGAAGAGGTAAGCTGCTGGGAATAGGCAGGTTTCTACATAAGGCCAAGAAGTACAAGTGACATTTGGAGAAAATTCTGGGGATTTTGTCAAATATGGAACTCTGAAGATGTTAGATTGGGTATATGCACTGATATTTCATGGCTCCTGTGACTTATTAAAATAAAAACATGGTAGGTGGCGGATGAACAGAAACCATAAAGAGAAAGAAAGTAGAGGAAGGGAATGTGTTATCAGGAAATAAGAGATTTTAACAAATACTTGGGAGATTGAAAGCAGACAAGAGTGTAAAGAAGCCAGGCATGGTGGCTTACTCCTGTAATCCCAGAACTTTGGGAGGCTGAGGCAGGAGGATTGCTTGAGCCTAGAAATTCAGGACCAGCCAGGGCAACATGAAAAGACTGTCTCTACAAAAAATGAAGAAGTCAGCCAGTCATATGGCATGTGCCTGTAGTCCTAGCTAATCAAGAGGCTGAGGTGGGATGATCACTTGATCCTAGGAAGACAAGGCTGCAGTGAGCCATGTTCTTGCCACCGTTAATGCAGCCTGGATGACAGAATGAGACCCTATCTCAAGAAAAACAACAACAGAGAACCACAAGATAAAACCATAAAGGAAGCCAGAGCCCACAATTTGTTTAAACAGTCCAAGATAGAACCCAGTCTGCTCATTGGAACCCTGGAGAGACTTTGGGCTCAGAGTTAGCATATGTTATGCAGTGCAGGAATAAGAAAAAGAGCAAAAATGATGAACTAATTGCAGGTCTATAATCAAAATAGTTATATCAGCAGCTTCTAATCCCTGAATTACAGAGTATGAGCAGTCTCTGTCACTTGTAGACTAGAAGAAAAAAACAGTGCTCTTTTTTAAAATAATTCAGTGAATTGTGTAGGGAGAGTTAAGTCCCTCCGCAGTATTGATCGCTTGGAGTTCTGACATTTGGGAGTCCAAAGCCTGACACTAGGCATGCCGGCAACCCACTGTGCTCAGAGAGCTCTCAACTGAAACAGACCTATTACTATATAGCAGCAAAAGAAAGCCAAGTCAGCTACTCACTTTCATCATTAAACACGAACATCATTACTCACCCTTGTCAGAGTCAAGACGTAAGATAATATATAATGCCAAACATATCAGACAATGACATAAAGAGAGAATACAGTTAAACAGAAGAATTTTCCCTACAAGAGAAAGATAATCTGATAATAGACAAGAACTTAAGAAAATACTTCTAAATTAGGTAGTATACTTGGGGACATTAAAGAAGTTATTATCTCTATAAAGCAAGAATAGGGAGCATTCAGAGACAAAATATTTTTAATACAACTATTAAACACAGTGACATCTGTTGTATTATCAATTTCTGTGTGATAAATTACCCCAAAACATAATGGCTTAACACAAAAAAAATTTATCTCGACTTTTTGGTGGATGAAGGACTCCAGAGCAGCTTAGCTGCGTGGGTCTCGGTTGGAGTCTGTCATAAAGTTGCAGTCAAGATATTAGCCAGTCATCAGAAAGCTTAACTGGGGCTGGGGAACCCATTTCTGTGCCCACTCAGGTGGCTGTTGGCAGGAGGCCTTAGCTCCTCACTCATGGCCTTGGCTCCTTGCCACATGGACTTTTCCATAGAGATACTTGAGTGTTCCATGAAATGGTAGCTGGCTTTTCCCGAGTATCCCAAAAAAGAGAGCGAAAAGGAAGCCCCAATGTCTTTTCTGACTTAGTCTCTATAGGTGCACTCTGTCACTTCTGCAAGTTAGAAACAAGTCACTAAATCTAGCCCATACTCAGGGAGGGAGGAATTAGGCTCCACCCCTGAGGGGAGAAATATCAAAAAATGTGTGGGTATATTTTCAGACCACCACAGCGATCAGAGTTTAAAGGAAAAAAAAGAAGTCCCTAAAATTAAAGTCAAGGAAATATTTTAGAGTGTACATCAGAAATATGAAAGGATAGAAATTTGAGAGAAAAGAATTATATAGGGAACCACTACAGAGAGCCAACATCTGTCTCTTTCACAAAAAGTCAGCTGAGGACATGGAGAAGAGATGGTTAAACAACAGGAGAAAGTTTCCCAGAGTTGAAAAAGAATACCCATCTTCAGGTGGAAAGGGCTCACTGAGAACCATCTATAGTGAATGCTTTTTAAAAAATCCATTCCTAACATGTCCTTTGAAACTGTAGTGCACCAGGGATAAGCTTTCAGAGGAAAAAAAATGGGGATTACACTGCATCACATTCCTCATCATAACACTGGATGCTGAAATACAAAAGAGCCATGCCTTCAACTTTCTGAAGGAAAATGGTTTTGAACTTAGAATCCTGTATCCATCCAAGCTATTCATCAAATATGAAGAATGAATAAAGACATTTTCAGATACACAAGGTCCACAGTTTAACTGGAATGTACCTTTCCCTTTGAAATCATTTGAGGATACACATTCTAGCAACATGAGAGGAAAAATTAAGAAAGAAAATGTCCTGGGATCCAGGAAACACTGGAAACACCCAGGAAAGTGGCAAAGGGCAATTCTAAAATGATGGTTGTGTAACAGGCCAGGAGAGCCACTGCTCCAGATTGGAACACAAGAACATCACAGATAAGAAAATGGGGATTTTAGGCAGTGGATAGTATGAAGCAGCAGAGGAAATAGTTTGAGACTTGATAGAATTATATAACTTTGACAGCAATAAAAGAAAAGCATTTAGAAATGTTAAGAAAAACAGAATTGTTCAGGAAAATAAGTCATGATTTAAACATGAAGCAAAATAAAAAGTGGCATGATCTTTAGCAATTGATGGTGTGTAAGAAAGACTTTAATAAATGTTCTATTTGAAGTGGCCCATGGATTGCATCATTGGACCGGTAGGAAAAAATATATAATCCTAACTAGTATATTTCTTAATCTGGCAGGAATGATGTATATATGTATGTAGTAGACGACAGTATATATATGTCATAAGCATTCTTTCTTGGTTTTCAGACTTTTAGAATAACCCTACCAGGCAAGCATGGAGTAGTTCATTATGGCTGCAGGTTAGAATATAAATGTAAAAAATTCTTTTAATGATGCAAGTAAAAATGTAGTTGAAAGAAATGGAAGGTAGAAGGAAGGAAATACAATTAGAGGGAGGATGTGGACACTGAATACCTAATCTGACACAGAAGAGAGTTGAGATACTAACTTTTTGATAGAACAAAAACATAGACATGTCATTTAAATTTAGGTAGTAACTAATAACCCAGCTAGTAATAATGATAAAACTATTAAACATTGGGAAGAAATGGTAGAAAAGTGAAAGTGGAAAGTGTAAGTCAACAAAATCCTCAGAGGGGAAAGAAATAGATATTAACTAAAGATAATAAATCATGAAAAAGAGGTTATTTGTAGTTGGACCACTGTAATAACTCACATTTGAAAACATGAAAAAGGATTGATACTGGGAGTAGAAAAGGATAAGATGGGAAAATGTTGTTCCTCATCATATACTCTTCTGCACTGTGTGAGTCCTTGCTATTTCTTACGTTAATTTTTAAGAAACAGTTTTAAAAATTATTTTTCTGACCAGGCATGGTGGCTCACACCTATAATCCTAGCACTTTGGGTGGCCAAGGCGAAAGGATTGCTTGAGCCCAGGAATTCAAGACTAGCCTGGGCAAAGTAGCAAAACCCTATCTCTACAAAAAAATTAAAAATGAGCCAGGTGTGTGTGGTGGCACGCAACTGTAGGCCCCGCTACTTGGAAGGCTGAGATGGAAGGATCATATGAGGCTGAGATGGGAGGATCATGTGAGCCTGAGATGCCATAATTTTGTATATTAAATTTTTAGTTCTAGTGAACCTGCAGTTGTTTAAATAAGAATGTAGCTATGGATTAGGCTGAAGCTGTTCTGGGAACTAATTTTTTTTGGTGACCAGTGACTTTATTAAGTATTAACACTCTTCAAATGTCTGACTTTTGTCTACAGGATCAAAGCAAGTTGGAGAAACATCAGCACCTGGAGACACCTTAGATGGCACACCTCGTACTCTCAATACTGTCTTTGATTTCCCACCACCTCCATTAGACCAAGTGCAGGAGGAGGAATGTGAAGTAGAAAGGTAATTCAGTGATCTCTTAGAGAAGCTTAGGGCATTACTTAAAGTTTTTAAATTATATGCTATTCCTATACTTAGTAGCATTCTAGCACTGAAGCCTGGCATGGTGGTATGTACCTATAATGCCAGCTACTTGGGAGGCTGAGGCAGGAGAATCAATCACTTAAACTCAGGAGTTTGAGACCAGCCTGGGCAACGTAGTGAGCCCCCACTTCAAACTGTAAAAAATAAAATAAATAAATAAATAAATAAGTTGGGTGCATAAAAGAACTAAAACACCATTTCAGAACTCATAACTGAAATGTAGAAAGGTACTCAAATTTTCTTCAATTTATTTTATATTAAATTATTACAATATCCCAAAGAATTATTTATCAAGCTGCTGGAGTTTAACCTAGCTTTGAGTATCTTTGGTATAAATGTATTGATCACCATTTTGTTTTCATGTTACTCTTTACTTTCCATTGTTTTAGGGTGACTGAACATGGGACACCAAAGCCCTTTCGAAAGTAAGTAAATCTTAAGCAGCTTTCAATAAAGGCGCATTTTAAGAAACGTAACCTTTTTTCCTCTAAAGTTTCATTTTAAAGGAAAAGAAACCCTGTATACCAATCTGTTATGTAGTATAAAAGAAAGCTCTTAAGAAACACTGGTCATTCAAAAGCTGTATTTTGAAGTATGTATAAAACAGCCATTTGTAGGAGAGGATGAAATTTCAGTGCTAAGTCAGATTCAGGAATCTGATTAGAATTTATTGTAATATAAAGATTTGTGCTGTTTCTCATTGTCCACCTAAAGTCTTCAAATTGAATTCACTCTTTTTTCTTCATAGGTTTGACAGTGTAGCTTTTGGAGAAAGTCAAAGTGAGGATGAACAATTTGAAAATGACTTAGAGACAGATCCACCCAACTGGCAGCAGCTTGTTAGTCGAGAAGTGTTACTGGGACTAAAACCTTGTGAAATCAAAAGACAGGAAGTGATTAATGGTGAGTGTAATCAATTTGTTGTTGTTGTTTACAAATACTGAGTTTTGTCAGAGTGAATTAAGTCTCTCAGCCTTGGAGTTTGCTTCAAAGTTTCTCCTAGCCTTTTGTTTTAAACAAAGAGGAAATTAAACTGGACAGATAATCCTTGAACTCAAGAAAATGCAAATGTTTCTCTGATTCTTATTGATAATTTAAAAGGAAAATGTGTTAAGCCTTAAAGATATTTAAGATTCATAGCATTATAGATCTTAAAGTTGAAAAGTCATTGCAACAACTAAGTTATTTTTATGCATAGATTTTAAATGAGGAAGGTAAAGCCCAGGGAGATTGAATTCGTTAAGATCATACAGCTAATAACGTGTAAGGAAAAAAATTCAGTTCCTGGTCTTTCTGTATCGAAGTGCAGTGTTCTTTATTTACCCTAGCATGTATGTGATAAATGTGTGGCATGGGTGCTGTACCCTTTACTATCCTTAGCATGTGATATGAATAAATATCTTGTCTCTGACAATACTGAGACATAATGAAATTATAAGCCTGACCCCAGAAGTGAGTGTTTATAGGCAAATTAGATAACCAAAAGTACTATTATTTCTTAAGAGGGCTCAAGTTAAAGGCTATATGATGTTGGGGCTTACAGTTTTCTTAATGATGTAGTTGTGATAGGTGGGTATTATTGTAAACAGCTGGATGTGTTTGGGAATACACTAAAAAAAATAGTTTTGAATGATATTTTTTATTTGTCAGTATTCAACTCTCAGAGCCAGTATGTAGGAAAATTTCTTGGAATCAGAATGACTTCAGAGATATTTCATCCTTTCTAAATGATAAATAATTTATTATATAATTCATTTGCTACTTCACTCCAGCTAAAGACTATGATTGATCCCATGGAATTGTTCTAAGTAAGGCAACATTTCATATCTCTTTCCTGTTCAGAATTGTTCTACACTGAAAGAGCTCATGTTCGAACACTGAAGGTTCTTGATCAAGTGTTCTATCAGCGAGTATCCAGAGAAGGAATTCTGTCACCCTCAGAGCTACGGAAAATTTTTTCAAACTTGGAAGATATTCTTCAACTTCATAGTAAGAGAAATTAGCTCTGATCTTTGCCCCTAACATTTCCAATAGAGAAAAGATTGTGAGTTTAAAATTTTGTAAATGTACCCATGTTAGTATTCCTGAGATTATGTGTGAGAATGTAAGATAAATAAAGGAATGATTGGAACTTTGACTAGATCCTTTTCCTCACAATCAATCTTTCATGTACAATGTGTCAACATAGGGCTTCCAGTCTAAAGTCATTGCCTAAGGTGAAAAACATGAATAGTCAAATTCACCGTTGAAAATTTTCTATCAATTATAGTATATATATCTCTTTAAATATATATATCCAATATAATAATATACGTATAAATGTGTTTTGTAAATAGTAGTGTATGGTATATAATCACATGGTTCGGTAATTTTTAGGAATTGTTTTTATTTTTTTGAGATGGAGTCTCGCTCTGTTGCCCAAGCTGGAGTGCAGTGGTGCAGTCTTGGCTCACTGCAACCTCTGCCCCCTGGGTTCAAGGGATCCTCCCACCTCAGCCACCTGAGTAACTGGGATTACAGGCGTGCGCCACCACACCCAGCTAATTTTTGTATTTTTCGTAGAGATGGGTTTCACCATGTTGGCCAGGCTGGTCTCAAATTCCTGACCTCAAGTGATCCACCCGCCTGCCTTGGCCTCCAAAGTGCTGGGATTATAGGCATGAGCCACTGCCCCGGCCTCAGGAATTATTTTATTGTTTTGTTGCTTGGAACACTTGAATAAGTATATAAAAATTCTACCTTGTTGACATTTTATTGGTTGAAGTCATCTTGGACTTTTGTGGACAGTAATATGATGTTCCTCTCATTTATAGGTCACTATTTCTCTATGACCCTTAATTTTTTTATCTTTCTTTTTCATGTCATCACTAACTATCAACATCTGCTAACTAAATTGATGCCTTTTATTCCTTTGTGGATAATCTTGGGTTTCACAGGCATGCATTGACAAGTTCAGGCTTGATTACATCCATTGCCTGCACACTTAACACATTTTGAGAGGATCAGTGAACAGAATTACTTGTACTGTTTAAATTCAAGTTCTTTTTGAGCATGATTATAGATGGAGTCTTGAGGTTCAATGAATATTTGATGCAACCACCGTGTATGTAATGTGCTAGTTTCCAAAAATGTTTTTTGTTTAGCA
This sequence comes from Homo sapiens, assembly GCF_000001405.40. Lineage (NCBI taxonomy): Eukaryota > Metazoa > Chordata > Mammalia > Primates > Hominidae > Homo > Homo sapiens. The sequence goes on from NC_000011.10 coordinate 120,460,477, forward strand.
CCTGTTTTTCAGATAGAGCTTATAATATCCAGATGTGTAAGCACTATGTCCAGATTTATATTTAAGGAGATAAGAAGCAGCTGTACTACTGTGAAAATCGTCTTTATAAAAAAAAAAAATTAGCTACTCTGTACTACCAGTAATTCTGTCTACACTGAATGTGTTACTAACGTTTTTCTATCTTTTTATCTTTAGTTGGATTGAATGAACAAATGAAGGCTGTTCGAAAGAGAAATGAGACCTCTGTTATCGATCAGATTGGGGAAGATTTGCTGACATGGGTAAGGAAATTTTCTGTTTCTTTTTAATATTTTTATGGACACTTGATGGTTAGATTCAAGTTGAGTAACTAACCTTTCCAAATATGCAAACTCATCCATGTTGCAAAGTTAATGCAAAGCTGAGAAAGGTCAAGCAGTAGATTCCATTTCAAGAAACCACCTGTTTTGCTCATCTGTAAGAAGCAGACCCTTATCCATTAAAAGTCATACCATGAGATTGCAGTGATTCAGTCACACCTTCAGGCTCCACTGTAATCCTAGTTTTTTTGCAGTTACCTCTTCCACTGAAGTCTTGAACCCCTCGAAGTCACCTATGAGGGTTGGAATCAACTTCCAAACTCCTGTTAATATTGATATTTTGACCTCCTCCTGTGAATTATGAATGTTCTTAATGGCATCTAGAATAATGAATCCTTTTCAGAAGGTATTCAGTTTGCTTTGCCCAGACCAATCAGAGGAATCACCTTATGAAATATATTTCTTAAATAATAAGACTTGAAAGTGAAAATTACTCCTTGGTCCATGAGCTGCAGAATGGATATTGTGTTAGCAGGCCTGCAAACAACATTGATCTCCTTGTACATCTCCATCAGAAGTCTTTAAGTGACCATGTGCATTGTCAATGGGCAGTAATATTTTAAAAGTAACTTTTTTTTTTTCTGAGCAGTAGGTCTTAACAGACATGCTGTCATCTAGGCTTTGTTGTTTCATTTATAGAGCACAGACAGAGTAGATTTAGCATTATTCTTAAGGGTCCCAGGAATTTCAGAATGGTAAACAATCATTGGCTTCAACTTAAAGTCATTGGCCCCTAACAAGAGAGCTGGCCTTTCTTTTGACATGCTGAAGTCAGACATTGATTTCTCCTCTCTAGCTATGAAAGTTCTAGATGGCATCTTCTTCCAATAGAAGGCTATTTCATCTACATTGAATATCTGTTGTTCAGTGTAGCCACTGTAATCAATTATCTCAGGTACGTCTTCTGGATAACTTACTATAGCTTCTACTGCTATATCAGCACTTGCTGCATCACTTTGTACTTTTATTTTTATGGAGATGACTTCTTTTCTTAAATCTCATCAGTTTACCCCTGCTACCTTCAAACTCTTCGTCTGCAGCTTCCTTACCTCTCAGCCTTCATAGAATTGAAGAGAATTAGGGGCTTGCTTTGTATTAGGCTTTGGCTTAAGGGAATATTGTGGCTGATTTCATCTTCTTTATACAGACTAATAGGCTGTTTCACTTTCCTCTTGTTCATTTGTTCATTGGAGTAGCACTTTTATTTCCTTCAAGAATTTTTTCTTTGTGTTCACAAGTTGGCCATTTGGCGTAAGAGCCAAATCTCAGCTTTTGACATGCCTTCCTTACTAAACTTAATCATTTCTAGCTTTTAATTTCAAGTGAGAGATATGTGACTCCTCACTTGAACCCCTAAAGACCATTGCAGCATTGTTAATTGGCCCAAATTCAATATTGTTGTGTCTCAGAATAAGGAGGCCCAAGGAAAGGGAAGAGAGTTGGGGGAATGGTCAGTTGGTGGGGCGGTCAGAACACACACAACATTTTTCCATTAGGTTTGCCACCATATGTGGGTGCAGTTCATGGTGCCCCAAAGCAATAAATAGTAACATCAAAGATCACTGATGACAGATCACCGTAACAGAGTAAAATGAAACAGCTTAAACTATTATGAGAACTACCAAAATGTGGCACAGAGACATGACATGAGCACATGGTTTTGGAAAAACGGCACCAACAGACTTGCTCAGGGTTGCCATCAACCTTCAATTTGTAAAAAATGGAGTATCTGCAAAGTACAATAAAAATGTGAGGTATGCCTGTACCTGTAAAAAGTTGAGGAAAAGCAGAATGGTGGTTTGTAACTGTCACATACAAAGCGTTAATTTAGAAGAAGGCATTGGCCAGAAATCATAAAAGCAAAAATCATAAATAGGCCTTTAGATTTTACTCTTGCTGTTTAAATAAAATCATTTTGGAAAGTATTTTTCCAGTATTGTTTCCTTAAGATCACTTTACATACACAGACAATCCTTGACTTACTATGGTTCCAACTTCGACAGTTTTTTTACTTTACAGTGGTGGGAAAGTAATACACATTCAATAGAAACCATACTTTGAATTTTGAATTTTAATCTTTTCCGGAGCTTGGCAATATGTGGTATGTTACTCTTGATGCTGGGCAGCAACAGTGAGCCACAGCTCCTGGTCAGCCATGTGATCACAGGGTAAACAACCACTCTACAGTGTACTGTACTGCTAGATGATTTTGCCCAGCTGTAGGCTAATGCAAGTGTTCTGAGCACATTTAAGGTCAGCTAGGCCAAGCTATGGTATTTGGTAGGTTCAGTGTATTAAATGCTTTCTCAACTTAAGATATTTTCAATTTTTGATGGTTTTATTAGGATATAAGTTCATCAGAAATCAAGGAACATCTATACTTAAACTGCTTGTAAAACTACTGTAGAGGCCGGGCGCAGTGGCTCATGCCTATAATCCCTGCACTTTGGGAGGCCGAGGCAGGCAGATCACCTGAGGTCAGGAGTTTAAGACCAGCTTGACCAACATGGAGAAACCCCATCTCTACTAAAAATACAAAATTAGCCAGGCATGGTAGTGCATGTCTGTAATCCCAGCTACTCGGGAGGCTGAGGCAGGAGAATCGCTTGAACCTGGGAGGTGGAGGTTGCGGTGAGCTGAGATCGAGCCATTGCACTCCAGCCTGGGCAACAAGAGCGAAACTCAGTCTCAAAAAAAAAAAAAAAAAAAAACCAAAAAAAACTACTGTAGAACTGCTTGAGTTTGGGGGCATTATTTTCTTTGGTAAACCCAGCTGCTTTTTGTAGTTGTGTGGTGCTTTGATTGACTAACATGCTAAAAATGCTGCCAGTCTCCTTGTTAAACATGTTAAATGTCATATTCATCATAGAGTAAGAATACAAAATTGGAGTGACCTATTAAAATATTGCTTTGTATGTGTCCTACTTGAAAAAATACTCTGAATTTATCTACAAATGCGCTACAGGCGGGCTTTTTACAAAATGCCTTTATGTACAAACTTTTGGGAATATGGCTTTAAATGGAAGATTATATGGAAAACATCTTCGTAAACCATAAAGCAATTATCTACAAGTATAGAGGCTGTATTAAAAAACAATGTATTTGACTTCTACGAGCACCTACTAGTAAATCACTTTTTAGGTGTTTAACCATCAGAAATCTTAAAATCATGGCACATGCAAACTTAAATTTACAAATTAAAAAACATTAGTGAGAAGTATAATTTTTAGCAAAAGAATTCATAAGCTCATTGATCTCCCCCAAGCCAGCTCCAGCTGCTGCACAGGTGAAACAGCAGTGATTTAATTTTGTTTCAACACAGAAAACTTACGGCCTGCCCATGGTCATAGTGGGTTTTATACTGAGTAAGAAGGAATGCTAGTATGCCAAGGATTTGCTTCCCAGAGTAGTAAGACAGTAGTTGTTGTAAAGGCTTCAGGGTGTAAGAAAATTAAATTTTAGGCCAGATGTAGTGGCTCATGCCCATAATCCCAGCACTTTGAGAGGCCAAGGCAGGCGGATCACTTGATGTCAGGAGTTCAAGACCGGCCTGGCCAACATGGTGAAACCCCATCTCTACTAAAAATACAAAAAAAATTAGCCAGGCGTGGTGGCACACGCCTGTAGTCCCAACTACTTGGGAGGCTGAGACAGGAGAATCACTGGAACCTGGGAGGCGGAGGTTGCAGTGAGCTGAGATTGCACCACTATACTCCAGCCTGGGCCACAGAATGAGACTGTCTGAAAAAAAAAAAAATGAAAATTTAGTCTCAGTCTTCAGGCATTTTGTATCTTATATTCTCCAAATGTCAGCTTGTCTGTGTAATTTATAAGTAACGTAGGCTGAAAGGTAATAGGTTGTGATAGGCTACAAGCAAGAAAACATTGGGACTGGGCACAGTGGCTCACGCCTGTAATCCCAGCACTTTGGGGACACCAAGGTGGGCAGATCACCTGAGGTCAGGAGTTTGAGAACAGCCTGGCCAACATGGTGAAACCCCATCTCTACTAAAAATACAAAAATTAGCTGGGTGTGGTGGTGTGTGCCTGTAGTCCCAGTTACTTGGGAGGCAGAGGTGAGAATCTCATGAACCTCAGAGGCAGAAGTTGCAGTGAGCCAAGATCATGCCATTGTACTCCAGCCTGGGCGACAGAGCAACACTGTCTCAAAAAAAAGAAAAAAAAAAGAAGAAGAAAACATTGGAATATGATCAGAAAAGGTCTGGTTGTGTCAAGATCAGACCTTTTTAATGGAGAACCATTGATATTCCACATAGATATGCAGTTCTGTGTATTTTGTCACTTGAAATATTGAAAGGATTCTGGTTGTCTGTCACTTTGTCTGGCTTGTATAAGCTCAGTTTCCCATTCTCTTTTGTGTTCTTTGCATTCTTGGCACAGTTCAGCGGACCAGGAGAGGAGAAATTGAAACATGCTGCTGCTACCTTTTGCAGTAACCAACCTTTCGCCCTGGAAATGATCAAATCTCGTCAGAAAAAGGATTCTCGATTTCAGACTTTTGTGCAAGTGAGTTGAGTGAGTCATGTAAGAAAAAAAATAAGGCAAGTTTTTATCAATTATCAGATAAACTGGGGGAATTCTGACTAAGACTTTTACAAAGATTACATCTGTGTTAACTTTTTTTTTTTGAGACAGGGTCTCGCTGTGTTGCCCAGGCTGGAGTGCAATGGCACAATCTCAGCTCACTGCAACCTCTGCCTCCTGGGTTCAAGCGATTCTCCTGCCTCAGCCTTCCTAGTAGTTAGGATTACAGGTACATGCTACCACGCCCTGCTAATTTTTTCTATTTTTAGTAGAGACGGGGTTTCACCATGTTGGCCAGGCTGGGCTCGAACACCTGACCTCAAGTGATCTGCCCACCTCGGCCTCCCGAAGGGATTACAGGTGTGAGCCACTGCACCTGGCCCACGTTAACATTTTTAAAAGCAATACATTATCTCTTAAATTCCTGGAAGGTACAAAAATGACTTTGGAATGGTGAAGAATAATAAAAAATATATGTCAGGATTAAAATACTTAATATAGAAATCCACATTGCCACGAGGCTTTTATCAGTAAACAACCGTATGCTCTATTAAGAGAATATTGTCAAAGCATGAGAATGGGTTTATCCAGGGAAAAACGTAACAGCAGCCACACTCATTGGGGTATATGAATTAAGGGTTGGTAAACTATGGCCGACAGACCATATCTAGTCTGTTACCTGTTTTTATAAAGTTTTATGTAAATACAAACATGGCCGCTTGACAGATTTCTCACAGTTGTTGTGGTGTGTGGGTATGGTTTAGCAGGTTCCTCCCTTGAGAGTTTGACCAGGCTGAGATCACAGCGTCAGCGGGAGCTGCAGTTTTCATCTGATGCTCGAGGTTCTCTTCTAAGCTCACTGGTTGTTAGCAGAGTTCATTTCTTTGTAAATGTATAACTGAGGTCCTACCTTGCTAGCTATTGGCTAGGAACCAGTTTCAACTCCTAGAGAACAGAGAGATCTCTGCCATATGGCCCCATTAGGCAGTTTAGAGGTGGATGTTTGCTTTCTTCCAGGCCAGTAGGAATGTGGCTTTCTGACACAGATTTGTTTTAAAGGCTCCTCTAATGAAATCAGGCCCAGCCAGGATAATTTCCTTTCTTATGATCTCAAAATCATGTGGTGGCAACCTAATCATAGGTGTGATATCCCATTGTAATCACAGATTCCAAAAATGTTCATACTCAAGGGCATAGGATTACACAGAGTATTTACACAAGAGGATGGGAACCTTGGAGGCCATATTAGAGTTCTTTACTACACAGAGCCTTGTTCATTCACTTATGCCAAAACAGTAGAGCTGAATAGTTGTGAGAGAGACTATATGGCCTGCAAAGCCTAAAATATTTACTATCTGGCATTTTACTAAAAACTTTGCAGACCACTGGTATAGATGAGCTGGCATACTCGACTGGTTATCCATTGTGCATACTTGGAATGGCAGATAACAAATTAGCTAACCAATTTTGGTAGGAATGTCAATCATAGGAGAATGGACCTAGATTTTCTGAATAGGTGAAGATAAAACTGTTTCAACACAAGGAAGCGATACGTAGAGCTGCTTATGGATGCTTTCAGTCCTTCCTTAAACAGATAACAAGCCATTCATTTAGTAATAGAGGCTCCCTTCCCCCATTATGTGATTAAAGGAGAAAGCAGAAGTATATTGTGGCAATGATATATCTTGGCATTTTTTAAAGATCTTGATTTAATAACCAGAACTGTGATGCATTAAACCCTCACGGTGAATACATGGTACATGTATAAGTTCAAATAAGAATTACAGATTCACTTATTTCACTTTAATTTTAGGATGCTGAAAGTAATCCACTGTGTCGTCGTCTTCAACTGAAGGATATTATTCCCACTCAAATGCAAAGGCTTACTAAGTACCCACTTCTGTTGGATAATATTGCCAAATACACAGGTACAGCATTTTCACTGAAATAAAAAGCTTAAGAACAACAACAACGAAACACCCAATATCCTGTAAATAATATCTTACAGCGTCCTGAATGGAGTTGGATTTCCAAATAGTATGACAAGATTTTCTTTTTTTTTTTTTTTTTTTCCTTTTTTGAGACAGGGTCTCACTCAGTCTTGCAGGCTGGAGTGCAGTGGCACAATCATAGTTTCCTGCAACCTCAAACTCCTCGGCTCAGGCATTCCTTCCACCTCAGCTTCCCGAACAGCTGGGACTACAGGGGTACACCACCACACTTGGCTTTTTTTTTTTTTTTTTTTAGCAAGGGTCTCACTATGTTGCTCAGGCTGGTCTCAAACTCCTGGCCTCAAGCAGTCCTCCTGCCTCCCAGAGTGCTGTGATTATAGGCATGAGTCACCATACCCAGCCAAGATTTTCTAACAAGATATGATCTAGTCTTCTTCGGGCTGTTTGATATAATGTACTCCATTAGTAGCTTTAGTACGGGGTATATCAAACTATGAATCATAGACCAAGTCATGCTCACTGTCTGTTTTTGTAAATAAAGTTTTATTGGAGCACAGCCGTGCTCGTCTGTTTATGTACTGTCCCTGATTGCTTTTACATTATAACAGCAGAGTCGAGTAGTTTTATCGGTGCCCATTTGGCCTACAAAGTGTAAAATTATCTGGTTCAACCATCCTTGTTCTAGCCTGCATCATTTTTGCTTTGAAGAAGGTTCATCCTTGGCTGAAGAGATGTTTCATGGATATCTATCAATGACTTTTATTAAGCCAAATCAATGCGGTGTAATTCCAACTCTCCCGTTTTGAAACATGAAATGAATCTGTTTCTCAGCTGAGCTTTAGGTTCTTATACTTAGCTCTCATTAATAATTTAATGCAACTGAAATCTTGTTTCTTGTGCCTGAGAATTTGAATGCATAAGCAGGAAATTTTAAATTATGGTACCTGGTAACAAAAGTGGTTTACACTCATACATATTAATTTTTACACTTTAATATATCTGCTCAGTGTAGTTAGACTGTGGTTTGGAGGATTATAATTTTGAATGTTCTGATTTTGGTCTTCTTTGTATTATAGACATGACATAGCCTCAATACGTTTTGTCTTGTTTTGTTTTGTTTTGTTTTGTTTTTTTGAGACGGAGTCTCGCTCTGTCGCCCAGGCTGGAGTGAAGTGGCACAATCTCTGCTCACTGCAACCTCCACCTCCCGGGTTCAAGCAATTCCCCTGCCTCAGCCTCCCGAGTAGCTGGGATTACAGGCGCACGCCACCACACCTGGCTAATTTTTTTGTATTTTTAGTAGAAACAAGGTTTCACCATATTGGCCAGACTGGTCTTGAACTCCTGACCTCAGGCAGTCCGCCTGCCTTGGCCTCCCAAAGTGCTAGGATTACAGGCATGAGCCACCTTGCCTTGCCGCCTCAATACGTTTTGATGAATTTCATCTTCTTTTAATGTAATCTATTTTCTTTCTTTAAATATAATCTCAAATTCAAAGAAACTTGTTTTGGAATTATTTTGAATTGTGTTATTAAAAAATTTTGTTTAACAAGTTCACTGGACATAATTATGTAGGCTATGCACTGTGAAATTCTGAGGGGAGAAGGGATTTCCATTTATATTATTTACAAAGTAAATGAGACCTGCCCTTCTGGAGTGTATAGTATAGTGGTCCTGGTACTTCACGTAAAGCATCTCTTCTTGGATTTCGGGTTCTGTACTGTGATTTCTTTTTAAAGATTAGAATTTATGTTTTAAAGTCCTGTTATAAGAAGTTTTACCTGTCCAAAGACTGCTTGAATTGAGACTCTGACAGAGGCTTTAAGCTGGTACAAAAATCTTCAAGGTCTTAATATGCTCTTAAAAGTATTGAAATGAAATGAAATCTCATTTACATATATTTTATGGTTTTTTGCTCAGTTCTTTTACATTTTGGATTTCTTTCCCATATTTAGAATGGCCAACAGAAAGGGAGAAGGTGAAGAAAGCTGCAGATCACTGTCGTCAGATCTTAAATTATGTAAATCAGGCTGTCAAGGAGGCAGAAAACAAGCAGGTAAAAAAGGAAAACAAGAAGGTACAGGATGACATTGGGAGAACATTAAATTAATATTACCTGGAATCTGTGAAATAGTTGTTAAAACTATCATTACCTAATGGACAGGGAGAACATTTGTTTACTGTTCGCATAGTAGGCAGGTCAAGATCAATCTGTGATAGAATATCGGAGTTGTATTTGACTTTTTGAAACACCTCAAGCTGCTTGTTTGCTCTTTCATTTATCTCTTCATTCAGCAGATATTTATAGAACATCTACTGTATGCTGGGCATAGGGTACAGAGTAGTTGAGAAAATGAGTGCAATATCTGCCCACACTGAGCTTGTTTGCTAGGAGGATAGAAAGGCATTTAACAGGATTATAGTGCAAATATTTTGTATCAGTTGTGATAGCTACTATCAAGGATAATTTCAAGATGCTACGATATATAACTATGGGGCCTAGCTTAGTTTGGGGATGTTAGGTGGTGCCTATTAGAGAAAATTTTCTTGAGGAATTGACACTTGAGCCAAGCTCTGAAGGATGAGTGGAAGTGAACCAAAATGATGTGAAGGGTGCAACCCTAGAGGTAGAGGCAATATATACCAAAGTCCTGACGGAAAAAGAAAGCATGGTCTGTTGGAAGAATTGAAAATTTACATGAGTGTGGATCATGCCTAAAAAGCAAAGTCAGAGTGGCATAAAATGAGGTAAAGTAGACCAAGGCCAACTCATAAAGGCCCTAGAGATCAGGTTAAAGATTTTGATTTGTCTTCTTAAGTGCAGTAGGAATTCAGCATAGACAAGTAAGAATATAGTGTTCAGATTTTCATTATCTGAACTAGTACTCTATGGAGAATGAGTTGAAGAAGGGTGGTGGATGAAAGAGCCCATTTATTAACCTCTTGCAGCAATCTAGGATAGATGATGGCAGCTTAGAGAAGTTGGAGAAGTATTTAGAAGGTAAAATTGACAGGACTTGATGACTGATTTGAAGAAGGATTTGAAGGAAAAGTGATGTCAAGAATAAACCCCCAGGTTTCTGGATTGCATATTTGGATGGACAGGATGAGTGGAGAAGCCCCACGTTTGTGGGGAAGATGATGAGGTCACTCTGGGATATCAGGTAGACATGCACAGTAAGCAGTTGGCTGTATGGGCCCACCTCTAAGAGGACCATGTTGAAGATAAAAATTCAAGATTGTGAGCATACAGGGGCTGATTGAATCCGTGAACACGGATGTAGTTTCTTAGGAGCTGAGTATGATTACAACTCTCTTGGTGAGGCTGTAGAAAAACTAGTACTTTCAGCTGTGCTGTTCAGAGTGTAAAATGATAAAACCCCAGAGGGTTATGTAGCAATATTTATCTAAATTAAAACTCTGTAGGTACCCTTATATCTACCTTTTGACTCCGCAGTTCTGTTCCTAGTGATTTGCTCAAGAGAAATGAACCATATTAGAGTTCTTTACTACACAGAGCCTGTTCATTTATGTATTATCTGTGGCTACTTTTGTTCCAAAACAGTGGAGCTGAACAACTGGGAGAGAGATTATATGGCCTGCAAAGCCTAACTGACATTTTACTAAAAACCTTGCAGACCCCTGGTATAGATGAGCTGGCATACTCAGGCTGGTTATCCATTGTGCCTGCCGGGAATGGCACATAACAAATTAACTAACTAACTTTAGTAGGAACACCAATCATAAGCAAATGGACCTAGATTTTCTGAATAATAAAATATATCTTTATCTGAAGATAAAGATATACCCACAAACAGACTTAGACCAGAATGCTTATAGCAACTTTATTCATAATAGCGAAAAGCTAGAAACAGCCCAAGAATTTATCAACAGAATGGATAAACCAACTGTGGTATAGTTATAAAATAGAATGCCCTGAGTGATAGGAAAGGAATGTACCACTAAGGCACACAACATGGATGAATCTCACAAACATGCTGAGTGGAAAAAAAACAGATGCAAAAGAGTACATACCTATGATTCCATTTATATGAACTTCTAAGAGAGACCAAACTATTCTATGGTAGGAAAAACCAGAAAACTGGTTCCCATTGGGGATGAGGAGGTAGAAATTAACTGGGAAGAAGTATGAGGAAACTTTCTGGGGTGATGGTAAAATTTTCTATCATGATAGAAGTTTAGGTTACACAAATGTGTAAGCACTTGTCAAAATTCATGGAACATACACTTGAAATGTGTGTTCTACTGTATGCAAATTTTACTTTTTTAAAAAGAACTGTATGGATGTTTAAATGTTTAGAGGTAAAGTGTACTTATGTCTGTAATTTATTTTGAAATGCATCCAAAAAATAAGATGGACTGATGGATAGAGGGATGAATAAATAGATATATGATAAAACAAATAGAGCAAATGTTAATTGTAGAATATAGATGGTAATATATAGGTGTTCACTATGCTCACTCAGACTTTTCCATGTATTTGGAAATGATATTGTGGGGGAATGTACATACCCTTTGATCCAACAGTTCTGGAAATTTATCCTACAGATATCCTACATGGATGTACAAAGACATATATTTAAGTCCACTTTATTACAGTATTGTTTGTTACAGAAGAGTTGAAGTAACTTAAATGCCCATCAGTAAGGCGTAATGAAATAAATTATAGTTTATTCAGAGAGTTTTACATCCTGTAGTCATTTATAAAAAAATGAAATAACTCTCTATATGTGCTAATGTGGAACAGTCCCCAAGATATAAGTCATACACCACACACACACACACGTGGGGGAATACGTATATGAATGTATTCTACCATTTCAATGAGGAATACATATAGGAATACCAAAGGAATGCATATATGAATATATTATGCTACCATATCTTGTTTTAAAAAAGGACATATACACACAACATGCACAAAGACAAGCATACTTATATATACATATATAAATAAATACATATCTGTTTGCATAGAATTTTTCTCAAAGGCTACCCAAGAAATGGATATTAGTGATTGCTTCTTTAGGGAAAATTGAGGGGGGTGGGGCAATAGGACAAGGTTAGAGGGAGACTTTTTATTTTTTGCCTTATATAGCCATCTGAATTTTGTACTGTGTGCATGATTTACATATTCAGAAAATAAATATAAGCTAATAAGAGACCAATGACTTTGAAAAGAAGATTGAGAAAGAAAAGCCAAAGAGGCAGGAGGAAAACTAGGAGAGTATATTATCACCAAAGCCACGGGAAGAGAGTGAGTTTTCAGTCCTGTCTAGCATTGCAAAGAGCTCAGTAAAATGGAGATTTTTTTTTTTTGAGATGGAGTCTTGCTGTGTCGCCCAGGCTGGAGTGCAGTGGCGTGATCTCGGCTCACTGCAAGCTCCGCCTCCCAGGTTTGCACCATTCCCCTGCCTCAGCCTCCCAAGTAGCTGGGACCACAGGCGCCCGCCACCATGCCCGGCTAATTTTTTTTTATTTTTAGTAGAGACGGGGTTTCACTGTGTTAGCCAGGATGGTCTTGATCTCCTAACCTCGTGATCCACCTGCCTCAGCCTCCCAAAGTGCTGAGATTACAGGTGTGAGCCACCACGCCTGGCCAAAATGGAGATTTTAAATGCCAAGTTTGATTCAGAAATAGAGAGGTCATTAATGACCAAAGCACTAACCTTGGTTCCACCCTGCCTAATTTTCAGCGCCTAGAAGATTATCAGCGTCGCCTTGATACCTCCAGCCTGAAGTTGTCAGAGTACCCAAATGTTGAAGAGCTCAGGGTGAGAGATGGTCTAATCATAATTTAAAAAATAAAATAAAATTTGCTAAAGACCTGGCAGGTAATTAACATCTCAGTGGGAATATACGTCACCTGAAGGAGTTCTTGTATCGTAGATTATCTGTATTTATGATTTTTTTTGCTGCCTTTTAAATGCTTGATCTGTATGAAATTAGTTTTTCATTAGAGGAATATCTTGCATAAAACTGTAATATTACATGACAGCAATTGGCAGGAGACTAAGGGACACTAATTATTATAAAATTTAATTTTATTGTGTTCTGTAGTTTGTTTCAGACAGGGTCTTGCTCTGTTGCCCAGGCTGGAATGCAGTGGTGCAGTCTTGGCTCACTGAAGCCTTGGCCTCCTGGACTCAGGCAGTCCACCCACCTCAGCCTCCCTAGCAGCTAGGACTATAGGTATATGCCACCATACCCAGCTAATTCTGTGTTTTGTAAAGACAAGGTCTCGCTGTGTTGTCAGGTTGGTCCAGATTTCCTGGGCTCAAGTGCTCCTTTCTCAGCCTCCCACAGTGCAGGGATTACAGGCATGAGCCACTATGCCCAGCCTGTGTTCTGTAGTTTAAATAAGGGTAGGACTGTTTGGTAACTTTCCAGATCATTTAATAACACAAGATAGCATACTATTTTCTCATGAGGCTCTTCAGAAGCATAAAAGTTGGAACCATTACAGGAACGATAGTAAAATGTTTACTAATTGCCACTTCTAGTATGTGGGCTTATGTGTTAACTTTTTCGGATTTTAAGTGTTTTTGTACCATTTCACTAGGTGGTGGTTTTGGCAGATTTATTTGGTGGCTGTTAAAATAGACTTTTATGTCATATATTAATACTTCGTCAACAAGCACGTAAATGTGCTTATTCCCCTTAGCTTCCAAAGAATGAGAGTTTTCTAGAGCTGCTAATACTAAAAGATGATTCTCTTACTAATAAGTTGTTAATATTTAGACCAAGTCTGAGTAGTACCTGGACTTTTCATGAGTACTATTTCTTAGAACTTTCTTTGAAATTAGAGCCTTGGAACTCAGAAGCCACTTTCTTATAGACAAGCATATGTACCATGCTCATCCAGTTATTCATAGGAAAATTAAAGGATACGTTGAGAATCTAGTGACTGAATGTTTGTAACTTGATCTTCATAATCTGTTATCATCTGTTTAGAGTGAGGTTTGAAGATAGTACTCCTGAATGTTCTTCTGCAAGATACCTTTTCCTTTTTAGAAAATTGTATGCAGATTACTTTAATATGGCTTTTGTGCCATTTTCAAGAACTGACAAATAGCAATAATGATAGTTGAATGTAAATGGTGTATTTTATATTAAGAATTTCTTTAAAAGAGACTGTATTATATAGATAATCATGTTACTGAGTGCTTGGAAATTATTTGTGCATGATTTTCTTTATTTTGCCAGAATTTGGATTTAACAAAAAGGAAGATGATTCATGAAGGGCCATTGGTTTGGAAGGTGAATAGAGATAAAACTATTGGTAGGTCTGATATTGTCTTTTAGTTTTGGGGAGAGTGGCAAAAGGGAAGGAATAGGAAAGTTTCCTATGACAAAGGGAAGAGGAGAGAACCATTCTCTCAGCAGTTTGCAGTGCTACCTCGTGTTATTTGTACATTTGTAGATCTGCTTGTGTTATTTCATTATATGTAAGATGTGTTAAATATTCATTTAGGAATGTAGTGGAGAACTGATTTAGTCCTATTTCCATCATTCTTATAGTCTAGTGAGTCTTTGTATGCTTTGTAAGCTTTCTTTAGACCAGTACATCTTAAACTGTCTGTGATGAGGAACCGTTTTTGTTTTTTCAGAAACAAGGTCTTTCTATGTTGCCCAGGCTGGAGCACAGTGGCTAGTCACAGATGCAGTCATGGTGCACTGCTGCCTCGAACTCCTGGGCTTAAGGGATCCTCCTGCCTTAGCCTCCCTAGTAGCCGGGACTATAGGCGCACAGCACCACACCCAGCTTGTTGTTTTTTATTTCCTATTGGTCACAGACTGACACTTCAGTGAAATAAAATAAAAATGAATTACTGAAAATGAAATTTTAAAAGATAATATACAAGTCAATTTTTAAAATTTTGTAGCTTTAACAGAAATAGAATTCCTCTGTTGAATCATTATAAAGTTAATCAAACGCGTCTCCATTTCTGTACTTACCATTTTTTTCTGCACTTTTATTTCTAGATTTATACACGTTGCTGCTGGAAGACATTCTTGTATTGTTACAAAAGCAGGATGATAGACTGGTTTTAAGGTGTCATAGTAAGATTCTGGCATCTACAGCTGATAGCAAACACACGTTTAGCCCTGTCATTAAGTTGAGTACAGTGTTGGTTCGACAAGTGGCAACAGGCAAGTATGTCCACTGAAGGATACTAATTTCCAGATTCATTGTGAAGTTGCATAAGATACTCGGTGCTGTCTCAATAACACAAGTGGCATAGAGTCTTGCTATTTTTATATTCTTAAGCAAATTACATGAAATTTACTGCTTAGAAAGAGACCTAAGAGTTTATACCCCAAAGTTATTAGGGTGTCTCGATTCTGTGAACAGTTTTCTGCATTTGAAAATTTTTATGCTATTACTTTGGTTCTTTATGTTCAAATCATTGATAGATCCCAATGAAAAGCCTTTCATTTAGGGTGGTATGTTTTTTGATTTGGTGAGAAAAAAATCAAAAACCAAAGAGACGGATGTAGTGTTGATTAAAAATCAAATTTGACTGGCAAGTTATATTTTAACTCTATTAACAACGGGGTCCCTTTTAAAACTTGTTAGTTTCATGGTGGCAAAATAAATTTGTGACCTCTTTTCTCCACTACTCACTGAATATTATTAACTAACAACTTAGCAAAAGTGCAGTTCAAAATAAATGCAAAAGAGTAATAGCATTTAATCTGGTAATTTGGATTTATTTATTTTTTTTCTTTTGAGACGAGGGTCCCACCCTGTCACCCAGGCTGGAGTGCAGTGGTACAACCTTGGCACACTGCAACCTCCACATCCCAGGCTCAAGCAATTCTTCAACCTCAGCCTCCTGAGTAGCTGGGACTACAGGCATGCACCACCATGACCTGGCTAATTTTTTTGTTTTATGTAGAGGCAGGGTTTCGCCATGCTGCCCAGGCTGGTCTCGAACTCCTGAGCTCCAAGCGGTCCACCTGCCTCGGCCTCCTAAAGTACTGGGATTACAGGTGTGAGCCACCGTGCCCGGCCAGTAATTTGGATTTTTGACATGCTTTTAGCAAAGTTTCTAGTAAATTATTGTGGAATTAGTGCTAATTCGTATAATCTTTGTTTTATTGAAGTACAATAAATATAGTACAATAAATACGTTAATATGGTAAGTTGCACAAATTTTAAGTGTACATCTTGATGAATTTTAAAGTAAATATATGTAACCTTTATCTAGTTTAAGGGGCAGACTATTTCAAGACCCTAAAAACATCCCTCATGGCCTCCCCAGGTCATAGTATTAGAGTAATCTTGTATTGTTTTTTCCAGATAACAAAGCTTTATTCGTCATTTCCATGTCAGACAATGGCGCTCAGATTTATGAACTGGTGGCACAGACAGTTTCTGAAAAGACTGTGTATGTATCAGATATGGCTACCTTGCTATAGCTAATATTTTCATTATCCCAAGCGTAATATTCCATAAACTTAACTTTGTTTTTATAATGTATGGAAACCAAGCACTTCCTCTGTACTCTTTTAGAGACGTTCTACTATGAACTTGTTCTTTTTTAGGTTGATGCCTTTTATTTTGATTCTATTCTGAAAGTTTATTTCCTAAAGAAAAAATTGTGCAAAATGTCAAGTGAAGTTTTTTTAATGTGTCCATAGATTTCTCTTAAGGTATAGTTTTGGACTCTCGCCTTAATAGTGTGTTGCCAAAATAAAGATATTCTCTGGCAGAGTGGGTTTTGTTGTTGTTGTTGTTGTTGTTGTTGTTGTTGTTGTTGGTTGATTTGGTTTTTGTTTAGTTTTGCTTTCTGAGTATATTTAAAGGATATTTCTTTTTTCTTTTTTGTATTTTGGATTTCTTTCCAACTTTCTGAAGCTGGCAGGACCTAATCTGTCGGATGGCTGCATCAGTGAAGGAGCAATCCACAAAGCCAATTCCATTACCACAGTCAACACCTGGCGAGTGAGTGTTCCTTTGCATTGTAGTAGGACTTATTTTATGTTTTGGGTTGGAAAAGACTAGGATAATTATTATGTTTTGTTGCGATGATGTTTAGATACCTCAGGAAGGTAAAAGTTTTTTTTTTTTTTTTTTTCTCTACAGAGGAGATAATGATGAAGAAGATCCTTCAAAATTAAAAGAGGAGCAGCATGGCATTTCAGTCACTGGTTTGCAGAGTCCAGGTACACTCTTCTGAAGAGTTCAATGGAGAATGTGCTCTATTATCTGTTAAAATGCTGGCCGGATGTGGTGGCTCATGCCTGTAATCCCAGTGCTTTGGGAGGTCGAGATAGGCGTATCACCTGAGGCCAGGAGTTAGAGGCCAACCTGACCAACATGACAAAACCCTGTCTCTACTAAAAAATACAAAAATTAGCCGGGCATGGTGGTAGGTGCCTGTAATCCCAGCTACTTGGGAGGCTGAGGCAGGGAGAATTGCTTGAACCCAGGAGGCGGAGGTTACGGTGAGCCGAGATCGTGCCATTGCACTCCAGCCTGGGCAACAAGACCGAAACACCAAAAAAAAAAAAGAAAAAAAGAAAAAAAAGAAAATAAAATAAAATGCAAAGAAACTTTAATACTGTTTGGTTTATGCAGGTTCCAGCATCAGAGATTCAGTTTAACAAACTTTGCCTTTGAGCCTTCTGTGTGTCAGTATAACACTGTTCTAAGTGATGTGTATTTTTCTTAACAGATGATCTCTGTAGTTTATGGATTGTTTTTTTTTTTTCTGATTCTTCCCTGAATGCTTCATGTTAAAAGTTAAAAGCTTTGTTTAGATATAGTCTACCTTTTCTATTCCATTGGACAGACAGAGATTTGGGATTAGAATCTACCTTAATATCGTCAAAACCTCAGTCTCATTCACTGAGTACCTCTGGGAAATCAGAGGTACGTGATCTGTTTGTGGCTGAGAGACAGTTTGCAAAGGAACAACATACAGATGGGACACTAAAGGAAGTTGGAGAAGATTATCAAATCGCAATCCCAGATTCACACCTGCCTGTCTCAGAAGAACGGTGGGCATTGGATGCACTAAGAAATTGTAAGTTTTATTCATAACTTATTACAGATACTTACTAAGTATGACACTCATGTGCCATCCCTAAAGTATGTGGATTTATCAAACTCCACTTATTCTTCTAGTTCTATTGTGGAGATTATAGTATTCTCTACAGTGGCCCATGCCACAGGCACACACACACATGCCACTCTGTTAGCTCCCCACCCCCCTGCCTGGTTCAGAATCACTGTTAAAATGGGAGGATAGCATATCTCTCAGTTGTATTGAGGTGGGAAAAAGGCTGAGAACAATTTCTTTGGCTGGGGAGAACCACTTGAAATTTTTAAACCAGCGTATGACTAAAGGTATGAAAAAAGATTAATCTGGCTGAAAGCGGTGGAAGGATTTGAATGGAAAGAGGTATGGAATGGTGTACTTACTAAATAAGCTATTATAATAGTCTGGCCTGAGACTAAAAGAGTTTGGACTAGAATGTTATCAGAAGGAATAAGAAGAAACTGAGAAGTCATCAAATGCTTAAAATAATTGACTTCTTTGAATGTGAGGTCAAAGGAAAGGGAATATTTAGAGATAATTTCATTAATCTAGTCAGAAATAAGAGTCAGAAAAGGACTACCACTGCTTCCCCCACCTCCTTCCATTGTACTTTCTTTTTTCTTTCTTTTGATTTGGTAGAATTATAGGCTCAGTTTTAAAGCATGTCAAGATTAAGATAATGAATGACAAAACACTAAAAAGTGAGTAACTAGCAGGAAGTTAGAGTTTTAGGAGTGAAACTTTAGAGAGAGGTTAGGAAGAGATAGAGATGTGAGCATCAGAGCCATGAGACTTCCTGGCATCTCTCAGGAAGTGATTGTAGAGCAGAAGGACAGAGGATGAGAGACCTAAGTGGAACCTGTTGCCTAAAGAAACATGACAGACATTAAGCTAGTGATGAGAGCAGAGAATTGGTTATTTAAAACCTACAATATTTTTTATACCTTCTCCTGAATTAACAGTCTTAATAATTTCTGATGGTTGGAATAACATTGTCCCAATAACTCTATCATTGTCTGGGTGACCTCATAGCATACACTTGGCCCATTCAAAATTAAATTGGTTCTTATTTTCAGTAAATGTATGTATCTCATAAAATTAGAGGAAATAATATGCATATAGTGTCTGGATCTGGAAAAAGCAGAACTTTTTTTTAGCTTTTTCTGTCTAGCTTAACACAGCCTTTCAACATTCTTAAGAAGTACCTTTAGGGTATTATTCTAGTTATATAGAAGAAAAAATAGAGGCATGATATTGGTTATTGAGGAGTTCTAAATAGTAGTATCTCCCTATTCAGAATGCTTAGATCTTTTCAAGTTTAGTTTAACGTTAAATCTTCTCTAAAAGATGGTGCTTTATTTCATCTTCAAAACAAAATGGAAAATGATTGTATGAAGTAAGATGATTGTATGAAATTAATAATTAACATTTTAATATGTCATTAAAAGATACTTTTTAAAGATAGATCATTGGTAAGTCAGCTAATTTAATTCTTGCAGCCTGAGGTTATAGTTGTGAATATGTTTTTTTTCCCCCTCCTTCCTAAATCGTTTAGTGGGTTTGTTGAAGCAGTTGCTGGTGCAACAGCTAGGTTTGACTGAGAAGAGCGTTCAGGAAGACTGGCAACATTTCCCAAGATACAGAACAGCCTCTCAGGGGCCGCAGACAGACAGTGTCATCCAGAACTCTGAAAATATTAAGGCCTATCATTCTGGTGAAGGACATATGCCCTTTAGAACTGGAACTGGTGACATTGCAACTTGTTACAGTCCACGGACTTCAACTGAATCTTTTGCTCCACGGGATTCAGTGGGACTGGCACCCCAGGATAGCCAGGCAAGTAACATTTTAGTAATGGACCACATGATTATGACCCCAGAGATGCCTACCATGGAGCCAGAAGGGGGTCTTGATGACAGTGGAGAGCACTTTTTTGATGCCCGTGAAGCACATAGTGATGAGAATCCATCAGAAGGTGATGGAGCAGTTAACAAGGAAGAGAAGGATGTTAATTTACGCATCTCAGGCAAGTATCTTTCACACTTAAACTTTGATTTTGATTTTGATCATTGTTAACTGTCCTGTATTTTGAAATGGATGTTGTATTGGTATCCAGGTGTGTGTGTGTGTGTGTGTTCACACATGTGCAATATTTATTCCTTCATTTGATAAATACTGAATCTACTCTGTACCAGACCTCATCATAGGTGCTGGGAGATATAGCAGTGAATAAAACACAGAAAAATCCCATCTTCTCATGAAGCTAGGGGAAAGAAGGATGGTAA
Source organism: Homo sapiens (assembly GCF_000001405.40). Taxonomy (NCBI): domain Eukaryota; kingdom Metazoa; phylum Chordata; class Mammalia; order Primates; family Hominidae; genus Homo; species Homo sapiens. The sequence goes on from NC_000011.10 coordinate 120,480,690, forward strand.
ATAAGTAAACAAATAAATAGACTTCAGGAAGTATTAGGAAGAAACATAAGTCAGACTGAGGGGACGGAGAGTAATGAAGGCAAACAGGGTGATCAGGGATTAGGACCTCCGATGAGGTAGCATTTGAGCAGAGACCTCAATGAAATGAGGGAATAAAGCCGGGTGGGTACCTGGGAGCTTACTATTCCAGCAGAGAGCAGAGTGGGGCAGAGGCTTTGTGTCAAAGAGCAAGCTTTTTGTGGTGATCGAACACTGGATGAGGGAGACAATGGCAGGAGATGGGGCAAGAGAGGCGTTTGGCAGGGGAAGTGGTAGCAAGATCATTTAGGCACTGTAGTTTCCAGCTTTAAACTTTTGAAATGAAATTTTTTGGAAATTACCATGAAAGTTTGCAGAGTTTAGCTTTCATCTGAAGTGAGGAAATTCTGATGTACCTGAAACTAAACTCAGGAATTAATGGCTTTTCCCTCTCTTAATAACTTTTCAAGTTGAAGTTGTCAGCACACTATGCTATTTCTGTTTTCTAATGGCAGCACTGGTCTTATCAAACTATTCTGTCTCTATCCATAGGAAACTATTTGATCCTTGATGGCTATGACCCAGTGCAGGAGAGTTCCACAGATGAGGAGGTTGCTTCCTCACTTACCCTGCAGCCCATGACAGGCATCCCTGCTGTGGAATCCACCCACCAGCAGCAACATTCTCCTCAGAATACTCACTCCGATGGGGCAATTTCACCATTCACCCCCGAATTTCTGGTCCAGCAGCGCTGGGGAGCTATGGAGTATTCCTGTTTTGAGATCCAGAGTCCCTCCTCTTGTGCAGATTCACAGAGCCAGATCATGGAGTACATTCATAAGATAGAGGCTGACCTTGAACACTTAAAGGTACCTCATACTTCCACATCCATAGGACTTGGTTGTAAGAAACATTTAGCAGAGGGGAAGAATAGGGTGATGAAAATGCTGATGTCAATAAACTTGTTCAGGTTCTAGATTTCTTTGACTATTATCCATGAATAGGCCTGGGTAAAAAGTTGAGATTGGCATTGTTTATCTTTTTCTTTCTTTCTTTTTTTTTTTTTTTTTGAGACGGAGTCTCGCTCTGTCAACCAGGCTAGAGTGCAGTGGCGTGATCTCAGCTCACTGCAAGCTCTGCCTTCCAGGTTCACACCATTCTCCTGCCTCAGCCTCCCAAGCAGCTGGGACTACAGGCACCCGCCCCCACGCCCAGCTAATTTTTTGTATTTTTAATAGAGACGGGGTTTCACCATGTTAGCCAGGATGGTCTCGATCTCCTGACCTCGTGATCCGCCTGCCTCGGCCTCCCAAAGTACTGGGATTACAGGCGTGAGCCACCGCGCCCAGTCGGCATTGTTTATCTTTTGACTATCACAAGAGCAGAAAAAGTTGCAGCTCTGTGAACTGTGTGTTTGTATGGGTGTCTAAGTTTAAGAACCTGAAATGCTTCGGGTAGTTGGCTGGCCTCTGTCAGACATGAACAAGAAGATGAGATAGGTAGGGTTTATGTAGTTATGAATCTAGGCTGAGAAATGCTATGACTTTCTGTAGCCTATTATCTGTGACTCATTAGGTGACATTGGCAGCTTCCCAAATCCTATGACAGATAGAAATTGGCTTCAGTGGCTCCTGTAATCTAAAAACATGGTCATGCATGGGATTTTTGTAGATTGGTAATTGAAGATGTCACTATTGCAAAACTGACTTGTGTGGCAATTTCCAAGAGAAAGACCTATCTTAAAGTTTTCCATCAGAGGCAGGGCACGGTGGCTCACGCCTGTAATTCCAGCACTTTGGGAGGCAAGGCAGGCGGATCACGAGGTCAGGAGATCGAGACCATCCTTGCTAACACGGTGAAACCCCGTCTCTACTAAAAATAAAAAAAATCAGCCAGGTGTGGTGGTGGGCGCCTGTAGTCCCAGCTACTCAGGAGGCTGAGGCAGGAGAATGGCATGAACCTGGGAGGCGGAGCTTGCAGGGAGCTGAGATCACGCCACTGCACTCCAACCTGGGTGACAGAGCGAGACTCTGTCTCAAAAAAAAAAAAAAAAGTTTGCCATCAGAAAACACAGCTTCCAGAGCCCAAACATTTTCCTCATGACATCATTTACACCAGAGACTTGAGGGGTAGATTTAAGTATCCTTAGCCTTTGAGTTAAAGACTGGTCTCCCTTAGTTTCTCTTTTACCTTCATATAATTGATTTTTCCCTCTTCATGTTACTTATTTTATGTAGTATCATTCTGTAGCTGATGAGATATCGACAAGCCCATTGAGGACAGGTCGGTTCTTATATACAGTCATGTGTTGCTTAGCAATGGGGATATATTCTGAGAAATTCATCATTAGGCATTTTTATCTTTGTGTGAACTTCACAGAGTGTACTTACACAAACCTAGATAGAATATATCTTTATTTACATAGATTTTTTCATATGGAAAGCCAAATCTCTCAACACTATTACTGAATATTAGTCATTTCCCCTACCTGATCAGCAATGCCATTATTAAGTGCCACACACCAGGTTTCTACATGTGCTCCATAATAATCTTTTTTTTTTTTTTTTTTTTTTGAGACAGTCTTGCTCTGTCACCCAGGCTGGAGTGCAGTGGCGCTATTTCGGCTCACTGCAACCTCTGCCTCCCAGGTTCAAGCGATTCTCCTGCCTTGGCCTCCCAAGGAGCTGGGACTACAGGCACCACCACCATGCCCAGATAAATTTTTTTTTTTTTTTAAATGGAGTCTCGGTCTGTCACCCAGGCTGGAGTGCAATGGTGCAATCTCGGCTCACCGCAACCTCCGCCTCCCGGGTTCAAGCGATTCTCCTGCCTCAGCTTCCTGAGTAGCTGGGATTACAGGTGCCCGCCACCACACCCAGCTAATTTTTTTCTATCTTTTAATTTATTTATGTATTTATATTTTTTGAGACAGAGTCTTGCTCTGTCGCCCAGGCTGGAGTGCAGTGGCATGATCTCTCCTCACTGCAAGCTCCACCTCCCAGGTTCACGCCATTCTCCTGCCTCAGCCTCCCCAGTAGCTGGGACTACAGGCGCCTGCCACCATGCCCGGCTAATTTTTTTTATTTTTAGTAGAGACGGGGTTTCACCATGTTAGCCTGGATGGTCTCGATCTCCTGACCTCGTGATCCGCCTGCCTCGGCCTCCCAAAGTGTTGGGATTACAGGCGTGAGCCACCGCGCCCAGTCCCAGCTAATTTTTATAATTTTAGTAGAGACAGGATTTCACCATGTTGGCCAGGCTGGTCTGGAACTCCTGACCTCAGGTGATCCACCTGCCTCGGCCTCCCAAAGTGCTGGGATTACAGGCGTGAGCCACCATGCCCCACCCATAATAATCTTAAGGGACCATCATCATGTATGCAGGCCGCCATGTCTTTATGTGCTGCATGACTATAGCTCATGCACATGATGACGGGACCATGTCCAGGGTGACTCCTGGGGGTGGGAGAATTGCATCTATGGTTACCACCTCTACTTTCTTTTTACATGGGAAAATACTAAGTTATTCCTTCAGTGGAGAAATTGGTAAAAGGAATGAAATTTACTTTTTTCTTCCCACTAATGAAATTTTTAATGATGAAGTTAATATTTTTGAAATTTGGGGGCTTGTACCTGTAATGTAAAAAGGGCTTCTTTTCTGTTTTCTGAAGTTTTTGTTTTGTTTTGTTTCATTACGTTTGAATAAAAAACCTATGGGTTTTATTTCACAGAAGGTGGAGGAAAGTTACACCATTCTTTGCCAAAGGCTGGCTGGATCAGCCCTCACAGACAAGCACTCAGGTATGTAAAAGTTATGAGTTCCAGACTCTAGACTAATCATCCTACACTGAATGAAATGACTTATCATACTTTGAAGTGAAAACCTTCTGAGATTCCATTTCTCTTCTGTCTTTAAAGAACTGCCTGTTTCTAAACATCAGATATCAAGCGGAAGCTCATGCCTGCTGACTCTACTCTTCTCTAAGAGGAACTGCAGTTGTCAGTTCCCATACCATCCCCTCTTCTCTCTCTTTTCACCTTTTCAAAGCAGAAGGCAGAGCAGTGGGAAGCCTGGTAAATCACAGATTCGGTGTGAGGCTTACTGGTACTGCTGTGACTCCCTAGTGTGGAGGATTTGGCCTTATTGGATGTTGGTGCACTTGCCTCTGCTGACAGTGTGGCTGGTGTCTCCCCTGACTGCAGATGGATTTGTGTTCCCTGCAGCAGTTTATACTCATCTGCTTACATACTGATTCAGAAACAAAGATTGAACCACGCCCACAGATGTCATGGGTATTCTTTGCAATGTTAGTATATTCTTTTTCTTAATATCATTTCCATGTATCTTTATTCTTCTCAGATAAAAGTTAGAGCCGCATGTCCTGGAGGTGACTGCAGGTTGTTGGATTTGGAGTATCGGCCGTGTCTCACCACATCCTGGCTCCAGTGTGGATGCAGAGAGAGTGTGACAGAGGATCTGCCTGTGAACCACCTGGGATTAGTCAAGTCCCAAGGTGCCCAGAGTGGGACTAGTTCTTCACAGTGTGGCAGCTGCACTAATCTGTTTGTGAGGGAATATCCATTCCCTCACTCTACTCTCCTCACTATCGGAAATTCATTTTGATTCAGAATAAAAACCAAATGTATAGAGCTTTGGGTGTAGGATATGAAATTGTACTTAGATTTAAGAAAAAGAGAAAATCAGATGTATTTATTTGACTTCATTCCGTATTTGAAAGCACATTTTAATTTTTATTTGCCTTGTTTTGTTTTAATTGAGTAGTGAGAGTTTTAGACCTTTGTCTTTAGTACACCCAAGGATCAACTGCTCCTGAAGCAAAGAGGTCAGGATGGAGTATGCAGAAGTTGGGTAGAGAGGTTAAGAAGAGGAGGAAGTGAGACGGGGAAGGGAGGAGCACCTTGCTTCACTATACAGTATTCCAAGCTCTCTGCTGTCCAGTAGGCTGCTTCTCTGAGGGTCACCTCAAAGGTATGCTATGCCGTGTGGCTCTTATGTGCCCAGGTGGTGTGGTCAGAGAGTGGATGGGCTTCCTCCCGCCCTGAGGCAAGCACCTCTTCTCTGTAGCTGGGATCAACCACAATTAATAGGAATCCTCAACATACTAAATAGCAGGCACTTGAAAATGGGTGTGTTTTCTTCCATTGTCGTCTTTTCTATTGAGGGTTGGGATTTGGGTGGGAGAGGAAAGCAAATTTTATTTTCTTGACTATAAATTTGTTATTCTTGGTATCATTTCATTTTTATAATTATACATTAGACATTGGCACTTGTGTAAAACTGTCCCTGCAGATTGAGCAGGAAGTAAAAACAAATGGAAATGCTTCGGATAGTGGCAGGGGTGGGGGTTGCTAAGGAAAGGGTGGGATGGGAGTGGGTAAAGAGTTTGGGAAGGTTATCTAACTGAATCACTACTGAGTTGAATCATGGCTATCATTAGCCACAGGTACTGCTGATTATAAGGCCAGTAAAATTTTAGTACCTGGAGGTTTGACTCTAATTTTTGCACTGATGGTGCCAAAGGGCCCTGAGTCAAAAGGATAGCCAAGGGTGGAGTGGAAAAAGATATGGTGAAGGCAGAACTGCTCACACCAGCTCCAGAAGCACGTCCTCTGACTTCACTGCCGCAGCTCTTTCCACACGGGGCCGTGATTGACCCTAAAAATTGCAGACCAGCACATACACTGGACACTGCAGGCAAGGTGTTGGTAACTGCCTGCTCTAGGATGAATAGTAGCGTTAGCAGCACCCTACAGAGGGTAAGTTTCAGAATTGTAATTTGAGAACTCCTTCAATTATATTGACTTTCTTTGGTTTTCCTTGTGCATTAGGTATATATTTTTTGAAGTATTTTTGCCAACTAAAATGAAGTCTGTAAATTCTGTTAATAAACAAGGAGTTCATCCGTTGCTCACATCTTTCATTGGTGCCCTCTGAACTCTGTGGGTTGCTAGGATGTAATTTTAATGCTTCCCTGCAGTCCAAAGATGATTTTTTCACCACAAATGGTAAGGGATGCCCACCTACTTTTATAAACACCACTGCAACTTAACAAGTTTATTTATCTATGTCCAGATTTCTGTTTCTGTCCTAAATTGATCTGTGTTTTTAGGTGGATCAACTTGGATCTTTAGACCTCATCTATAAATTGAAATTATATTTTTAGTCATAAGCCAAGTACAATCTAACTCAGAATGGGATTAAAAATTTTAGAAGCAGAAGCTAATATATAAATGAAGTTTGGGATTTGGAACTTTCTGTATCTCTTAGGAGGAACAAGTAAAAACCAAATGGTTACATTGTGCTGCTAGAAATAATGTCATTCTCAATTAAAAGGGTTACACCTGTAGCCACTTGACACTAACACCATCGAGGGCAATTAATCAGGAGAAAAGTAAATATAAAAACTTTGCTCTTAACGTCACACACTACAGGGTAATTATGTAATTCTCTAGCACTCAATTAAGAAGCTTGTAGGTTAGCAAAATTTCAGTTTCTCTAGTTCAGCCAGTGTCTTGTCCTTAGTAATTATTTGCTTTCCCTGCAGTTCAATTTCTCCTTGGAACTCTAACAGGACTAACTGGAAAAATACTTTGACCATAGCTCTAGTACTTCCAAATAAATTCATATCTAGATTTTCAAACAAAGCCCCAAGATGAAGTCTAATTCTGAAAATATCTCACAATTTTTGAATGTTCTTTTTATCTTACCGACCTAACTTCTCTTTTCCCTCCCAACTTGGCCTCCCACACGTTCCATTTCATTTTGGCCATTATAGTCACATCCGTTTGACTTTGGTTGTGACATCTTCCTTTCAGGATGATGGAATTAGATGCAGTCTGTCTTTGAGTGAGACTGGTCACCATCAGAGGAGTTTTTTCTAAGTGACGTGACTAGAAGTTGAAATCTACTTCCCTGCTAAAGGGCACAGGGGTGGTGTACAAAGAAAGCTACCTTCCCAGAGCAAGCAGGCTGCATTTTAGCTATGGAAGTGACCTGCTGTGACACTGTGCTCTCTTCTGTGGGCTTAATGGTTCCTTTGCTATGAAGTGGCAAATTACATGTAGAGTGTCTCCTTCCTTTTCAGAGAACAGTTAATCAAGGCAAATCAGCAAGCCCCCAAAGTGCTGTAATTTAACATCATGATTACCACCTTCGAAGCTATATATTTTGCATACTTTAAAATCACCTAACTTGGACTGCTTGAATTACATTGGCTTTTAGAACCGAAATTGTAACTATGTATTGTATTTCATGGGAGGTATATTTTATGAGCTTTTTGGCTTTCTTTTTTCCCACAGCAACTGCCAATGAAGGATGAATCCCCTTTTTAAAAAGTTGTTGTTGTTGTTGTTTATTTGATTTTGAGTTAGGAGGGATAATAGAGAAGTCCATTTAAAAATTATTTTTAGAAGCTAAAGAAAGTAATTATGCTTCCTGTGAATTGTCTTTTACTGGCATCTTTGTTTTCCTCTTTGATGTTAGTAAATTTGGTGTAATACGTGGGGCTTCCATATTTCAAAGTGGAAGCTTTCTTCTCTGAAGTCGATATATGGTTTTGAATTACTAGAGCTTTGGTCAGTATTTCCTTCCCTATATGTCACAGAGGGCACCACTGAGAACTGCGTGCATAGGACCTCAAAATACAAAATTAGCAGGGCCTCACAGTCAGCTTCCTCATGGCTAGTTTTTCCCCCTTATATTACAATTTTTGTTTTATAAGTCATTTTTTTCCTGATATTTCCACCACTTTTCAGAGTCATCTACAAAATTTTTCTTTCCTCAAGAAAAGAGTTCCTTTTGCCTTATTCCTTATGCCTTCCCCACTGGTATTGAGGGTTTTGATAATAAATTGGTAGGAAAAAAAAGTACCTCCTAGAAGGAAGCCTTCCCCACCATTTCCAGGTGCCAACTGCTAAGCAGATATATTCCAAAAATGGTAACTGTCATGTGCACACTGTTGGTTATTTTTAATAAGCCTCTTCCTACTAGAACATTTTATTTTCCTTGTTCACCATACAATCATGTACTCTTTAACAGAAATTGCTTTTAAAAAATATCTGGAACTATCTTTAAAAAAACTTTATTAATAATCATGTATTTTTACTGATCACATTTTGAAATGCCTAAAAGACTTTATTGTTCTAATTATCCAGATGTACCTTTGTAAAATAGCTCTTTTATGAATTAGCTGATAAGGCTGTATGTTTCTGGAACAAAATATTGGTCATCTAAAAACTTTCTGTTTTCTGGGGTCTGGGAAAATAGAAAATAAGATTTCAAATATTAAATAAGCTTAAAGGAACCAAGCATGTGACTTTTTATTTGTATTCTGGTTGATTTGTCTTGTCCAAGTTATATTAGAAAAGTTGAGGAGTCGAGGAGCCTGTAATTAATTTTCCTGTCAGTGACTGTCAGACATCTTCCTGCTTATTAGAGCATCCCTAGCAACAAGGCTAAACCTTCATGACAGTGCTGGCAGGTGGGCTTGCCCTAGCATGTGGGGCAGGTTTGTTGTTTTTTTAATAGCTTTATTGAGATATTCACATATCATATAATTCATCCATTTAAAGTGTATAATCAGATGGGTTTTGGTATATTATTGATTTTTAATTGTGGTGAAATATATATATAACAAAATTTGCTATTGTAACTATTTTTAAGTATAAAGTTCAGTGAGGTAGGCCAGCTTTTATGACGCACCTGAAGATAACTTTGGTTTTAATCCTACCCTAAATGAAGCATATGCCTCTATTTTTCCTGTCCCCAGTGCTGGGCTTCTTCACATACCAACATTTCTGTGCTTTTACCAACAGCATTTTAGCTCAGAAGGCTCGCTTACTTTGGGCATTTGCTGTATTTTGGTTTTGAAATACTTGTAATTTGACTTATTCTTGGGATAATATTTTAGTTTTCAGTCATTCAAGGGCACATTTGGCTGACGGAGCTAATAAGCGTAATAAAATGCTTAGTAGTTTATACCATCTTTTAGTTAAACATTTTAAAGATTAAGACTATTCAAATGTACTTTGCGGAAATTAACCTGTTTGTATGCCTGGCTTTGTTTACAAACATATATCTATATCTATATATATAGATACAGATACAGATACATATCTGGTGGAACAAAGAAATACCTGTACCATTCCCACTTGCTCTTTGATAGCCACCTCCTAGGAATGGAGACAATAAAACTCTGTATTTGCATGTGAGCAGTTACTTCTATTTTTTACTGCCCTCTTTCAAGCTAAATGACTGGTTTACCAAAGGTTTATTACCAACTTCAAATATAAGAGGATCTATCCTGATTAAAAAGTTGCTTTTTAATTGAACTCGTTATCTCCTTGATGTTTTATGACAAATGTCATAAAGCATGAGAGATAAGTAGCTGGATGTAGGTGTTTCCCATTTTCTCTATAATGTCAAGGATAATTCTTGTTACTAATTGGAAACACTTCCTCAACTTTAGCTGTCAGGGAATATGTTTGTTTTGCCACTTATTTTTACTAGTGAGACATCATCATTCCCTTAGCATCAGCAGAGGCCTTGGTTTGAGATCATTTAAGGTATGTAGAGCTCTCTTTCTAGATTTTCCCCCTCAATTGATTAGAGTGCTTTTGGACCGACCTGTAATTTAAGGCATTTTATTTTAAGGGATCTTTTTCTTTGTACGTGTGATCAGAGGGTTGTGGCTGCCTGAACACATGCTAATCAAAAACACTAATTAGGATACATTTTGGTAATCTTTTAAAAACTTTCAGGGAGGCATCTGTACAAAGACTTTTTTTCTGCTATCATTATTTTAAATATTAAAGGCAAATAGCATGACATAATGCAACACTTTTCAATCTTTTTGATCTCACGACCACTTTTTAAAAAATGTATATCTTTTTTTGTGTGTTGTTCTTGTTGTTGTTGTTGTTTGAGACAGGGTCTTGCTCTGTCGCCCAGGCTGGAGTGCAGTGGCACTAACGTGGCTCATGCCGCCTCAACCTCCTAGACTCAAGTGACCCTCCCTCCTCAGCCTCCCAAGTATCTGGGATCAAAGGTGTGAACCACCAGGCCTGGCTAATTTTTTTTTATTTTTTGTAGAGATGACATTTCTCCATGTTGCCCAGGCTGGTTTCAAACTCCTGGGCTCAAGCAAGCCTCACCCTCCCAAAGTGGTGGGATTACAAGTATGAGCCACCACACCTGGCCAGGACCACTGGACACTCTTAAAAATGATGAAAGACTTCATGGAGAAGCTTGTATTCATGTGGATTATAGCTATCAATTGTTACTGTATTAGACATTTAAAAGAAAATAGAAATGAGGAAAATGAATTTATTTAAAAATAGTAAACCCAAATACATGTGAACATAAATCACATTTTTATGAAAAGATCACTATTTTCCACAATTAAAAATTGAGGTTTATGTAGTTTTTGAGATCTCTTTAATGTCTGGCATAATAGAATACAGCTGGATTCTCATGTATGCTTCTGCACAATCTTTTGTGATTTTTTTTTCTTTTTTTTTGAGACGGAGTCTTGCTCTGTCACCCAGGCTGGAGTGCAGTGGTGCCATCTCAGCTCAGTGCAACCTCCACTGCCGGGGTTCAAGCGATTATCCTGCCTCCCGCATGAAATGGGGTTTTGCCATGTTGGCCAGGCTTGTCTCGAACTCCTGACCTCAGGTGAGCCACTGTGTCCGGCCCTGTTGTGGTATGTTGAAGTATATAAAGAAAATCCAGGTTCACACGGATACATATTTTTAAATGGAGAAATATTGGAATAGCCTTTTCAGATAATTATGGATATTCTTCTTTGATACTGTACAAAATTTGGCAAGTGATAGTTCCTTCAAAGATAGCTGCAGTGTGGAATCTGAAATCCTATCAAGGAAGTTTTTGTACTCTGTTAAACTAAAAATCCACTGATCCGTTTTACACTTTATTTATGTGAAGAGTGGTAACTTTTACCCATGCATGATTTTGTAATATCCTGTATTGGTCATTTGGAAAATACTGGTTTACTGAATTATGCAGTTCTTCCAAATATTGACACATTTCTTTATATAAATATCAAGTCACATTTGTTAATATCACAACTGATATCAGAAAAGTCCCATGGTAAATGCAAATTTCACAAAATTCTAATGTTTCCTTGGAATCTTGAATTTTATCATTGGCAACAAATACAGTTTTCCTTGAAATGACAGCCTCACTTTTTTTAATTTTTGAGTGAGAAGATACCTGCCAAATATTCAAGTCTGAATGGCGATTGCTTACCAGTCATTCTTTCATGTTAAAATGGTCTTCCTCCATTTAAAAAAAAAAAAAAAGTTGGGCACGGTGGCTCACACTTGTAATCCCAGCACTTTGGGAGGCCAAGGCGGGCCGATTACGAGGTCAGGAGATCAAGACCATCCTGGCCAACATGTTGAAACCCCATCTCTACTAAAATACAAAAAATTAGCCGAGCATGGTGGCGTGCGCCTGTAGTCCCAGCTACTCAGGAGGCTGAGGCAGGGGAATTGCTTGAACTCGGGAGGTGGAGGTTGCAGTGAGCCAAGATCGCGCCACTGCACTCCAGCCTGGTGACAGAGTGAGACTCCATCTCAAAAAAAAAAGTAGCTAGTACCTTTCCTTCAGCCACAACCATGGTACTTTGTTATGTGGCAGGGTTGCTTGATGCATACTTACCTTTTTTTCCTCACACAAAATATTAAAAAGATGTGTACTCAAGGGTTGAGATTTCATAAAATTATTAAAATTTACTGCTTCGTCAAGGACATTCTTAAGTGCAACTGGCAGTGTCTATTGCAAGTCAGCAGCAGTAACAGATACAGTGTTAATGAAATTTGGTACAACAACTTTGATTCCTGCCAAGTCACCAGCAGCTTCACCCTCTATTGATTTTGCACCATCAGTGCAATTGTCAACATGCTGAAAAGGTACGTGGTGTCTCAGTAGTTTTATGAAAAGTTTTGGGGTTTGGGTTTTTTTTGTTTTTGGGTTTTTTTTTGTTTTTTTTTTTTTTTTTTTTTTTTTGCAGTCTGTCTCTGTTCTTGCTCTGTCATCCAGGCTGAAGTGCAGTGGTGCAGTTATAGCTCACTACAGCCTCAAACTCCTGGGCTCAAGGGATCCTGCCGCCCTGCCTCACCCTCCTTAGTAGCTGGGACTACAGGTGCATGCCACCGTGCCCGGATAATTTTTTAAAGATTATTTTTTGTAGAAATGGGGTCTTACTGTGTTGCTCAGGCTGGCCTCCCAACTCCTGGCTTCAAGCCATCGTCCTGCCTGAGCCTCCAAATGCCAGGATTACAGGCATGAGCCACCGCGCCCAGCCTATGACAATAGTTTTGACTCCCTGGGAGTCTTGGGCATCCCCAAAGGTTTGCAGACCACACTTTGAGAACTGTTGGTGTAGTGAAAAGAACCTGAACTTAGATGATCTGGATTCGGTTTCAACTCTTCTACTTACTTGCTGTGTGGCCTTGAGTGAGCTACCTTCTCTGTTTCCATTTTCTTATCTATAAATTGAAGTAAATAATATCCAACCTAACAGTTGTGAGGATTAAATGAGAAATTACTAGGCATGAGGCTGGTATCTCCCCAACATTTTTCGTTTTTTATTTTCCATTTCAGGATTTTTTTGTTGTGTTTTTTATTTTTTGAGACGGAGTCTCACTCTGTCGCCCAGGCTGGAGTGCAGTGGCGCGATCTCGGCTCACTGCAAGCTCCGCCTCCCGATTCACGCCATTCTCCTGCCTCAGCCTCCAGAGTAGCTGGGACTACAGGCGCCCGCTACCAAGCCCGACTAATATTTTGTATTTTTAGTGGAGACGGGGTTTCACCACGTTAGCCAGGATGTTCTCGATTTCCTGACCTCGTGATCCGCCCGCCTTGGCTTCCCAAAGTGCTGAGATTATAGGCGTGAGCCACCGTGCCCGGCCCCATTTCAGGATCTGAAGTACCTAAAACAGGAGAGGAGAAAAATAGTCAAGAATATGTAGGTATCCCACTTGCTAATACAGCCATATTTCCTGTAATATTATGGTTTTGGTGTGTCTAAACCCTAGACTCTTAGGGGTGAGTATATGTGTGTTCTTTTTATTTTTTAGAGACAGGGTTTCTCTCTGTCGCCCAGGCTGGTGTGCAGTGGTGCTGTCATAGCTCACCGCAGCCTTGCACTTCTGGGCTGAAATAATCCTGCCTCTGTCTCCCAAGTAGCTGGGAATACAGGCACGTGCCACCATGCCTGGCTAACTTTTAAACTTTTTTTCGAGACAGGGTCTCACTATGTCACCCAGGCTGGTCTGGAACTTCTGTCCTCAAACGATTCTCCCATCTCAGCTTCCCAACATGCTGAAATTACAGGCGTGAGCCACTGCACCGAGCCCCATTTAAAAAAAAATAAGTTGCTGACCTCTGTAATAATACACTTTAACTTGATTGTTCTTTTAAGTGTAAAGAAAGAAAAAAATACCCTTTTGATTACATTTGCTTTAGTGAGAGCCTTGGTTTTAGAGAAACCTATGTATTGGACTTGTGATGTTTTGGGACTACTGTTGTAATGGGGTGAAGTGGAATGGTAGATGTTCCAGAAACTTTTCAGTGATTATGTACACCTGTAGTGGTTTTCATCTTGCTGCAAGCTCCCATATACAATGTGCTAATACTACTTGGGTTATCTTCCAGTTAAAGCTAGATCTTTGTAGTTTTGAAACATCTGTATTCAAATATATAAGCTGCTTACTTTCTTTTAAGTCTTAATGGAAATCTGAGTTATATTGTGGTTATTTAGTGAGAGTTTGTGTTTTGTCTTCCTAAAAATGCATCAATCACCACGTCCCCTGCACTGAAAAGCATAAGTGATTTTCATATTCAAATCATAATAGCACTTTGAAACCTTTTCTGAAGAAACAGCCCCAGACATCATGGCCTAAAGTCTAGCATATGACAGGATTTCTGGGATTCCTCTCTGCCTTCCCCTCCTATGCATAGGGAGAGGGCCCGTACATACCAGGGAAGCAAGACCAAACTAAACTGAGTTCCTTCTAGTCTCTGTGCTGATATCAGCTGGTTATCTAACCTACAACAAGTCATTTACTTATCGAGGCTCAGTGTTCTCATCTTACACTGAGGAAGTTGGATGTCAGTTCTCTCCAAGGCCCCTTCAACTCTGAATGTTAAATTGATAGCACAGGAAAACAGACAGAGCTTGCCCACTGGCTTGCTTAGGTATTCTCAGGTAAGCTCTATCCTTTCCTGACCTTCTGTGTTGCTCCCAATTAGAGTGTTCTTTTATTTGCTTATTTTATTTTTGTGACAGGGTCTTGCTCTGTCACTGAGGCTAGAGTTCAGTGACACAAACACGGCTCACTGCAGACTCGACCTCCTGGGCTCAAGCCATCTTCCCACCTCAACCTCCTCAGTAGCTGGGACTGCAGGCATACGCCACCAGGCCAATCTTCCCATCTCAGCCTCCTGAAGTGTTGGGATTACAGGTGTGAGCCACTGCACCCAACTAGAGTGTAATTTTAATGTCACCCACTGAAATCTGTCCCTGGAAAATTCTTTTTCTCCTGTTCTTCTTTGAAGTATCTTTGACAGCTTACTTTAGTTTACTGTTACCTGCAGTCTGATAAAACAGTTTCATCTCTTCTTTCATCACGGTCTCACTGCCAGTTTACAACAACTTGGAGGCTTTTGTGGAAGAAAATCTGACTTTCCTGGTTCAGAGAAGACTTGCTGAGCATTGGCTGAGGAGAGACTGGAGGTCTTATCTCCACTTCAGCTCGTGTCCTGAGTGATGGCCGGTTCTGAAAGGCTTATGAAATTTGGAGACTTTGTAGAAGTTGAGTCCCCAGAATATAAGCTAACCAGATTGTATAGCAAGCAAATGCTCCACCAGAGAAACTGTTCCAGCCAGCAAGAATAAGTCCCAGATAACTTGGATGCTTTCATGCAATCAAATATTTACAAACCAACACTTCAAGTGACAGGAAAGGAGATTAGACAAAACTGTTTCTATGGCTTGCCACCTACTGAGAGTAAAAGACTCAAATCTTCTCTACTGTTTCTTTTTTTTTCTTTTGGAAATTGTCCTCTTTGGGATAAATCCTGGTTGAGTAGTCAGTGACATTTACCTGCAATACCTACAGAGCCTAATGTTTGCTTCTGGTGGGGATATTGGCATTCTAATAGGAGTGTT
Source organism: Homo sapiens (assembly GCF_000001405.40). NCBI lineage: Eukaryota > Metazoa > Chordata > Mammalia > Primates > Hominidae > Homo > Homo sapiens. The sequence goes on from NC_000011.10 coordinate 120,495,925, forward strand.
TGAGGAAGGTTCTGTTTCCTTCCCTCCCTTCCTTTCCCCTCCCCTCCCCTCCCTTCTCCTCTCCTCTCCTGACTGAGTCTCACTCTGTTGCCCAGGCTAGAGTGCAGTGGTACAATCTTGGCTAACTGCAACCTCTGCCTCCCAGGTTCAAGCAATTCTCCTGCCTAAGCCTCCTGAGTAGTTGGGACTACAGGCACATGCCACCATGCCCAGCTGATTTTTTATATTTTTAGTAGAGACTGGGTTTCATCATGTTGGCCAGGCTGGTCTCGAACTCCTGACCTCAAGCTATCTGCCTGCCTGGGCCCTCCCAAAGTGTTGGGATTACAGGCGTGAGCCATGGCGCCCAGCCAGTTCTGCATCTTTAAACATGCGTTATGATTAACTTACATTCTCAACTCTTTTCTCCCTCTCTCTTCAAAGATGTACTGATCTGACATGCAATTAAGGCTGGGCATACCAAGGCAGATTAAATGCAGGAATCTTTCTATCTTGGGCCAGAACAGCTTGGCGGCCGTGACTATAGAGTTGGTTGATTAATTGGTTAACTTATTCCCAGCTTTGTTTCAGAAAGCTTTGCAGCAGAGCAGGGCGTTTGAAGATGGTTTAAGGAAAAAAAGGAATCATAGGCCTTAGGGAAAAGAAGGTGGATGTTAGGCTCGTTTGCAGTATTTGTTACTTGATCCTATGATTTTTTTTCTTTCAAAATGTCTCTGATTTACCCCTTGCTCTGTTTCCACTGTAGCAGGTTATCTTGCGGCACAGCTCCATGTAACTAAAACACCTGCATAGATTGCTGCCTCCTCCGCTCTCCAGCCTGTCATGCATGACTACCCGCCAGGTTTGCTCCAAAACATTCCTTTCATTGTGCCACTTGCCTGCCCAAGAACCTGCAGTGGCTATGGTTACTACTGTATCGATTAAACTCCGCTTTGTTTCAGAGATGATCATAATTTGGCCAGCTTCATTTCCCTCTACTGTCCATCGTGAGCCCTCTTCCCCAGTAAGGCTTAGGCTCCTCCAAGTCTCCCCACCTCACATTCTAGGCCGGGACTCCACCTTTGCTTTTCCCTTAGTCTGAAATGTACTTTGGAAACTTCCAAGATGAGTATTAAAAGTAATAGCTGGCCGGGCGCGATGACTCACGCCTGTAATCCCAGCACTTTGGGAGGCCAAGGCGGGCGGATCAAGAGGTTGGGAGATGGAGACCATCCTGGCCAACAGGGTGAAACCCCGTTTCTACTAAACTACAAAAAATTAGCTGTGCGTGGTGGCAGGCGCCTGTAGTCCCAGCAACTTGGGAGGCTGAGGCAGGGGAATCACTTGGACCCGGGAGGCAGAGGTTGCAGTGAGCCGAGATCGCACCATTGCACTCCAGTCTGGCGACAGAGCAAGACTCCATCTGAAAATAAATAAATAAATAAATAAATAAATAAATAAATAAATAAATAAATAATGGCTGGCCAGACATGGTGGCTCATGCCTGTAATCCTAGCACTTTGGGAGGCTGAGGAGGGTGGATCGCTTGTCACTTGAGCCCAAGAGTTCAAGACCAGCTTGGGCAACATGGTGAAACACCATCTTACAAACAATAGAAAAATTAGCTAGGTGAGGTGATGTGCGCCTGTAGTCACAGCTACTTGGGAGGCTGAAGTGGGAGGATCACTTGAGCCCAGGAAGCGGAGGTTGCAGTGAGCCATGATCTGCACTCCAGCCCAGCAATCAAAATAAAATAAAAAATAAAAATATTAGCTACAACTTAATGAGTACAAACTATGTGTCAGGTGCTGTACACTACATACATGACTCCTGTCTTCACAAAAACCTCATAAGGTAAGTGGTTTTTCTCCATTTTTACAGAGCAGGTAACTGAAGCTAGTAGTGATTATGATGTTCCCAGTGGCACAGCTAGGATTCAAGATAAGGTCTGTCTTCCACCAAAGCTTGTCTTTTTTACCCGGCTGCAGAAATAGTTTCTGTACTTAAAGGTGTTTACAGCCTAGTAGTGACAAGTACATGAATATTAATTTTCTGCTTTTCTCCCTCCCTAAATTGCAGTTATCTACACTGGACTAAGGGGCAGAAATTCTGAGAAGTTTGCATTCCATTCAAGGTGTTTGATCTTGGGAATGACTTGAACACAACTAAACATTTAAAGAGATTAACTCAGCAGCTGAATTATGCTAAAGTAGAATAAAGCAGGCAAAGGAGAGTTGGGAGGCAGGAAGGCTAGCAGAGTGATAATATCTGAACAAGAGGCTTACATTTGGTAAAGTAGGAACAGAAAGGGGAAAAATGGTGTAGTTGAGGTAGAAATTACAGATGTTAGCATGTAAGTTAATATGTAGCATAAGGAGAGGGAGGAGTTTAAAAAACAAGACTTTCTGTGAACCAAAGAGATTGATTAACAACTGGGAAAGCATAGAGCAGAGATAGGCTTTGAGGGGAAAATCAGTGTAATTTTGGCCATGTTGAGTTTTAGGTAGCAGTGTTGTCTCAACTTACAGATGTCTAGCAAGATGTGGCAAATACAGTTCCAGAGCTAAATCAAGTTGTCATTCGTGTTGTTTCAGTTGGATTAAGGACATAATCCACAATTGTGTGCATAAAATCTGTGTCATAAAATCTCAGAATTGAAAGTACTTTAGAGTCTGTCAACTGATTGGGGAAACCAAATGTGGTATATTCATATAGGGGAATATTCTTTGCCCTTAAAAAAGGAATGAAGTACAGATAACATGCGACATAATGAATCTTGAAAACTTTATGCTAGGTGGAGAAGGCGGTCCCCAATTGTATGGCCACATATTGTATGATTCCTTTATATGAAATATGTAGAATAGGAAAACCAATAGAAAGTAGATTAGTGGTTGCCAGGGACTGGGGAGAGGGGAGGGTGTTCATGGATATTTGGTAATGAAAAGATTTGGAATTTTTTCAGGGGCGGTGGCAAAAATGTTCTGGAATTAGTGGCAATGGCTGTATGACCTTGCAAATATACTAAAAACCACGGAGTCGTACACTTTAAAATGGTGAATTTTATGGCATATGAATTATATATTTTTTAAGTGGAAGAAAAAAAGTACCTCAGAGATCACCTACTGTGTCCTCATACTGAGTGACTCAGTGCCTTTGTCCCTTCTCTACTCACACTGGAGATGGGTGAACATCTTCTGTCTTAGGGAACTTATCTTTTTGCCCAATAACCCATTCTATTTTTTTGAGACTTCTAATTGGTGTATGTGGCATAGTGGGTAGGAAGAATGGTCTCTCGACATCAGAAAGTGCTGGCTTTGCCACTTACTGACTTGCGTGACATTGGGCAAGTGAATTTCGTTAAGCGTCAGTTTCAGCATCTGCAAAAACTGAGTTAATAATAGTACCTTCCTCAGGGTTGCATTGACGAAAATGAAACAATGCACGTGGCGTGCCCAGCAGCTAGTAAATACTTTATATTCGGTCATAATTAGTCTTTTATTTCTTGCTTGCCCCTCACAATATAAAATACCTCATAAGAGGTCAGTTGCTACACTTTGGTTTGTCTGTTGTTTGTTTTTGAAACAGAGTCTCGCTCTGTCACTCAGGCTGGAGCGCAGTGGTGAGATCTCAGCTCACTGCGACCTCCACCTCCTGGGTTCAAGCAATTCTCCTGCCTCAACCTCCCAAGTAGCTGGGATTACAGGCATGCACCACCGTATCCAGCTAATTTTTGTATTTTTAGTAGAGATGGGGTTTCGCCATATTGACCAAGCTAGTCTTGAACTCCTGACCTCAAGCGATCCTCCAGCCTCAGCCTCCCAAAGTGCTGGGATTACAGGTGTGAGCCACCACAACTGGCCAGTTGCTACACTTTGTTTTTTGATTTCCTCATAGTCCAAAAAGTCTACCGCGTACAGGAACATACGGCAAGGACAGTTGGGATAAGCTGTGAAAATGTATGGTTTTTTTTTTTCTTTAAAGAATCTCAGTGGGATCTACTGATGCGTTGACATTATGCCAACTTGCCAGCAATTTCGTTTTTCCCTTCAAGATGTCTGTGAACAGTGTGGCAAAAGAGATGAGGCGCCTTGGGGTCTTAACTGCACGATGGCCGGCAAGACACCAGGGAAGCTTCATGTTTTCCCTCCACCTTCAGAGATGCAGTGATACTGAGAGTTGAGAGCAGTTTTATTTAGCATCAGGCAGCTGGGCTGACCTTTCCCAGCACCCCCATGCTCTTTGGTAACTAAAGGTAGAAAGAGAAAGACCATTTTTTAAGTATGTGAACATAAGGAGGAGTCCCTTCCTAAATTCTTGCTGTAACCTCCAACTTCTTATCCTTGTTTTGGCTAAGATTAGACAAGTATTATGAAGTGATATGACACCAAAAGGCTAGACAGGAGAGGATTTATATAGATTCAATCATCTAGAAGATTTGGCAATTTTTTACAAGCCATTTGTTTTTTGTTTCTTGGTTTTTTTTTTTTTGAGACAGAGTCTCGCTCTGTCGCCCAGGCTGGAGTGCAGTGGTGCGATTTCGGCTCCTGCAACCTCCGCCTCCCAGTTTAAAGTGATTCTCTTGCCTCAGCCTTCCGAGCAGCTGAGACTACAGGCGCCTGCCACCACCCCCGGCTGATTTTTGTATTTTTAGTAGAGGCCAGATTTCACCATATTGGCCAGGCTGGTCTCCAACTCCTGACCTCAAATGATCCACCCACCTCGGCTTCCCAAAGTACTGGAATTACAGGCGTGGGCCACAGCGCCCGGCCAAGCTACTTGTTTTATTAGGTGTCCAGTGCAGTCTTGATGTTAGCTGAAGATGTTTGGGTAATCTCTTGTATCGCTTCATAAAACAGCATAATAAACCCAATAGTAGCAGCATTCAATAGCTTTGCACCAAGGAAATGTTCCCTCCCACCTCTCATTCCCTCTGCTTCCTACTCCCCAATCCCTACCTCAAGCCACCTGCTGGGCAGCTGGAACCACAAATCACCAGCATTACTTCCAGAGGAATAAAACAGCCTACATCCCCCACCCCCCCACCCCCGTCCCCGCCTGCTTTGTTTTTAGCTGGTTTGTTTGTTTTCGGATGTCAGTAATGTGAAGTATTTCCCCTAATCAATGTTTTAACCTTCTTGTTGATATTTATTCAGCTTGGTTGAATGTACTGTGTTAAAGCATCCATGAGCTCTATGCATGGGAGAGTAAATCTGAATTTCTCTCTTTTCTCTGGAGACATCATAATATTTCCTATTATCAGAGGATTGTTTTGCTAGGATATTAATGAGCAGTTTCTCTGCTGGAGTTGTCATTGCTTCCCTCTTCCTTCAGCTCCCAAACAATTTTGAATTAACATGGAAACCAAGTTTAATTTCTTGACTCATCTCCTCTGGCTTTGAATTTCCTTTTCTGTTTCATGCTGTTGTCAATAATTTGGTGCTCCCATCTGTCCATTTCTGCTCACCATGTTATTGATAATGTGATTAACCCCCTACTCCATTGCTATTTATTTAGTGATAAATTATTTCTGATCATGTGTGCTATATTTTCTTTACTCAGATCTAAGGTATAATTAGGGAAGAGAGCTGAACAAAATAACCTTTTTTTCCCTTCTCTTACCATGGTGTTGGGTGAAACATGCTGTCCAGCAGGTCCCTGTCTTTTATAATGGAAGGAGAACGTGCTTTTATATGCAAATCCAGATGTGTGATGGTGGTTTGTTTACCTTACTTTGTGCTTAATGAGATTCTCCAGATATTGTTATGTTGAAGTACTGCTTCTATTTTTATTATCTAACATTTATTAAATGTCAACCATGTGCTCTGTTAAACAAAGAATAGCACAGTTCTGTCTGGACTCAGAGTCTAGATGCTTAGTTTCAGCCCTAGTGACTAAAACCTGTATAATGGACGGTGTATGTTATCCTGGGGAATGTTTTCCAAATATTGTATTTTAAAATGATAAACAATTGGACCCTGCCCCTGGGAGAGACACATCTGAAACAAGGCACATGTATAAAACAAGGCGCAGAATAAGAGAGAGAAAGATACAGTTGAACTTACTTTAAAAGTAAGATTGATTTTTTTTACCTTAATTTTTACTCTTGAAATTTCAAGTGATAGGTTGAATTTTCCAGCTGTTTTGATTTCACCTATGTTTTCCATTCTACAAAGAATGTTTTGATCTTTTCATCTGGCCCAAGGCAAAGCTGGTGACTTGGCTCAGTTACAAGAAAAGAGCCCGGAACCTTACGGAGCAGGAATGTAGATTTTAGCTCATTTCAGTGGCACAGCTTGGTTTGGTGAATCACTTTGTACCTCGGATTCTTTATATCAGGATGGTGGTGGGGTTGTTAAAATATAACTAGTGGAAGGGGAATATTTTGATTTCAAATCAGAAAATACAACTTAAAGGCTCATAATTTACTACTAAATAGCTATTTTCAGCCAGGCATGGTGGCTTATACATGTAATCCCAGCACTTTGGGAGGTTGAGGCAGGCAGATCACTTGAGCCTAGGAGTTTGAGACCAGACTGGGCTAGAAAGTGAGACTCTCATCTTTACAAAAAATCAAAAAATTACCTGGGTGTGGTGGCACACCCATGTGATCCAAGCTACATGGGAGGCTGAGGCAGGAGGATTGCTTAAGCCTAGGAGTTGAAGGCTGCAGTGAGCTATGATACTACCGCTGCACTCCAGCCTGGGCAGCAGAGTGAGACCCTGTCTCAAAACAAACAAATAATATTAAAAATAAATACAAATTTTCTTATCTTTGAAACGAGGATAACACAACTCAGGGTTGAAATGAGAAATATGATGATGGCTGTGAAAGCACTTTGTAAACCATGATGTGCTTTGCACATTTATCCTCAGAATGCTTACTACTCATTAGTTCAAATTTATATATAAGCTCTACGTCCAGGGCCGGGTGCAGTGGCTCACTCCTGTAATCCCAGCCTTTTGGGAGGCCGAGGCAGGTGGATCGCTTGAGGTCAGGAGTTCGAGATCAGCCAGGCCAACATGGCGAAACCCCATCCCTACTAAAAATATAAAAATTAGCTGGGTGTGGTGGCGGCTGCCTGTAATCCCAGCTACTGGGGAGGTTGAGGCAGGAGAATTGCTTGAACCCAGTAGGCAGAGGTTGCAGTGAGTCAAGATCATGCCACTGCCCTCCAGCCTGGGTGACAGAGCGAGACTCCATCTGAAAAAAAAAAAAAATAAATAATAAGATATGTATCCAAATGCATTTACTTGTGCATTCGGATTGATTATGTTGTTAATGAGTAAGGTGCAGAGGCAACAGTGTTGAGCTGAGGACTGGAATTAGTGGGGACCGCCACTAAGGGAGTGCACAGGGGAATGTTGCCTGTGTAGGTCTCACTGGAGTGAGCTGGTTCTTGGGGAATGGAACCACACCAGCAAAAATCGAGGACAGTGCCTGCCACCTAGGAGCCACGGAGTAATTGTTCACTACCTTCAACTGATGGTTGAAAACACAGTCCTGGGAGTAGCCTCCAGTATTTAATAAACCTTTTCTCCCTTCCCCCACCCACTTCTTTAGCCAACTACACCATAAAACAGACCCTTCTATCGCTACCAAAAATAAAAATCTTGTCTTTGGGGTTGGGAGAGATAAGACTTACTTGGTTATTAACTGTATAGGTATTTGTATATAGGTATTTTCAGCTGGGTCTACCTCTTCAACTTTTGTTTTTCAGTTTAATTTCTCTATTCCTCTTTCCCAGCCAAATTTTTAAGTCAACCATACACCTCAACAGGGGGCCTAATTAATTAGCATTTTAAAAGCAGTGTACTCCCTCAGAAGGGTGGAGGGGGAGGGTAGCTTGGAGTCAGTTTGTATTCAGAAGAACAAGGTATTATTGTGTGTGCTGGATTTTTTTTTTTTGAGACGGAGTCTAGCTCTGTCACCAGGCTGGAGTGCAGTGGCGCAATCTCAGCTCACTACAACCTCTGCCTCCCGGGTTCAAGTGATTCTCCTGCCTCAGCCTCCTGAGTAGCTGGGATTACAGGCACCCGCCACGACGCCCGGGTACTTTTTGTATTTTTAGTAGAGACACAGTTTCACCATGTTGGTCAGTCAGGCTGGTCTCGAACTCCTGACCTCATGTGATCTGCCCGCCTCAGCCTCCCAAAGTGCTGAGATTACAGCGTGAGCCACCGCACCCTGCCGTGTGTGCTGAAGTTTACCCAAATGCTTAATGCTGGAAAATGCTTGAAGAAAACCATCCTTCCTCTGGCAGGAGGTGCAGTCTGACATGGAAGCATAAAGCAATATATAGAGACACGTTTTCATTTTTACTCTACTTACTGTTTTCATTCCTGAAAGTATATGCATGTGTGTGTTACAAGAAGTCATTTTAAAAAACAAACATGATGTTCATCTATTCAGATTGGTTTTATTTTGGAACTGTCTTCCTCTCATGTAAATGTATCCTTTTTAAAAAAGGCCATTAATGCTATTTACCTAGTAACACTTCAGTGTGTCAATAATATTACTTTTGTCAATAGAGCACTTAAGTAATTATTGCCTTTTCTGGTATTAAGTATCTTCGCTGCATTTAAAGAAAAGCACCCATACATCTAAAGAAAAAGGTCCAAAAACATAAGGCAAGTTTTTACTTTCAACAATAAGTGTTACATTTCTCCAAAGATCCAAATTTCCTTTTAGCCTTGGGCCAAGAAGACAGACTGAGAGAATCCAAGAATTTACAGATGGAAGTTACCTCATTCAACCTCCTAATCTACTGCTGGAATACCCTCTAGGGCAGCCCTGGCAGATGGCCATCCATCTGCTTGTATACTTCCAGGGCTGGGGAGCTCATTATCTCCTGAGGCAACTCATAAATTCTTTCTTATTTGAGCTAAAAGTGGCCTCTCTGTAACTTCTTTTTTTTTGAGACAGAGTCTCGCTCTATCGGCCAGGCTGGAGTGCAGGGCACGATCTTGGCTCACTGCAACCTCTGCCTCCCGGGCTCAAGCAATTCTCCTGCCTCAGCCTCCCGAGTAGCTGGGATTACAGGTGCGTGCTACCATGCCCGGCTAATTTTTGTATTTTTAGTAAAGATGGGGTTTCACCATATTGGCCAGGCTGGTCTCGAACTCTTGATCTCAGGTAATCTACCCGCCTCGGTCTCCCAAAGTGCTGGGATTACAGGCATGAGCCACCGTGCCCGGCCGCCTCTCTGTAACTTCTATCCACTGGTCCTGGTTGTGGAGCAACGTAAGAAAGATCTTAAGTATTTGAAGATAGCTACTACATTTCCCTTTTGTCTTTTCCGAATTAAGATAACTGAATTGTTTTAAAATGAAGATTTTTGCCTGGAATCTGGAAGAACAAGATGGAAATGAGTGTATGTTAACTGTTGTTATAAAGGAAACCTTTGTTATAATTGCAGCTCACTGGTAAGGTATCTCTTCTAGTATTTCACACTTGGGCATAGCCTCCTATATAATACCCCTCTTGAAAGTAACCTATCCCTTACTGAGCTACGAAGAGTAAGAAGTCCCTCCTGGGTGAATAGAATCTTATACCTTTTGCTATTCTGAATTCCTTAAGAGAGCCCAAATTCCTAAGCATTGCTCTGAGATAAAATTTAAAGGTTTTCCTTTAGGAGGGAAAATTAAATGCATGAGTCTGTATTCTTTTTGACAGTAGAAACCATGGCCAGTTTTTCTTTCTGTACCCTATAGTGTCTAATACTATGCTGTACCTGGCAGACAGAAGCTGTACAATAAATTATTGCTCTATTGCATGATGCTGAGTTACACATATGATGAGAGATATATGTATCTATGAAGTACATATATACAGAAATATGTATACACATATAGAC